>NC_000002.12:15224851-15531607 GCF_000001405.40 Homo sapiens | reverse complement strand
CCTCGTATGCTATAGTAAGACCCACCTGGTAACTTCTTACTTATTTATTCTCCTTGTAGTTAATAATTCTTTTTAATTTGCCACGTTTTGAAATGTACTTATCACAGACTTTCCCCTAAACTCACCCCCATAGTGTAAACCTCCTTTTAGGTGTGCTGTTTGATCATCTTGAAGAGGTCTCAGAACTTTCTTCTGAGATCATGCGAGATCAGGTGCATTCAGGGTGGTACGGCCATGGATGGAGATCTCAGAACTTTCTGATCTACTCCAGTTTGGATTTGACACCTGCCATATAGCTATTGTCTTGGAATTTCACTTCACCGTTATCCAGAAGATGGCTTCCCTATTTCTCTTTGGTTGCGTGACCTGTTCCTTAGATTTGTTTTTTTCTTTCTTGGTTTATTTAACTGTTTTGGTGGGTCACAACCTCCTGTAACTTCCTGAGAAACAGTACATGGGAAATAATATTTTTTTGAAGCCCTGCATATCTGAAAATGGCTTTATTTTATCTTCATGTGCTTAATTGATCATTTGACCGGATAGAATTGTAGGATGGAAATACTTTTTCCATTAAATTTTGAAGGTATTGTTCTATTTTCTTCTAGCTTCTAGTAGTGTTTATCTTGAGAATGTCATTGTAATATAAAATCCATGTTTCTTTCTTTCTTTCTCTGCTTTTTGTCGTCTTCCTCTCTGAGATCTAAGATTTTCTTTTTTTTTCCCCTGGCGTTCTGAAATTTGACCATGTTATGACTTGGCGTAGGTTTATTAATATCCACAGTGCTGGCCCTTCACTTTAGATAGTCAGTAATCTCACTTTTGGGAAAATTCTTTGAATTATTTCTTGGATTATTTCCTCTTCATTTTTTTTTCTTTTAATTCTCTGGAATTTCTGTTATCTAGATGTAGGGTCTCTTAGAATGACCTGTAATTTTTTTCACTCTCTCCTGTTTCCCCTCCTTTGTTTTTGTGGAAAAAAGAGAAGTAAAATATTAGTTTAATTTTTTCTGTATAAATACATGTACTTATTGAAGAAAGTAGTTTGAAATGCTTTTTGAGATCTTTTATAAATTGTAAATTATTTTTGTAAATTATTGTTTTGGTAAATTATTGATACATATGATTTTATTTTGAAAAATCTATATTCTGGTTAATTTTTGCTGATATATTTCCTATTTTACTAATTCTTTTGTGCTGCATCTCCTTTTTAAATTAGTTATTGTGATTTTAGATTTTATTGTTATATTTTTCATTTATAGAAGTTCTCTTTAGTTCTTTTAAAAATCTTTCTTAAGGAAAGAGAAAAGGGAGTTGAAATGAGTATTTAGTGAGCCCCAGGGTGTTTTGAGGGTTAAATATTCAGCACATAGTAGGTATTCAGGAAATGATAGGTGAAGTTATTATTTAGTATTGAATAAATATAATACTGTTAACTTACTCCTTTTGATATGTGTGGCTCCTGTGTTTAAGAGTTAGTTGTTTATCCTTAAGAAGTTTGATAATCAGTTTCAAAAATCTAGCTAACTGAAAAAATTTAAAAATTTAAAAATATTAACTACAGTAGGTAATCTGAAATAATAGACTTGTGTTTTATTTTGGATATAGTTGAATGTTGATATGTGAAGTTAGAGGTCTTTACATTTTATAATATTGAATGTAATCATATATGCTGCAAATAATTACACAATTTATTTTAACAAAACACTTTCGATTATAAAATAAACATATTACAATTATAAAATCATGCCATTTTGATTTTTTGTCAAATTCTTATATAAAGACTGGCCTTTCAATGGTTAATATGTTAGATCTTGTATTTTCTGCACCTAGCTTCACATTGTCTTGAATTTAAATTTTGCTGTTAGAAATGGGATAGACTTTGTTTTGCTGTGACATGCTCAGTTCTTTGTTGTGAAATTTTGCCAAGCCTTGATACTGCATATACAGTACCCATGGCACTCTGATTGCTAGTTTGATTTCTGTTGAGGGTGACCTCTTGTTTATGTTAACATTTCCTTTGGGATCCCGTTTTATTGTTTAAGTGAGGTTTCTTCCTTTAAAGTCTTTTTGGGTTTAGTTCAGCTTGATTTTTTGGTTTTATTTTATTTATTTATTTGAGAGAGGGTCTCACTCTGTCACCCGCGCTGGAGTCCAGTGCGTGATTTTGGCTTACTGCAGCCTCGACCTCCTGGGCTCAAGCGATCCTCCCACTTGAGCCTCTCGAGTAGCTGGGACTACAGGTGCACACCACCACACTTGGCTGTTGATTTTGGAGAGATAGGGTTTCACCATGTTGCTCAGGCTGATCTTGCATTCCTGAGCTCAAGCAATCTACCTGCCTCAGCCTCCCAAAGTGCTGGGATTACAGGCATGAGCCACCACGCCCTGCCAATTTTGTTGTTTTAAAGTGTAGTTATTAATACCTCACTTCCTCAGCACATATATATATACTTTTCGAATATGTTTCTTAAAAAGCGTATGTGTTCAGTTACAGAAGTTGTTGGTATTAGGAAGATTGATGAGGTGGAAAGTCCATTCTATCTTTATCTGGCCTGCTTTCCATGACTCTCTTATTTATTGCGGCTAGCTTTGTGGAATGCACCATGTTAGCGGTTGGGGGAGATGTAAAGATGGAGAGCAATTCTGACCTAAGATCTCATATTCTTAGATAGGAAATATATATGTGTGTGTGTATATATATATACACACATATATATATATATATATATTTTTTTTTTTTTGAGATGGAGTCTCACTCTGTTGCCCAGGCTAAAGTGCAATGGCAAGATCTCAGCTCACTGCAACCTCTGCCTCCCCAGCTCAAGTGATTCTTCTGCCTTAGCCTCCTGAGTAGCTGGGATTACAGGCTCTTGCCATCAGGTCCGGCTAATTTTTGTATTTTTGTAGAGACTGGGTTTCACAGTGTTGGCCATGCTGGTCTTGAACTCCTGACCTCAGGTCATCCTCCCGCCTCAGCCTCCCAAAGTGTTGGGATTACAGGTGTGAGCCACCACGCCCGGCCAGTGTATGCATATATATTTTACTGATGTCTAAAATACATTTCTTTCACTGCATGTTCTATGTGTGTGTGTGTGTATATATGTATATATATACATTTACATATCTAAACATATATAATATATAAAAATATATTTCATATATATTAAAAATATATATTATATAAACATAATATAAATAATATAAACATTCATATTGTATATGTAAATGTACATATATATAAAAATATATTAAAAATCTATATATGTAAACTAGAATGCAAGCTAGAAAATAAGCGCCTTAAAGGGATGCAGATACAGTGATGTGGGGGTCCAGATAAAGGAGCTACTACTTGCTTGAAGGAGCAGGGAAGCATGGTAGGTAGCACGTGGGCTTGCTTTGGTGAATGGATACAATCCGGATATGATGGACATTCTAGATAAAGTGACAATGTTAATAGTGGCAAGGGAAAAGAAGTCATAGTGTAGTTTTGGGAAATTGTAAGTGGTGTAGCTTGGCTGATACTGTAGAGTGTGTGTCTGAGGGCAAGGGAGGTGATAGTGGTGGTGGGAGATAGGACATGGGAAGGGCAGGTTGAGGCCCATTAATTGGGAGTGGTAAGAGGCAGCTTATTCTTTAAGGGACTCAAATTTTTGAGCTGAGGAAATATGATCATTTGTATTTTGAGGAATGTTGATTCCATAGGGAGATACTAGAGGCTGGGTGACTCTTAGATGATCAGGTACTGGTTCACGCCACACGTAACAAGCACCTACTCATTATCTTATATGTTACTGCTATACTGTTTTTGTACCACAGTTTGGGCGCTGTTTAAATACACCACATTTTATTGTTAATTTTTTTCTATTTTGATGAATATATCCTGCTATAGTTTGAACATCTGCCCTCCAAAATCCATGTATTAAAACTTAATGGCCAATGCGACGGCATTAAGACATGAGGGCTTTAAGACATGATGAGGCCGTTAGGACTTCTCCCTCATGAGTGCGTTTAAGGCCCTGATAGAAGAGGCTCCACGCGTTGTCTTTCTGCCTTCTGCCATGTGAGGGCACAGTGTTCCTCCCCTCTGGCAGATGCAGCAACAAGGTGCCATTTTAGAAGTGGAGAGCAGCTCCCACCAGACAACCAACCTCACTGCACCTTGGTCTTGAACTTCCCAGTCTTCAGAACTGTGAGAAAATAGGTTTCTGTTCTTCATAAATTACTCAGTCACAGGTATTTTGTTATGGTAGTACAAACAGATGGTCACATATCCCATATCTCCAATTAGACTATCAGCTACTTGAAGGCAAGGAATATGTACTGTATACCTTTGTAAAACCCACAGCAAATAGTATATGAGCTCTGGCTCTGAGGACACCTTGAATAAGTAACTCTTATTTTTTGAGTAGAAAAGAAAATTTATGTTTCTTTCTTTTGACTTTTCCTTTTTTCTCCTTTTCTATTTTGTTTTCTTCTTCATACCCCACATTTCTGTGTTTTTTTTTTTTCTCTTGTCCCTTTTAAAAGAAGGGTATTTTGTATCTTAATGCTGGACTGTTTTTGTTTGATTGTTTATTTCATACTGACTACTCCACTCTCTTGATTTGTTACAAAAGTCAATATTTGATTTCTTTTTTCCTGGCATTATTTCAGGAAGGTAAGTGGGACCGTAGGATTGAAATGATTACACACTGAATAATTATTATGGGATAAATTTCTTTTAAGTCAGATTATACTTATTACTTTTAAGATGTTTACTTTTTGATTCAGGATTTAAGCAATTGAGGGTATTTTTGAGGGGCAGTCTCCATTTAAATAAGAACATCTGGAAAGTTTGATATATTATCAAACCACAGAAGGAGGACCTTTTGTTGGTTGTACAATCATTTACATCTCTTGGTGGCAGTCAGTTTGGAGATGGATAACTACATTATTGTTTCTGAATGAAGATTGTTGTAAAGCAAGGAGTATGTGTAAGTGGCCTGTTGTGCATGACAAAAATTTTGCTAGGTTGTTTATATTTTCCATTATGTGGTCTTTTTTTTTAAATGAAAGAAGCTGAAATATTCATCACATTTTTATTTATTTTCAGTTATTCTAGTAATGTGGGCCTGTGATGTTTATCATCCACAAAGATTTTATAAATGTGAAGTAAATCAGCCAGAGTTGAATTTGGATAAATTGGTAATATACAAACAGGATTTTATGAAATTCATCGTTTTGCCTAATGTTGTGAGTATTGTTGAAGAAGAGAAACTGAGGTGGTAAATTTGGTGATATGAAACAAAAATTAATTGAGAAGCTTTGGGATAAGCTCTATGAATATGTGGATTTTGACTATTTTCTTTTTTATATATCCTAACTCACAGCCTAATGAATGTATTTTGTCCTCCTTAAACACGCAGACTATCTCATTCCAGTCTTGCTTCCTTTCTTCAACCTACCCCAACACCTCGCTGCCATCTTTTTTTCTATTCTTATTGTTCTCTTTGCTCTGTAGGTTTTAGCATAGATTATAGCCTAATTCTGGCTGAGAAGATTCTCTGATCTCTGCATTGTTAGAGGAGATGCATTAAGCCTTTCGCTCACGGTGGGTACTGTGCTTGCTGGTGGAGATTCAAATGTAGTACCTGTCCTGTAGGAGTTTATACCCTATCTGGGAATCACACAGTCCCAAATTAACACTTAATGAGTTAGGTTCAGATCAAAGACTTTATGTATAGATTTTTAAGTGGCACTTACTGCTTTCAGTAGTATATAACTTTTTAATTTTTATGATTTTGTTACTATTTTTGTTTTCAATTTTGTTGAAAATTTTTATAAGCAACATCTGATTTTGTTGTATTTCCAATATTTCCTTGATAGCTACAAAAAGTTAGTTAGTGTTTGAAGGTAACTACTTCTAGACCCTAATTTACATTTCAACAAAGTCAAAAGGCAGAGAACATGCCTACTTTCTTGGGAGAAGCTGTACTTTTGAAAAGCCACTCATGTTCAAATTCCTTGATGACCCTTTGACACTGAGTTCCAGTATATAATTCATTGATTTTTACTAAATGTATAGAGTTGTGCCACCACTACTACGGTTGGTTCTATATCTATAGAAAATTTTAAAAATATTTTTTAATAGAGTGTGTACCAGATTAGGAGACAGGAACCCTGAATTCTGTTCTTGGTTGTCCTACTTTCTAGCTGTGTAATCTCAAAGTAAGTCATTTACTCTTTCTGGACCACATTTTTCTGGCACTGTACTGGGCACAGACCATAGTTCTTCAAGCACCAAGGAGGGTCAGTATAGACTACTGTGTAGCATTTCACAGAGGAAAATTGTGGTGGAGAGTTTAACAGCAGGCGTTGTGGGAAGATTCATTGTCAGGGATACCTGGCAGGCAACAGCCGGCTTCAGAGACAAGACTTACTTCTCCTGGGAGAACCAGTTTGAGCAAGACTTCAAAAATTAAATTGCTGGTATTGGGATGGAAATTGGAAATTTGGTTTCAGAAACTGGACGGTCATTTAAATCTGGATAAAAGGTAGATGTGGAATAAGCCATATAGGTAGATGCTGAATATATTGTGTTTTTGCAGTGAAGTTGCTTAAATCCACCTTAAGGATCAAGAGGGAATTAAGTCTTCAGCTGATGTTCTTTAGCATCAGCTGTGGGTTGAGGGAAGGAAACAGGCAAGAGTGTCCAAGAACTTTAAGTTAATTTATTCATTAGTACTTGTGTTGACATTCTGTGCCAGGCCAATGGCTCTTAACAAGGTATGGACATCAGAATTACCTGTTGAGAATTAAAAAAAAAAAAATGCATACCTAGGTCCTACCCTCAAAGGCTTGATCAGGTGTCCTTCCCTCCAGTTAAAAATCCTTGTGCTAAGCTCTGGGAGATTTAATAGGATCAATGGGATAATGACTAGGATATCTTCCTTGCTTTGAAGTTGCCCTAATGAGGGATAGCAATAAATTTCATTTGGTTGTCGTCTCCCTTCCATTGATTATAGCTGCCTAAAAAACTGGGCCCATAAGGAGCTAAGATTGATGGTTGACATAGGTGTAGAAGTAGCAGAACTAGATATCCATCTTCTCTTGTCTGTCTGCATGGAGTGAGCATGTGTATGCATGTGTGTTTATTCTGACTTCCTTGGAAGCCTACAACATGCCAGTCAGACCCCAGTTTGGACCGGGACATGTAATAAGTGCAGGCACACAATCTATATCATCACATTTACTCAAGAACATCTGCCTTTGCAAAACCTGTGTGGGGCATCTTGCACCCCATAGCACAGTTAGGAACCACCACCATCATCTTGGCAGCCAGGAAGTCACTCCATTTCTGGTATTATTTTATCTTTTTCCATTCACCACGTGTCTCCCGAATAGGGCAGCATGATGGCTTTACGTTTTACATGCACAGATATTTTTAATTTAATTTGTGTAAAAAATCTGTGGTGTCACAGAGAGTAGTGGTTATGATAAAGCACAGTTATTTAGCTTTTATGTGCTACCTTTAAATAAATGAACAAATAAGATGATGTAAATGATGCCTTTAATATGCCAAAAAATCATTTGAAAGAAGTACACTAGTGTCTGAAGTTTGAGATATATTTCCTACCTTAGTTACCTTTTTTCAGTGTTCACTGTTAGTAGATAGAAATACAGTTTGTTTGTTTGTTTATTTATTTATTTATTTAGAGACAGAATCTCACTCTGTTCCCCAGGCTGGAGTGCAGTGGCGTGATCTCGGCTTACTACAACATCTGTCTTCCAGGTTCAAGTGATTCTCCTGCCTCAGCTTCTCGAGTTGCTGGGATTACAGGTGTCTACCACCACGCCCAGCTAATTTTTGTATTTTTAGTAGAGACAGCGGTTCACCAAGTTGGCCAGGCTGGTCTTGAACTCCTAACCTCTGGTGATTTGCCCATCTTGGCTTCCCAAAGTGTTGGGATTACAGGCATGAGCCACTGCGCCTGGCCTATAGAAATACAATTTATTTTTGCACAGTCCTTCCTTGGTATCTGTGGAGGCTTGGTTCTAGGACCCCTCGTTCATACCAAAATCCACAAATGCTCAAGTCCCTGATGTGAAGTGGTATAGTATTTGCATATAATCTATGCACATCCTCCTGTGTATTTCACATCATCTCTAGATTACTTGTAATACCTCATCCAATGTAAATGCTCTATAAATAGTTGTCATACTGTATTGTTTAGAGAATGACAAGAAAAAAAGTCTATACATGTTCAGTACAGATGCAACCATCCATTTTTTTTCCTGAATATTTTTCATCTGTGGTTGATTGAATCCACGTGTGCAGAACCCATGGCTATGGAAGGCTGACTGAGCAGTTAGTCTCTCCGGGAAATTGCGTATCATAGTAAAAAGTAATCTCTCGAGGTTCTCATGTATTTTTCATTGTGTTTAGTGCAGTACTGTAAACCTTGAATAATGCCATGGGACCCATACGAAGTGTCACTAGTGATGCTGGAAGTGCTCCCAGGAAGCAGGGAAAAGTCATGACATGACAAGAAAAAGTTGAATTGCTCGATATGTGCCATAGGTTGAATCTGCAGCTGTGGTGCGCACCGTTTCAGATAGATGATCGATCTTGTAAACAGACTATGTAAACATACAGTATTGATAAATACAGTACAGTACTGTAAATGTATTTAGTCTTATGATTTTTCTTAATATTTTCATTTCTTTAGCTTACTTTACTGTAAGAATATAGTATGTAATAAATATAAAACGTGTTAATAGACTGTTTTTGTTATCAATAAGGCTTGGGTCAACATTAGCCTATTAGTAGTTAAATTTTGGGGCAGTCAAAAGTTATACGTGGATTTAGCCTGCTTGGGGGCTGGCGCCCATAACCCTGTGGTATTCAGGGGTCAACTGCATATCGCTCCTACGTTAAACTTGGTTATTAATTCTCATGGTGTTTTAATGGAATCTTTTGGCCATATTTTTTTCCCTTACCTATTCTATATATTTTTATAGGCAGCCTTATCCAGACCTAATGGTTTTTAACCACTTGAATGCATATGTAATATCTTTGAAGTCTGTATCCCAGAAGTTACTCCTAGGCCACAGAGCTATTTATTCACTCGCTTACTGAACATCTTTTCCTGGATAGCTCACAAGTACCTCCTACTTATTATATTCTGTGTTCATCATTTTCCTCCTTCAAACCTGCTTCTTCTCATGTATTCCCATATCTTGATGTATAATATTTCCACCAGGCCAAAACTTGAGATTTATGTTAGATAATTCTCAACTCATGATCTTCAAGCCTTATTGATTCTTCTTCTTTAGTATGCCTCCTCCTCCCCATTTCTAGTGCCATCCTTATACTTCAGACCCTCATTACTTCTGACCCAATTTACTTATCAAGTTGTTTCCTCTTCCTCTAATTTCTTTTCATTTCTGTTGTCAGAAAGAATTACAGGTCTTAAAGTACTACTCTGATCATTTACTTCTCTACTTAAAAATCCTCTGATTTTCTTTAGCCCTTGGGATAGATATATAACTTCTTAGATTAGTATTAAAGGCCCTTTGTGGTTTGGCCTTTAATCTGTCTAGCTTCCTATTACACCCTCTCATGTTTTCTTTGCTCTGTGCCAACGGTCAGCACACTTCCTGTAAAGGGGCAGATTGTAAATATTTTAGACTGTGCAGGCCATATGGTCTCTGCTATAACTACTAAACTCTCCTCTTGTAGTGTGAAAGCAGACATGACTACATATAAAATTCACAGTATGGCTGTGTTCCATAAAGCTTTATTTACAAAAATAGATGGTGGGCTGAATTTGATTTGAGGGGCTGGAGTTTGCTGGCTCCTGGTCTAGATAACTCTAGGCATGTGTAAATTTCTGTATATCTCAAAATGTCATTGTTGTTTTTAAAGCCAAACACCCTGTCTTAGAACTGTATCATTAGTCTCAGCAGCACGGTGCTTTGCATGGAGTACCTGTCAGTAGATTTTAGTTAAATTATTAAATATACTTGACTTTGTCAAAGCATATAAAGAGAGAAAGCAATACTAATACACTAGAATGTAAGTTCCATGAAGGCAGAAACTTCCATCTGTGTTATTTACAGCTCTATTTTCAGCTTTTAGATGAGGGCTTGGCACATAATTGGTGCTCAATAAATATTTCTCAGTAAATAAATGAAAGCCTGACTTTGGAAGAATTAAAACGTAAGAGCTAGGTGGAACAACTGTATGAATGGAATGTCTAAAACAGGTTTTTTCCAAACTTTTCTTCGGTGAAATTACAGTTGAGTGAGACTGTAATTTCACCAGTGTTTCTTTGGTCACATCTCTTCAGGGTGACCAACGAATCAGAATAGATGTTGCTATAAGATGGGATCATCTGTGCCAGCTGGGTCGAAGAAGGTACTGTTAAGATTGCAGTCAGTTAATAATATAGTAATGCCATAAGATTGTTAACTCCACAAGGGCAGGGAATACTTGATTTCATTACACAGTATTTCCTACACTGCTAGATTAGCACCTTGCAAGTTTTAGACACTTTCTGAATTGACATTGAATTGACTTCAATTGAAGTTAAGGTTATAATAGATGAAATTAACTTTATAGAGCTTTTACTGATGACCAGATACTTATATATGCTGAATCCTACTCATCACAACATGAGATGGTTTCATAACTGCTATTGTGTATGTAGAGAAACCTAAGCTCCTAGAGGCTTAAGCAACTTTCTTAAGAGGGCATGACTGTTGAGTGGTAAATTCATGTCTTTGATTCCCATGCCCAGTAAGCTTTTCTCTGGCAAACTTTGGCCTGTGGGCCAAATGTGGCCTGTTTTTAAGCATAGATTTTATATTTTTTAAATTGTTGAAAAAAACCTCAAAAGAATATTTTATCATACATGAAAATCATATGAAATTCAAATTTCTGTGTTTATAAAGAAAGATTTATAGGAACATAGCCACACTTTTTTTTGTTTTACATATTGTCTGTTTTTTTTTTTATGCTCTGACATAAGTTAGTAGTTGTGCGAGACCATATGGCCCACAGAGCCTAAAATATTTATAATCTGGCCTTTTACACAGAATGTTTTCTGGCCCCTATTTTATGTCATCCAACAGTCTGTCTGAGTATGGGTCTAGTTCTGTTTGGGAGGTAGAAAGTAAGGCGTATTGAACTTCGTAGATTTTTTCGTAGTTCTTTTCTTCGAGACAGGGTCTTGCTCTGTCTTTCATATTTGAGTGCAGTGATGTATGTGATCTTGGCTTGCTGTAGCTTCTACCTCCTGGGCTCAAGCGATCCTCCCTCCTCAGCCTTCTGAGTAACTGGGACTACAGGCACATGTCACAACATCCAGCTAATTTTTTAATTTTTTGAAGCGATGGGGTCTTGCCATGTTGCTCAAGCTGGTCTCTAACTCTTGGCTTCAAGTGAGCCACTTGCCTGGGCCTCCCAAAGTGCTGGAATTACATATGTAAGTCACTGTGCCTGGCCTTTCCATACTTCTTGATTTTAAACTCTAAATTGTATTTAAAAAAAATTATAGCCGAGTACCACTCAGTTTTAAATATGATGCCCAGTTATCAAATTGCCAGGGAATGATTTCATTAGTGAACTAAGAAGTCCAGGAAAAATTCCCATGTTTTGTCTTTAATAATTAATCATTCAATATAATCAGTTTTCTGTGATTATTCTTAAGCACATGTTGACTAAATAGTCTGATGCTTCATAATTTGACCTATAGTAAAGTATATCTTTTAGAGATCATATAACAGATTCAAACATAAAGTAAAGCAGTGGTTCTCAAAATGTGGTCCCTGACCAGCAGCATCAGAAAAACTGGGGAAATGGTTAGAAATGCAAATTCTTGGCTGCATACAGTGGCTCATGCCTGTAATCCCAGCACTTTGGGAGGCCAAGGCAGGAAGGTCATTTGCACCTAGGAGTTTGAGACCAGCCTGGGCTACATAGGGAGATCCCTGTCTCTACAAAAGTTTAAAAAAAGAAAAAAATTAGCCAGGCATGCATGTGCCTGTATTCCCAACTACTTGGGAGGCTGAGGGTGCGAAGATCACTGGAACCTGGGAGGTACACTGCAGTGAGCTGTGACTGCGCCACCATTGCACTCCAGCTTGGGTGACAGAGTGAGACCCAGTCTCAAAAATTAAAAAAAAAATAAAGAAATGAAGAAGTTGAACTAAATGAGAACTTGTGGTGGATTCTGCTCATATTTATTCCTCTATATGAATTCATATCCCTGGTTGTTTGAGAAAAGGAAGGTACAGAAGGAATGCAAGCCCCCTAACCGGCACACCGTATGTGATACTGGACAAATGTGAGAGTTAAGAGTTATGCTGAACATTGATTTCCAAAAAGTTAGAAGTAGTTTACTAAGATGTTTCTTCAGTGGCTTAGCATATTCCTTATTGGTTATATGCAGTTTAGTAAATGTTAATGGGTGAAAGGAATGTCTCAAGATTATATAGTTTCTTTTTAGCAAAGGTTAGTTGAACTTGATACTTCTGATTCTAGACCCATCATTTTCCTGCTATTTTCCATAAAATTTGAGGTTGAAGAGTAATATGGCTTGGCTCTGTGTCCCCACCCAAATCTCATCTTGTAGCTCCCGTAATTTCCACGTGTTGTGGGAGGGACCTGGTGGGAGATGATTGAATCATGGGGGCGAGTCTTTCCCATGTTCTTCTCATGATAGTGAATGGGTCTCATGAGATCTGATGATTTTAAAAAAATGGGAGTTTCTCTGCACAAGCTCTCTTTGCCTGCTGCCATTCCACATAAGATGTGCCTTGCTCCTCCTTGCCTTCCACCATGATTATGAGGCCTCCCCAGCCATGTGGAGCTGTATGTCCAATAAAACTCTCTTTTGTAAATTGCCAAGTCTCGGGCATGTCTTTATCAGCAGCGTGAAAATGGACTAATACAAAGATTATTGGGTAATATAATCTTTTTCTTTCTCTTTCTCTCTCTTGTTTTTGTTAAGGGGAAGTAAAGTTTTGCTAATTCATTCCCATGTTGTGTGCTTTAGTGTAGAGGATTTAATTTGTATTATAAAAATTCCATTTTACTGTATCTTCATAGGATAATTTGAAAATATTTGCTTCAAAATGTTATTTTGAAATTAAGCACTTAAAAGTCAAATATTCTGTATATTTGAGGATGTAATGGTTACCACTGCATGTAAATATTCCAGGTGAAGGAATTTAATGCAAAAACAAATAACGCTAATGATATAAATTATTTGCTACAATGTTAGCTTTTATAGACTAGATTTCTTAAAAAAATCTAATAATTATTTTAGTAGTAAGTCCCAGTCCCAGAATACTTAAGATATAATCATTAATGCATATACAACCTCAAAATACCACAAGGCAAATTATATGATAATTTCCTTTTGAGTATTTCACTACACTTGTGGGTTGATGCAACGTGTTAAAGCCAATTCACTGTTTTTTTTTTTTTTTTTCCCCTAGACTTCATTAACTAGAGAAATTTATGTGCATAATTTGGGACATTGTATCTTGATGTTCTTCTTTTTAAGTTTAAAAAAAAGGGAGAGAGAAGGAGAAGTACAGAGAATGATGTAATAAACAGATGGTCCCCAACTTGTGATTTTTTTAACTTAAGACTTTTCCACTTTATGATGGTGCAGAAGCAATACACATTCAGTAGAAACTGTACTTAGCATTTTGATCTTTTCCTGGGTTAGCAGTATGTGTAGGATATTCTTGTGATGCTGGGTATGGCAGCGAACTGAACCTCCCAGTCTACCATGCAACCATGAGGGTAATGTGATCAGGTCATGAGGCAAGCAAACGATACTCTATGTACTGTGTTGCCAGCATGTTTTGGATATTGTGTTGTGTGTTTTGACATCCCATCACATGTATAAAACACCCTTTTTTCACTTACAGTATTTTCCATTTACAATAGGTTTATTGATTATCTGATCATAAGTCAAGGAGCATCTGTAAAACTACGTACCTACTACGTGCACTTAACAAATATTAAATGTGTCTTTCTTTGACCTAAGATGTATGTTTATGTGTGTGTGTGTGTATACATTCACAGACATATATAAATATCAAAGACAATAATACAAACAAAATTCCCTACTTCCATTATTTTGTCTCACTTTCTTCCCTCTAGAGGCAGCTGTCATAATTTTGGTGTGTGACCTTCCAATATATATTTTTGTATTTGTTCCCTTCACATTGTATATGTTTTCCTGAACAATTTGGTTATTTGTCCATCCCTTTTAAATATTTGAAATATTTCTAATTTTTCAGCTTTATAAATAGTACTGTGGGGATCAAAAAACTACCTATCGAGTACTATGCTTATTACCTGGGTGAAGAAATAATCTGTACAACAAACCCCTGCGACACACAATTTACCTATATAAAAACCCTGAACATATACCTCTAAACCTAAAATAAAAGTAAAAAAACCTAAAAAACAAAACAAGTTTCACACTAAACTTTTTTTTTTTGGCCAAAAGATGAATATACCTGTGCAAGAATTTCTCTATAGTTTCCTTGGAGCAGTTTGTGGGATAGTTAGTTGTGTGCATTTATTTGATATTGTCAAGTTGCTCCAAAATGATTGCTTCAATTTGCAATCTCGCTAGTAGTTTTTAAGAGTTACTAGGCCCCTAAACATTCTAGAGGGTGATTGGTGTAAATCTGTGTTGTTTTAATCTGCATTATTGGCTTTTGGATTTCTTTTTTTGTGATTTGCTGTTGCTTATCCTTTGTCTACTTTCCTTTTGAACTGGTTTTGGGAGATCTTTATAAATTCTGCCTACTAATACTTTGTTAGTTCTGTGTGTTGTAAATAACTTCTCCCAGTCTTTTTTTTTTTTTTTTTTTTTGAAATGGAGTCTCACTCTGTAGCCCAAGCTGGAGTGCAGTGGAGCGATCTCGGCTCACTGCAACCTCTGCCTCCCAGGCTCAAGCGATTCTGGTGCCTCAGTATCCTGAGTAGCTGGGTCTACAGGTGCACGCCACCACACCTGGATAATTTTTTGTATTTTAGTAGAGACGGGGTTTCACCATGTTGCCCAGGGTGGTCTTGAACTCTTGAGCTCAGGTGATCCACCCACCTGGGCTTCCCAAAGTGCTGGGATTACAAGCCCAGTCTTCATTTTATGGATGGAAATTTTAAATTTTAATATGGTCAAATTTGAGTGAGAATGTCTTAATGATGGCAGGGTAGGAAAATGTTTACAGGTCAAGATGCACAAAGCCCAGCTCATAAGTGAAAGCTTGATGAGCATGAACTGAGTTGGCTCTTCTTAGAACTTATTTTCTTATGGGAATTCTGTGTTTTTCTAGTTTCATTAAATCAGTTTGTTCAGTTCCATGAAAAATTCTTACAGGATTTATGTGAAATTGCATTCAATTTGTAAATTAAGAGGAATTGGCATGTTTAAAATACCCACCAAAGAAGATAGTATCTCTCCGTCTTCATTCATGTAACTCTCACAAGCTTGAAATTTTCTTCTCGATGTTTCCTTAAAAATATCAAATTCTTGGCTTAGCATTGTTTTGTCCGTTTTAAACAGTGTGACCCCACCTTTCCCTGCCTCCATTGCCGTGACCCTTCCCTTCTCCCCACCTTATCTCATCATATCTTACTGCTGAAACATAGAGTGAAGACAAGCAGTAAGAAGATGGGTCTCTTTGTACCTTCTTCACTCTGTGCTTCCTAATGAGAAATGTGGACTTTCAATTCACAGCCCCTCAGCAAACATTTATTGAGTATATTGTGCTGAGTTTCAGACTCTTCTCTTCCATTGACTGGCTTTTTTTTTAAGTTACATGGTTTTACCAGTGGAACTTTATTTCTCCTCACTTCTGGCCAGTGTTGCCCTGGAAGCCTGTTCTGAACACTGTGATGATGATGGAGCGTGTTTATTTACTTGGCCAATCATCACCATAAGCCTGTTTTATTTTTATTTTCTTAATCACTTGTAGATTAGTTCTCGTCAACATTGTGAGTCTTATTGAATAATAAAGTAATGGAGTCTTGAATTGGGGTTGATACCCCTTGGGGTTTTTGTTTGTTTGTTTGTTTTGAGAAAGTCTTGCTCCATCACTCAGGCTGAAGTGGTGGCTCGATCTTGGCTTACTGCAGCCTCTGCCTTCCAGGTAGCTGGGACTACAGGCATGCACCACCACGCCCAAGTAATTTTTGTATTTTTGTAGAGACATGTTTTCCAGGCTGGCCCCTTGGCATGTATAACTGAAGAAAAACCCTTCAGTAGATTTAGATTTGCTTATCATCTTCAGATTGGTCTGTCATCTTTTGTGCCACTAATTTCATGCTCCCATGTGTTCTTCCTTTTTTTTTTCTGTTTTAGAGAGTGAGCTTTTAAATGCAGAGCACATGCCTTGTTCATCTTTGTACACTCAGTGCCCTGCACATTGCCCTGCACTCAGCAGCTGCCAGTTTTGTGAAGATGTTGATTCAGTTATCTCCATTTCTTCCCCTTTAAACATACCTGAGGACCCGTGCCTACTTGGATGTGTGAACACATATGCATTCTTAGAGCTGGAGCATCAGTGTCCTAAAGCTGCTATCTGTCTGATTGGAACAACACATGATTCGTTTCATCATTCTGCTGCTTTTCCCCTTATTCTTCAGTCTGGCATGAACGGAGGAAAGGCTGGGAACAGATACTGAATCCCTTTTGTTCTTAGGGGATCTTAACCTTTTGTAGACAGTTTTATCTATGCATGGCTATGCTAGTTATCAGAATTCATAGAGAGGAAGTGTCTTGCAATACCCAGGACATAAAAAATCTGGATTATCACTTAGGTCTGTAACTCCTTCAGTAGTCAGCCAACTTAAAGTTTCAGACATATGTTAACATAAATTTAATTAGTAGAAATTATATATTATAAATACATTAATGTTTACTATATTATATGTTTTTAATACAAATATATATATTGGACATTGATCAAAGTGACATTATTTCAGTTATCAAGGAACTGTTTTATAATGGACTTTGGGAATTTATTGAATTCTTAAGTAGTGATATTGTTATAGTTTATTGAATTCTTAAATAGTGATATTGTTTTCAAATAGAGGTTCAATAGAGGTTACTGTTTTAAATAGTAGGTTACTAGTTTTTAAAGGTATGTTTTATGAATCACATATTTTTGGATTGAAAAAACGTTGTGATTAAATTCTGAACTTTGGATATTCCAGATTACCCCTTATATTTCTATTTATTCAGAGGATTTTTTTCCTATCAAATGGACTTTTGAGAAATAAATTTATGGAAAATTTGAAGCATGTACAAAAGTAGAATAGTATACTGACTCCTTAGTGCCTGTTATTCAGTTTCAACAATCAGCTCATGGCCAGTCTCATTTTACCTGTATACCCAGCCATTTCCCTATCCACCCTTCCCTGGATTATATTGAAGTAAATCCTGGACAGCATATTATTTTATCTGTAAATATCTCAGTGTGTATTTCTACAAAATAAAGACTCTAAAATATAAACATAATACCATTAGCACATCTAAAATAATTAACAGTAATCTGTCAGTATCTTCAAATATCCAGACTGTGTTCTCCCCTGCCTCTTTTTTAGACAGGTTCTCACTCATTCTGTCACCCAGGCTGGGGTTCAGTGGCACAATTATGGCTCACTGCAACCTCAGAACTCCTGTCCTCAAGCGATTCTCCCACCTCATCCTCCCGAGTAGCTGAGACTGTAGGTACCTATGACTACACCTGGCTGATTTTTTTTTTTGTAGAGATGAGATCTCACTATGTTGCCCAGGCTGATCTTGAACCCTTGGCCACAAACAATCCTCCCACCTTGTCTTCCCAAAGTTTTGGGATTACAGACATGAGCCACTGCATCCAACCTATGTTTTCTTTTAATTCATTGATCTGCTCTCCATATCCTCCTTCTGTCTGTTGCTCTTTTGCTTTGATTATGTGTGTGTGGGTTCTGAAAAAAAAAAAACCCAGGCCATTTATTTTGTATTTTCTCACTGTCTAGTTTTTGTTGATTGCATCTTTGTAGTGTTGTTTAAAGTATTTTTCTTTTTTCATCAATATTTTCTCCAAATTGAGAGTTAGATTCTGAGGGATAATATGATTTTATCTGCACTAGATATACTCCTTTTTTTGTGAAATATTTTACTGTAATAGAATCATTTGAGAAGAATGAATGCTCTGGGCAAGTAATACTCATAATACTAGCCTGACTTTGGACCACAGTCTCTTTTGCCCTGGTGAGCAGGGTTAATTACGTGTTAGCTCTAAGGATTTGCTTAGGGTAGGAACAACCAAAATAGGTTGCTTCAAGGCATCGTCTCAAAGTTTTTTACTTCCAATTTGCTGAGATGAAAATTTGTTAGAGCTGCATAAAAAGGCAGTAGGGAAAAGGCTTTGTGTGTAGGCCCAAGCTGTGTTTCTGTGAAGAAAGTGCATTTGAATTACTTTATGGTTTTTGAGATTTTGAGTTGGGCTACATTCCATAATTAAACCTAGAAGGATTTTGTATAGTTTTGAAAAATTTAGATCTAAGAGTATATGGTAGAGATGAGTTCTTTAATTGTTATTGTTAGCTTAGTTCAGAAACACTTTAGAAAGTGGGTTGTCAAATGAGAAGAGGGCTTTTAGTGGCATTAGAGTGTGACAGGTCATCTGAGTTTTGGGACTGGGAAAGAAAAAAGGTATATATTCATTTTCTATGAATCACAAACTTGGTGACATAACACAAACTTACCCTGCAGTTCTGGAGCTCAGAAGTCTGAAATGGGTCTCACTGGGCTAAAATCAAACATATCCTCAGGGCTGTGTTCCTTTCTGGAGGCTTGGGGAGAATCTATTTTGTTGCCTTTTCCGGCTTTTAGAAGCTTCCCAGATTCCTTGGCTTGTGGCCCCTTCTACCTTCAAAGCCAGCGGTGGCCAGGTGAGTGTCACATTACATTACTCTGACATTGACTCTTCTGCTGCCCCTTTCTACCTTTAAGGATCCTTGTGATTACTTCGGGGCCACCTGAATAATTCAGGATACTCTCCCTAAGTTCAAGTCAGTTGATTAGCAACCCTAATTCCATCTACAACCTTAAATCCATGTAATAGAACATACTCACAGACTGCAGCGATTAGGATGTGGACATCTTTTGGGGGCCATTGTGTTGCCTGCCACACAAGGTGAACAAAATTAACAGAAGGCAGGTGTTGCTTTCTACCATAATATAGTGCTTTTTGACTACTACCAGTGGGCATACACCTCCACTGGTCTTGAAGGGTCCGTATTGAGAGCTCATGGTGTTATGTCATGAGGTACTGATATTTATTTTATAACATTTAAAGTTAGCTTTAGTTGACATAAATTGTAACTGAGTTAGTCTGATATGCCAACTCTAAATAACTTTATGTTTTTTTGACTTTTCAATTTCTATGTAGAAACATAAATTTTTCAAGATTTGGTTTTTCTATGAGTATGGCCAAGAAGGAGGTAAACGGAACTGTCAGACTTTTTTTCTTTCTTTAGACAGATAACTGTGATGTCTGTTATACAGATCCCTGCCAGAAGTACTGAACATAGCTTTAAAAATTGTGACTGTTGGGGTTTCGTTATTAATTAGCTTTGTTTATATAGTGGTTACACAGTAATGTCTTCTAACTTTTAGTATATGTTAGGCTGTTTGCCCTGTTGGTAACTGGCCTCCAGTTATGAATGGAGTGTAACAAACAGAAAAGTGAACCACTCATAGTGTGCAGCTAAACTACCAACCAGTCTTGTTTTGGTATAATTATTGCTCTGTGGTTCTTTCCCATTCAGTCTCTCCTGGGTGTCATTTCTTTCTAGCTTTCTGTAATGGCTCCCTCATTGCATCAGATACATTGCCATAATTAATACATAATGTGTCTGGGTGAGGCTACACATCTATTAAAGTTTATTGGTGTTGATACAGACAGTTTTTTTATATTCAGTTGCTAGCCTTAATTTTTTTCTTCATTTCTAAGTTCCCACCTGCATTTCAGGTGCCTGAATATTTAAGCCTTAGTATATGGTGAAATTCTAATTGAAAAACAGTTTGGTTTTCTTTTGATTGTTTCCTCTGAAATATTTACCTTCTAGGTTTAACATATATTAATAGTACTTGGTAAATTTTCTTTCTCAAGGTGACTGTTTCTGCTCTCTTTGTTTTGCTCTTATTTATATTTGCAATTTATCGATTTTTAAAAATTTTCTCCTTTTTAGACTTTTACTTGTTGGTGGATGTGAAACTGCTGAAGTAGGCATGTCAAAAGCTTCTAGCTGTGGCCTTTCTGCCTGGAGAGTTCTTTCAGGATCACCGTATTATAAGCAGGTTACTAATGGTGGAGACGGGGTTACTGCAGTAAGTATGAGTTATGGCACTTCACTTTGCTATGTGTCATTTCACTGTGCTATTTGTCTTAGACAAATAAGTCCTTTGTAAGATATAGAGGAAGAAATAATTTCATCTTGAATGAGGACAGTGAATTAATGCTGGTATAATTTTATTTCTTTCAAATAACAAATTCAACTGAGGCATATTGTATTTAACTTGGAATAATTTTTAGTAGTGACATTTTCAGATACTAGAAAAACAACCTAACAGTAGTCCCATTCCTTGTATTTGCTTATTTAGATGAAAACATGTATTAAGCACTTTTTAATGTGTTGGCAGCTATTTGGAGTGCTTTTTATATGCTCTAACTCATTTAATTCTAAGTAACCCTTTGAGGTAAATATTGTTACTGGCCCGAGTCTGTTGATGAGGTGGTAAGTGAGGTGTAGTTAAGTAAGTTGCCCTGATCATCCAGCTAGCAAATGGCAGAATTAGAGTCCAGATTTCCATGTTGTTCCATATTTACATGGACTATTCATCCATCCATCCATTCATTCTATACTTACTTATTGAGCTTCTATTTTGTGTCAGGCAGTCCTTGGGGCTGTAGTAGTCAGCATAGGCTAGGTTCTATTTTGATAATTCAAGCAATCAAATGAGCAAATGCAAAGTCCTGAAATTTCTGTGGCTTATCATATACATATTTTTTCCTTATTTTGTGGCAAAGCCTGATGTTGAGATCATGACTCTCCTGGGCAGCTTGTTTTAAGTGATGATTAAAAGATCCATGGAGAATGGTGACCTTTTGGGGTCCCACTATCTCCGTTTATGGTCTTAGGAAGGGAAGGGAGAGATAATAGGTGGAACTTTTTACTGTCTTAGACCAGAAGTGACATTGGTTCTACTTACAGTTCATTTATTGTATTATGGCCCCTCCTAGCTTCAAAGGGGCTGGGAAATAGTTTTCTATGTGTCCAGAAAGATGTGAAAAACTAGGTATTGGTAAATACTAATTATGTTTACCATCCTGGCCACACTGCAGTCTTGCATGTCTTAGTTATTTGTGTAAACTGTATGAAAGTGAGCACTTGGGCCGGGCGTGGTGGCTCACGCCTGTAATCCCATCACTTTGGGAGGCCGAAGTGGGTGGATCACGAGGTCAGGAGTTCAAGACCAGCCTGAGCAACATGGTGAAACCCCGTCTCTACTAAAAATATAAAAATTAGCTGGGCCTGGTGGTGTGCACCTGTAATCCCAGCTACTCAGGAGGCTGAGGCAGGAGAATCGATTGAACCTGGGAGGCGGAGGTTGCAGTGAGCCGAGATTGTGCCACTGCACTCCAGCCTGGGTGACAGAGCCAGACTCCGTCTCAAAAAAAAAGGAAGTGAGCACTTGGCCAAAATTATGCAGCTTGGGTTTACCATGTTACCTAGTGGGCACTCAAATATTTTTTCAGTGAGGGAAGAAATCTAGAAAAGTTGAAACACAACATAATCAAACATGATATGTGTTCATTTTGATAATGAATTTGTCAAAAAATATATTGATTTCAAATTATGTTCTAAAACAACAAACTATTAAAGATTTTAGTGTTGAAAATAAACTAATGAAGATGTACTTTTGAAAAGAAATCTTTAGCAATAATAGTAATCCTCTGTGAATTTTATTTTTAGCATTTAATATATACTGCAGTGTGTAACTGTGATTTAACCCAACAAAGTAGTAGTTTCTTTTTCTTTAAATGAAGTCAACTTACTGGTTTATATGGCACCAGACATTAAACCAGTTTGTATGTGTAGAACAGCTTATGCAGTACTGTGGATATGCCTTTCCTTCCATTTATTGTCCATCTACCTAGTCTATCAGCCCTTTATTCTCTCTGCAGGACCTAGTAAGGAGAACAGTTGGTGTATTATTGGCCACATTTCACAAATAAGGAGCCTAAGGCACCATAGAGCATAATAACTGAACATAGAGGCATGAGATGGGCCAGATCTAGTTTCTGTTCTGCACCCGCCACCCCATGAAATTCTGTCCATATCAGTGGCACTAATATATGCTATGATGATTATCCCATAATCTATAAAAAGTAAAGTGAGGTAGAAGTTACTCGTACATATTAGACACATTAGTTCATATCTGTAGGAATTTAGCTGTGTTTATCTCTCTGATTTAGGTCATATCCAGCTTCTAGTTTTATATGCAAGATGTTTCAGGGTAGATCTTAGAGTCTGAAGAAGTTTCTCTTAGCTCTGTCTAAAGTAAGCATGATGTCTGCGGCTTTCTTGGCTCACTGCAACCACCGTCTCCCGGGTTCAAGCGATTCTCCCATCTCAGCCTCCCGATTACCTGGGATTACAGGCACCCCCCATCATGCCCGGCTAATTTTTGTCTTTTAGTAGAGAAGGGATTTCCCCATGTTGGCCAGGCTGATCTTGAACTCCTGACCTTAGGTGATCCGCTCGCCTTGGCCTCCCAAAGTGCTAGGATTACAGGCGTGAGCCACCATGCCCGGCCAAGTCTGCACCTTGCTTTCAGATGATTCAGTAAAAAAAAAAATTTTAAATTATGTGTGTCTGTATACATAGACACACACATAGAGATAAAGCAAATGTGACAAAATGTTAATAACTGGTCTAGCTAGGTGAGAGGTATACTCGTGTTTCATTGTACAATCATTTCAACTTTTCTGTAGCTGTGAAATTTGTCAAAATAGGGTTGAGGAAAAAAGGAAAATGGATGTGTATAGAGGATATAAGGAGAGAACGTGGGTAAGTGGTGAAAGTCCCTTTTGGTTTGGTGTAATCAAGTGTTTATTTGGGACCCAGTAGGCAAGCAAGTGGCAAGTCACATACCAGGGAACCTTTTTTCACCTTAGTTTCTTTGAATTCTCCTGTGCTTTCCCTTTGCACCTTACTGAAGTATTGGAATCTACTCTGCTATGTATGGTCCTGATCTCCTTGTGGCCTGAGGCTTCGGTATTGAAGTCTTTTAAAAGAAAATTGCTTGTGCGCTGACAAAATAAGTGGGAAAAATATTGAATTGCAAATGGAATGCTCTGCTGTATGATTAACTTCTTGAAATGCTGCAAGTGTATTTTAATTATGTTAGTGGCTGTGTCTTGCAGCTAAACTTGAAATCATTCTGCATAGCCTTCCCTTACCTCACAATAATTTGAGGTTATGGGATTAGTTCCTTTTGTCAGGCAGCAGATATTGTTCTCATCGAACCTCCTCTTACTGTTTGTTTAAGGTTGCTGTTGTCTTGGTGTAGGTATTGACTGAAAAATGCTGCTGACACATACATCGTAGTCTCTCTCAAGGCTGCTAGGTTGTAAAACAGACTGTGCAAAATTCAATATGTGTATTGACCCAAGTTTCCAAATTAATGTTAGTGTCATCTATGTGAGATAGTTTTATTTATTCATTTATTCAACATTTAATCACTGCTCCAGGTATTAGGAATGTAAAAATACTGGTGGCAGCCCTCAAGGGATTCGCTGCATATGGGAAGAACAGCTATGTCTCAAATAAGTGCAATGAGCTATAACAGGTACCAGATTAGAATTCAGTAGCTGGGACAAAGGAAGGACCCAGGCTGTGGAGTCAGAAGGCTGGTGTTTGAATTCCACCTTATCCCTTACCACTGTCTACTAAGGCTTTTGCCAGGATGTAAATGAAGTAATATATGTAAAGGCATTTGATAAACTGTAAGATGATCTACAGTGTTAATTATTTATTGTTGTCTGAGTTTTTAAGATCAAAATTTTGGAAAACTATATGAGAATGAACAAAGTTGACTGAATTTTTATTATTGCTGCTGCTGCTGCTGCTTTTTCAATATAGAAGCTTGTTGTGGAAAGAACATAGACTTTTTGAAATCCTATTTCCACGAGAAATCCTATTTCCCTGAAAAAAATAGAAGTAATCAGAAGGAATACTTCTGTAGGATCCCACACCCTGCCAGCAGCTGTGCCTGTGTACTGTAACTTTTCTCTTGTTCAGACAGAGGAACTGTCCTTGCTCAGGCTAAGGCCAAGCCCTGTGTTTGTCCACTAGATCTCCCACTCTTGTTTATTGAAGGATATTCATCTTACATCAGGAATTTTGTTACCTCTTAGGTTTATCAGCATGTAGCATGCTTTTATTTTTCCCTTCACAAAAACTCTTCAGACTCCACTTTGCCCTCTAGCTACCATCCCATTTCTTTTCCTTTCCTTACAATGCTCAAGAGTTGTCTGTACTTGTTTCCAATTCCTCTCCTTCCATTCTCTCTTGAATTCACTCGAATGGAGATTTCCCTCCATCATTTCACAGAAACTATTCTTATTGATGTTATCAATGTCTTCCAGCATTTTACGAGTTTGTTTTCTTCGTATTCTTTCATTTCTACTAATTGCTTATACAAAAATCAGCTTATTCTGCTTTCTTTTTTCTTTTTTTTGTTGTTTTGTTTCTGCATTGTCACATACATAATATTTGTACATTGGTGTCTACTTTTGTTCCCAGCTTTCTTTAGTCATCTATTTATGTATTTTAAAATGCTTACTCAGTTCTTTTGCTGAAGTTTTCCCAGTCATTCTTGTGGTTGGATGAAATTACAGTATGTTTTGAGAAGGTCTCATAGGTGATGAGTTTCTTAAGTTTTTGTATTTTATGTTCAAAACTGTTTTGCCATAACCTTCAAATTTGAGGGGAAACTTGTCTGGATGTAAAATCCTTGGTTCGCCTTCTCTTTCACTACACTTTTAAAAAATGCTACTCTTGTTTTGCTTTGTATGTGAGATTTTAAAAGTCTGATGCAATCAAATTATTTGCCCTTCGTATGTTATTAGTCAGTTTTTCTTACAGGTCTTTATTTTCTTTATCTTTGAAATCTGATAGCTTCCTAGGATATTGGAGTTGATCATGCTGAGTTTAAATTTTCTGGGTATGCATTGGTTCTTTTAGTGTGTAGATTCAGATTTTTTTCTATTTCTATTTTTTCCATTTTCTGTTTCTGTAAAGTTTTCATGGATTATAATTTTAAATATTCTGTACTTTGGTTTTGTTTATCTTCTTCAGATTCTCTGGCAATCCAAATGTTACTGCTTCTTACTATCTTCTCTTTCCAGTAGTTTTTCTTTACTCTTTTTACCTCTCCCTTTTATCTCATTTCCTTTTCACTTCTTAACTCATTTTCATTTTTTCATTGTTTTCATGTCTTCCTTTAAAGCCCCTTACTAAATTATCCTTGAGTACCTTGTAATTTATTCTTTATTTTTTAGATAATTTTCTCTTTTTCTTATATTTATTTCCTGAATTTATTGAGCTTTTTATTATTAACCCTTTTTCACTCTTCTTGTCCAGTTCTATTTTCAGTTACTGAATTTTTGATTTAAGGTGATTTTTCAAGTTGTCCACATTCTCAAATGCTTGTCTGACTATATTTCATTCTGTTTGGAGTGCTATGTTAAAGTTTTCTTTTGCTTCGTGGTTGTTTTTTCAGCCATAATTTCCCTTTGTTGACACGTGTTGACTTTTGTCTTCTCATGTCTGCAAACTATTGTGAATCTCTTTCTTGTTCATTTTTATGATATTGGAATACTTTACAAGATTGGTAGGTTAACGGTGCCTTCTTTTGTCAGTATAGCAAAGTTCAAATACCTTAGCAGATTTTTTCGGTTTTGTTTTGGTGGCAGGAGGGGGCGTGGATCCTCTGATGTTGTGGTTGTCTATTGTCTTGCTGCACACTACATTTGCCCCTTTGCTTCCTTTCCCCTTTACCACCCCTTTGGCAAAAGGCACTTCTTCCTGTTTGCCATTTTTCTCCCTCAGAAGCTCTGTGTTTGGAAGCCTGCCTCTTCATATCATGCCCACACTTAGGTCCCTTCCCTGTAGGCCATGTCTGATTAACCTGGATGCTTTTATAGTATTTTCACTCAGAGTGGACTTAGTCTTTTTGGTGGTAGTTTTGGTTTTAGATGGACCTTAGCCATTTTTGCTAGCTCCCCTCTGTCCTCCCTGGGTGTTTTTCAATTTGCTTTTGCTCACCACCACACCTTGTGGCAGGTCACAATGGAGTAAGTGGGGACATAGGTTTTAGCAGGAGCAATGGAGATGACACATTGGGATTTGGTGATTTCTTTCTTTTTGCTTACAGTTATTGTAAAGTTTGGGTTATTCTCTATCTTCAGGCTAAGTGGAGAGTATGGTTTTTGTGTAGATTTATCTCCCTTTCTTGTTCTTGATTTTTTTGGAGAAAGTATTTGGAGAAGTGTATCAAGGCCATCCCTAATGTTTTCAACTCAGAAGTTCTGGCTATTGTGAATATTGTTGCTGTGAACATTCATGTACAAATATTTGTTTGAATGCTTGTTTTCATTCTTTTGTGTATAGATCTCAGATGGAATTGCTGGGTCGTATGTTAGTTTTATGTTTAAGTTTTTGAGGAACCACCAAGCTTCTTCCACAGTGGCTGTACGGTTTTATGTTCCCATCAATAGTGTATGAGGGTTCCAGATTCCCTACATCCTCAACAATGTTATTTTCCACTGAAAAAATATAGTTTCTAAGTCTAAAGACAAAAAATTGTCATGTGTTATATTAAATTATTTTATGCACTGATTTCTAATGATGAAGTCTTTTTTGGTGTTTTTCAAGCATAGAATCAATTGTTAATAGATGAAATTGCTTTGGGAAGTTTTAGCTTTTTCTATACTGATGTTAGGATAAAATGGCAACCTTGGGCAGCCTTACTTGAGAAGAGCTTGCGGTGGATTTTGATTTGCATAAAGTTTACTGGTTATATATTTAAAAAAGCATTTGATCATGGATGTCTTTTGTAAGATTGTACCACTTGGTGGATTTTTTTTTCCCAAACAAAAACAAAATCTCACCAAGATCCTTGACACCTTCTTGGTGATTTTCTTTAATCAATTAAAAAAATACTAGATTTGCTATAGTTTTCATTTCATTATAAAGGGACATTTTACAACGATAAGTCATTTCAGTAATCTTTCTTCATATGATGCATTTATTTTGCAGGTACCGAAGACACTGGGATTATTAAGGATGTTAAGTGTCAAGTTTTACAGTCGCCAGGGACAAGAACAGGTAACACAAATTGGCTTAACTATGGTGGGCTTCTCAAACATTTTTACCCTGAAGTACCTTTAAGGTCAAAGCTGAATGAACCTCGAATTTTTTGTATCTTCATCTGAGTGTATTCATATACACTATGTGGCTATATGCATTAGTAAGAATTCATAGAGCTGGTGCTGAAGATTTTTATATTTTACTGTGTATCAACCTTATCTTAAAAGAAAAATAATTATAGAGAATATACCCAGCCCTCTTGGGGATCTGGGAATATAGCTCAAGGAATTCTCCTAGAAACATTATATACATATCTTTGAATTTCATATTTTATCTTTACAAATCTTGTGAATTTTGTATTATTGTTCATAATATATCATTTTTTGGCTTAATATTAAAAAAAATTCTTCCCCAAATCTGAGATTACTGATGCTCCAAGAAGAAATGTGCCTCCTGACCCTAGGTTTTAAGTACCATTGTTTTACTGTCTTGTTACTTAGCAGGAAGAGTATGGATCCATGGCAAGGATGTTAGACGGTTTCATCCAGATGAATATCAGTGATACTTAGGAACTGCCTCTGTGAGGTGGTTACATTTGTTTCTCTGTTTGACTTTCACAAGAGTCTTGACCTACACTGGGGAATCAAATCATACTTTTGTCTTGTGGGGGAATCAAATCATACTCCTGTCTTGGAGGAAAATCAAATAATCTAATCTTTTTCACTGCTTCAGTTTCTTTCCCTGTAGGACCTGCTGATATGAAAAGTCAGGCCTTCATATCTGCAGATTCTATATCCCTCAAATACTGTATTTCCAATTCATGGTTGGTTGAATCAGAGGATGTGGAACCTGTGGATATGGAAGGCTTGACTGTACTGTACTTTTTATCATTATTTTAGAGAGTACTCCTTCTACTTACTAAAAAAAAAAGTTAACCATAAAACAGCCTTAGGAATGTTCTTCAGGCATTGCACGGAAAGGCATTCTTAACATGGGAGATTACAACTCCATGAGTGTTACCATCCCTAAAGACCTTCCAGCGGGATAAGATGTGGAGGTAGAAGACGGTGATATTGATGATCCTGACCCTGTGTTGGCCTAGGCTGATGTGTGTATTTGTGTCTTAGTTTTTAACAAAAATGTGTAAAAAGTAAAAGCATAAAATAAAATACAAAAGTTTGTAGAACAAGAATGTAAAGAAAGAAATTTTTTTAATACAGATGTATGTATAGCATGTTTGTGTTTTAAGCTAATGTTATCACAGAAGTCAAAAAGGTAAAAAAATACAAAGTTTATAAAGTAAAAAAGTTACAGTAAGGGAAGGCTAATTTATTATTGAGGAAAGAAAGTTTAAAAAAATGAATGTAGTGGAGCCTAAGTGTACAGTGTTTCTAAAGTCTACAGTAATGTGCAGTAATGTCCTGTCCTAGGCCTTCCCATTCACTTGCCACTCACTCGCACACTCACTCACCCAAAGCAACTTCTAGTTCTGCAAGCTCCATTCATGGTCAATGCCCTATACACATGTTCCATTTGTTATCTTTTATACCATTTACTGTACCTTTTCTGTGTTTAGATACACAAATATTTACCATTGTGCTCCAGTTGCCCACAGTATTCAGTAGAGTAGCATGCTGAGCAGGTTCATGGCCCTAGGAGCAATAGGCTATACCACCCAGCCTAGGTGCGTAGTAGGCTATCCCATCTAGATTTGTGTAACTGCACTGTTATGTATGATGTTTTCACAACGACGAAATCACCTAATGACACATTTTGCAGAACATCTCCCTGTTGTTAAGTGATACATGACTGTACTATAATTTTAGAGCTGAAAGAGCTCATAGGGCTTATCTAATAATTTCTTATTATCATGAACACTTTGACAAGTATTTTCACAGGATCTCACAGGAAGTTTGCATTACCTACACTGGCATTATGATGCCTGCTTTTTATTGATGAAGAGATTAAGGCCTCAAGAGAAATGTGTGCCTAAACTCACTTATCCAGTGTCAGAGATGTGTTTGGTCTTCTGTTGGTTTGTGATCCAGTGCTTGTTTTCACCACTTCTGGTTGGTTATTGTCTTAAACCTTTAGTTGGTAATTTGGAAGAAACAGAAACTAAGATGTGTTTCAAAGTAGCTGAGATGACAAATTACTTAATATCTTAGAAAGAATTATCTATTTTACTACTCAAGTTTGGCAGCAATTATGTTTCTCTTAAAATGTGCTCCTCTTAGCCTGGCGTGGTGGCTTACACCTGTTATCCCAGTTCTTTGGGAGGCTGAGGTGGGAGGATCACTTAAGCCCAGGAGGTCGAGGCTGCAGTGAGCCATGATTGTACCACTGCACTCCAACTTGGGGGACAGAGTGAGACCCTGGCTCAAAAAAAAAAAAGTTCCTCTTAACTACTAATATCTTTACAAAATGGGCCTGCTTTCCTGTATAACCATATTATTAATATTTAGTTCATTTAAAAAACCGGGAGGCGGAGCTTGCAGTGAGCCGAGATCCTGCCACTGCACTCCAGCCTGGGCGACAGAGCGAGACTCCGTCTCAAAAAAAAAAAAAAAAAAAAAAATATTTAGTTCATTTAAAAATTTACTTATGAAACTCTAACAACACTGAGATTGTATAGTATTAGAGGTAATATACATAAAATAGCCAAGACAGTGATTGTCATATTGCAGATACTCAGCAAATAATAGTGGTGTAATGGTGACTGCTGTTATCTCTGTTAATTTCTTTATATCCTGAATTATAGAATTAATAATTAGTAGTCCACAGGTTCTTTTTGAATTGTGGTTTATTATACCCAAACTTACGTGGCTTTAAAAAATAACTTCTCATTGTCTGGCATATAATATTATCTTTTTTTTTTTTTTGAGGCAGAGTGTCGCTCTGTTGCCCAGGCTGGGCTCACTGCAAGCTCCACCTGCCAGGTTCACACCATTCTCCTGTCTCAGCCTCCTGAGTAGCTGGGACTACAGGCACCCGCCACCATACCCGGCTAACTTTTTGTATTTTTAGTAGATATGAGGTTTCACCATGTTAGCCAGGATGGTCTAGGTCTCCTGACCTCATGGTCTGCTGGCCTCGGCCTCCCGAAGTGCTGGGATTACAGGCGTGAGCCACCATGCCTGGCCAGTATTATCTTTTAAAAGAGTATGTTAAAATAAGAATTATTTATATTCTTTTATCAAGGATATTGGCTTGGATCTTTTCTTTTTTTTCTTTTTTTTTTGAGACAGTCTCACTCTGTCACCCAGGCTGGAGTGCAGTGGCGCGATCTAGGCTCATTGCAAGCTCCGCCTCCCGGGTTCACGCCATTCTCCTGCCTCAGCCTCCTGAGTAGCTGGGACTACAGGTACCCGCCCCCACGCCCGGCTGATTTTTTGTATTTTTTTAGTAGAGACAGGGTTTCACCGTGTTAGCCAGAATGTTCCTCGTGATCCACCCGCCTCGGCCTCCCAAAGTGCTGGGATTACAGGCGTGAGCCACCGCACCTGGCCTTTTTTTTTTATTTTTCAAAAGCCTTTTTTTCTTTCCTTCATGCATTTACAGTGTTTTTGTCACAGGCTTTTGAGGCTGACTTTGTTTGATTTGAAGGATAGATTTCTAATTTTGTGTGTGTGTGTGTGTGTGTGTGTGTGTGTGTGTGTGAGACTTCTAAAATATAATGGTGTAGAATATCTAGTAAACTTCTTGAGGGTGGGGATTTATGTTTGTTTTGTTCAACGCTGACTTCCTACAGTGTAAAACAATGCCTGGCACCTAATATTTATTATTGAATATATAATATTCAATAAATACTTGTGGAATGTTGGAAGAGCAGCACTTATAAATTTGCCTTTTATTGATCTGAGTATTTTTTCTTTAAGAATATGTAGTACTTCAGAATGTTTCGAATGTATGCACTAGAAAACTACTTTATTTTTAATACAGTTTGTATATTTGAAAGTTACAGGAAATAGTAAATCACTCATTTTTAATTCTATTAAATTAGATGACAGGTGATTGATTTCAGTACAAAGGTCTGATGTTTAATATTCTTAAAAACCCTGTCTTGGAAAGGACAGTTAGTTAGGAAGTTTTACTGCAATGTTTGAGAGAAAGTACAACTCGTTCTCCAAATATTGCTGCCAGTAGTAGAAGGATTTAATAGTATTTTTAATGAAGAAAGAACAAATGGGTATTGGAGCTAGTGGAATAGAGTGGATTGCAGCAGATACTAGTGATACTCTTTGCTATCAAGCCGTATTTCATGACAATTTCTTTGTGTTCATATTTTAACAATTCATGTGGTTTTCCTTAATAAATATCACTATGCCTTCTCAAAACGTTTTAAAATAGTCTCATTTTACTTTTTAAATTTTTACTTTTTTAAAAAATTTAACTTTTATTGTAAGTTCAGGGGTACCTGTGCAGGTTTGTTATATAGGTAAACTTGTGTCATGAGGGTTTGTTGTACAGATTATTTCGTCACCCATATATTAGGCCTAGTCCCATTAGTTATTTTTCCTCATCCTCTCCCTCCTCCCACCCTCCACCTGCTCATAGACCTCAGTATGTGTTGTTCCCTTCTATGTGTCTATGTGTTCTCATCATTTAGCTCCTACTTATAAGTAAGAACATGTGGTATTTGGTTGTTCCTCCATTAGTTCCTGCATTAGTTTTCTAAGGATAATGGCCTCCAGCTCCATCCATGTTGCTGCAAAGGACATAGTGTTGTTCTTTTTTAGGGCTGCATAATATTCCATGTATGTAACACATTTTCTTTATTCAGTCTATCACTGATGGGCATTTAGGTTTATTCCATGTCTTTGCTATTGTAAATAGTGCTGCAGTGAACATATGTGTGCATGTGTCTTTATGACAGAACGATTTATATTCCCCAGTGTATTAGTCTGTTCTCACACTGCTATAAGAACTACCTGAGGCTGGACGCAGTGGCTCACGCCTGTAATCCCAGCACTTGGGAGGCTGAGGCAGGCAGATCACTTGAGGTCAGGAGTTTGAGACCAGCCCAGCTAACATGGTGAAACCCCATTTTTACTAAAAATGCAAAAATTAGCTGGGTGTGGTGGCACGTACTTGTCATTTCAGCTACTTGGGAGGCTGAGGTGGGAAGATTGTTTGAACCCAGGAGGTAGAGGTTACAGTGAGCCAAGAATCGCGCCACTGCATTCCAACCTGGGCGATGGAGCAAGACTGTCTCAAAAAAAAAAAAAAAAAAGTAACTCCCTGAGACTGGGTAATTTATGAAGAAAAGAGGTTTAATTGACTCACAGTTCTGCAGACTTAACAGGAAGCATGACTGGGAGGCCTCTGGAAACTTACAATCATGGCGGAAGTTGAAGAGGAAGGAAACACATCTTTACCATGGTGGAGCAGGAGAGAGAGAGAGAGAGAGAGCGAGCACGAATGGGGAAGTGCCACACACTTAAACCATCAGATCTTGTGAGAACTCACTATCATGAGAACAGCAAAGGGAAATCCGCCCCCATGGTTCAGTCACTTCCCATCAGGCCCCTCCAATTTGACATGGGATTTGGGTGGGGACGCAGATCCAAACCATATCACCCAGTAATGGGATTACTGGTTCGAATGGTATTTCTGTTTTTAGGTCTTTGAGGAATTGCCATACTGGCTTCCACAATGGTTGAACTAATTTATGCTCCCACTAGCAGTGTGTAAGCGTTCCTTTTTCTCCACAACCTCGCCAGCATGTTATTTTTTGAATAGTCCCATTTTAAATGTTTGTATGCCAGACACTGTATGTATGTATAAATATTTTTTTTATTGGGATAAATATATATTTTAATTATCTGTTAAACTTCACAACTCAAAAGGTATAGTATTATCCAAATTTTATAGATTAGAATCAGATTAGAAAAACTAAGTGAGGTTTTATAGCAAGTGGAACTCTAGCATCTGTGGTAGTTTGATACTACATTGCTGCCATATTCTTTTATGGGCCCTCCAGAGAGGAAAGTTGAAATAACTTAGTGGAGAATGGGTGAGCTACTTCCCGTTTCTGTATACCCCTACATGTACTTTATACACTCAGTAAATGTTTTTACTAATCACCCATTTTGCAGGCAGATTAGTTACGGAGAATCAGTGGAGGAAAGGTATAGTGTATCTAGGGGAAAAAGTTGTAAAATTTTAGTTCCTTTAATAATTTGTTAGATAAGCTTTTAAAAACATATCTTTTGATAGAGATGGTTCTCAGTTATTATAGATGACATGGGAGTATACTATAGTAAAATACAAGGAAATATTTTACTAATTTTTCATCATTAAAAGTAATTTCAATACCTACTCATAGGTGTTACTAGGAGCAAATTAAATGTGTGCTCTGTGGCTTTGGGATGCTATCAACATCAATATATTCCATACTTCTTAATGTATAAAATATGAGTATTTTCAGATTTTCAATACCTTTCAGATCCCAAGAAGTCCTAAACTGGCATCTGTAGCCCAGTTCTCCTCTGCACTTCAGATTTGTATACCCTGCTGCTTACTTGACAGCTTCAGTAGGATAGCCTTCAGGCATTTTAAATCAAACATTTCCAAAACAAAACTCTGATAGCTTCTCATTTTTCTTCCCTAACCCTTTCTACCTTAGACTTGATTGCCTCAGTAATCCATCCTTTTGCCAAAGGGAGATACCTGAAAATTATTGCTGACACTAGCCAGTCCTTCATCCCCCCATCTAATCTAATCTAACACCTTTGCTACCAGTATCATCTTCAGAGTGTACTTAGAATCTTTCTACTTCTTTTTTCTTGTGTGGCTATCACCATTGTATAATTTGTCATCTCTCCTACATTAGCAGATACTTAATCAGTTCCCCTAGCAACCTTAGTGACTTAAAAAATGTAAATCAGATAAGCTCATTTTCTTGCTTGAAGAAAGCCGTCAGTGGCTTTCTGTTGAACTAAGAATGATGACAGAATCAAATGCTTAACATTATCCAAAAAGACATTACATAAGCTGGCCCATGACTGTCTCTGCAGACTGATCTCATGCCACTGGCTCATTCTCTTTTAGTTATGTTGGCCTTATCTCAGCTCATCAAGGGTGCCATGTTCTTTTCTTTGTAGATTCCATTTTTTTTCTATTGGGAATGGTTTTACCTTATTTGTCCTCATTAATTAATTTTTTCTCATCTTTGGGCATCAGCTCTATTTTTCATATCCTCAGACTCCTCTTATAGTCCTTCAATTTAAATACAGTTCCTATTGTTATTCTCTCTTAGAGCACTCTGTATTTTTCTTCCATAGCAGTAATCAAAGTTTGTAATGTAGATTTATTTGTTAGTTTATTTGTATACCTAATCTGTATTTTCATGGCTCCATGAAGCTAGATTCACATCTGTTTTACCTAGAAAAGTGCCTGGAATAGAATAGGTGTATTAGATGATAACCTCCTTTGCAGCAAGAAATTAAATCAGATTCCTGCTAGCTTCTTTTTGCACCTTCTTCCTTCCTCCCTCTCTCCCTCCTTCTTTTCTTCCTTTCTTCCCTCCCTCTTTCCTTGCCTCTCCTTCTCCCTCCCTCTCTCCCATGCTTTCTTCCTTCCTAAGCTTTTTATTGTGAAATATAATACAGATGTAGGAAATTGCATCAAACAAATATGTGGTTTAATAACCATTTTGGGGACAGCTTTATTGAAATATTCACATGTGGTACAATTTACTCATTTAAATTATACAATTCAGAGGTTTTTAGTATATTCACAGAACTGTGCAATGATTTCAAGAATCAATTTTAAACATCTTATCGCTCTGGAAAAAAACCCTGCATCCCTTAATTATCACCTGCAACACTCCATCTCCCCAGCTCGTAAGCAACCCCTAATCTTTTAGTTTGTATAAATTTGCCTATTCTGGACATTCTATATGAATAGAATTATAAAATATGTGGTCCATTGTGACTGGCTTTTTTCGCTTAGCATGATGCTTTCAAGGTTCACCCATGTTGTTGCATGTATCAGTATTTCATTTCTTTTTATTGCTGAATAATAGCCCATTGTGTGTGTGTGTGTGTGTGTGTGTGTGTGTATCTGTATATGTATGTGTGTGTGTATATATATACACACACACAGTGTTTTATTTATCCATTCATCAGTTGGACATTTGGGTTGTTTCTACTTTTTGGCTATTATAAATAATGCTGCTGTGAACATTTGTGTGCAAGTTCTTTTGTGGAAATATCATTGAATTTTTCTTGGAGTGGAATTGCTGAGTCTTATGATAACTGTGTTTAGCCATTTGAGGAGTTGTCAGATAGTTTTCCAAGGTGGCGGCACCATTTTCTGTTCCTAATGTCAGAGTATGGTGTTTCCATTGTCTCCACATCCATGCCAACACTTGTTATTATCTTTTATTCTAGTAATCCTAGTAGGTGTGAAGTGGTTCTTGTTTGAAGTTGAAAAGGTACATAACCTTATAACCATTATCTAGGGCAGAAACAGGACTCTGCCAGCTACCTTCTATGGACCCTGTCACAAACACAGTTCCCGCCCTCCCTCCACAAGCAGCCATTATTCTGGCTTAGGTTTATCTGTTTATTTATACTTTTATCATGCAATTTTTCATCTCTAACAATATGGCTTTTTAAAAAAAACTATGTGTTTTAAGTCTCTTTTTCTCTATCTGCTGGTCTGTCCTCCATATCATCTTTTTTTTCTCTTAAAAATTATTTGTTGAAGAAACTGTTTTTTCATTTTACTCATTGCATCTTTATAGTGGTGTTTCCTTTATTCTTTTGTCCTTTTGTGTCCATGTATTCTTATAAATTAGTAGTTGGATTTAAAGATCATGCAGATTTTTTGTTTGCTTTTAAAGGCAGAAAACTGTATAGGTGGTAGTGCCTTCTTTTATCAAGAGGATCGTATCTGTTTTTGATGACATTAGTATGGGACTTCCCCTGTACAAGTGGGTGCAGGCCGGTTAGTTTTGAGAGCTTATAGAGTGCCGATTGCTCCAGGATCTCTTGTCACGCTCCTGCTATTGGAGTGTGCATAACTTCCCCCAGTTTCCATTTATGTGAACAGTATTTATCAAGTGCCTGGTCAGCATTTTGGCAAGAGACTACTCACCATTTTCTGTGCAATGCATTGAAGAAATTGCCTATTGTGAATGCCAAGAGATGTTCCCTGCGTGTTAGGAGAGTTATTGTATTGCTGCCACAGAGTCTTGTCAGGTCATCTGGAGCATGCCACATGAGTGTCTGGGCTTTGGCTGCCTCCTCAGCAAAATGAAAAAAGGGGGGTAAAAATGCAGAATTAAAGTGGAAGATTTCAAGTGGAGGTGCACATCAGAGATATCTGGGAGTTTTTTCAAAGAACATATGCCTATGTTTTTCCAGCCTAGATTTCTATTTATCCTAAGTGCTGGGAGTGGAGCAGGTGTCCATGTGATTCTGATACCCTCCTTTTTTGGGAACATCACTCTTTATTGTCTTATTTCAGCTCTTGTATTCTAGCATTTATATAATGTGGATGGAGTTTCTATACTCAGGGAGCATATAAAGTGGTTAGTGAGACTAGGTAAAGTACTAGTTAGAAGAATTAAATATCAATATATTCCTCCAATATAAAAGATCTTACTAAGGTGCAAGTGAAGAGTGCCAAATGAATGAGACATGTTGTTGGAATTTACGATTAAGATGTGTTATTATGGATTCAGGTAGAATCCAATCTTCATACTAACTTCTATATTTAGAAAGTTGAGTTATATGATAAATGCATTAAATGACTTTACGTACATTCTAATTTTATCCTTGGGGCAACCTTATAATGTGTAGATGTTGTTATTTTTATTTCAAAAAGAGAGAAAGCCTCTGTTACTTATGATAGTTAACTAATGTGCCTGTGGTCACATAACTACTAGTGGCAGAGCCAAGTTTAATGTTCTTGACCAAAATTTCAGCTGTTGAAATGATGATTAAAATAAAAATGACATTCATGATTAAAATAAAAACGAGGAATGTGAAAGAAATTTAAGACTTACTTTAACCAAAGTGAAAATTGTGGCTGGGTGGGGTGGCTCATGCCTGTAATCCCAGCATTTTGGGAGGCCTAAGTAGGCAGTTCACCTGAGGTCAGGAGTTGAACCAGCTTGGCCAACATGGTGAAACCCTATCTCTACTAAAAATACAAAAATTAGCCCGGCGTGGTGGCAGGTGCCTGTAATCCCAGCTACGTGGGAGGCTGAGGCAGGAGAATCCTTGAACCCTCGAGGCAGAGGTTGCAGTGAGCTGAGATTGCACCACTGTACTCCGGCATGGGAGACAGTGACTCTGTCTCCAAAAAAAAAAAAAAAAAAGAGAAAATTGCAGCTACATATAAATTTTATTGCTTTTACAACTGCTTAATTCAAATAAAGAAGAGAACAAGATTATTATTTACTTGTGCTGAGAAATCTTAATACAGTATGAAGAATCATGGTTTAAATGTTTGAGGTTTACCTTTTTTTTTTTTTTCTTTTTGAGCCAGAGTCTTGCTGTGTTGCCCAGGCTGCAGTGCAATGGCGTGATCTCGGTTCATGCCAACCTCTGCCTCCCAGGTTCAAGCCATTCTCCCACCTCAGCCTTCTAAGTAGCTGGGATTATAGGCACTTGCCATCATGCCTGGCTAATTTTTGTATTTTTGTAGAGATGGGGTTTTACCATGTTGACCAGGCTGGTCTTGAACTCCTGACCTCAGGTAATCCACCTGCCTTGGCCTCCCATAGTACTGGGATTACAGGCATGAGCCACTGCACCTGGCCGAGGTATACTTTTATTGTGATATGTAGTTGCTTTTATCCTCCCATTTCCAAGGCACAAACTCTGGTATTCTCTCCCTTGCCCACTGTATTAGTCAATTTTCACACTGCTATAAAGAACTACCTAAGACTGAGTAATTTATAAAGAAAGGAAGTTTAATTGACTCACAGTTCCACATGGCTGGGGAGGCCTCAGGAAATTTACAATCATGGCGGAAGATGAAGGGGAAACAAAGCAGGTCTTAATGGCAATAGGAAGGAGATAGAACGAGGGCAGAACTGCCGCACACTTTTAAACCATCAGATCTCATGAGAACTCACTAGCATGAGAACAGCATGGGGAAAATCTGTCCCCATGATCCAGTCACCTCCCACTAGGTCCCTCCCCTGACACATGGGGATTACAATAATTCAAAATGAGATTTGGGTGGGGATATAGAGCCAAACCATATTACTCACCAACAGACACTCAGACTCCCAAATACCACAGACTCTGTTCATAGAATTTAGCGTGGATTTTCTAACTGTGACTTGAGATTTTGGTCCACAGTTACTGTTGGGATAATGAATTATTCCCTGGGCCAGAACCCCCTTGCATGTTATATAGGAATTCAGAAATGTTTCTACGGACCAGGTGCAGTGGCTTATACCTGTAATCTCAACACTTTGGGAGGCCGAGGCAGGCAGATCACTTGAGGTCAGGAGTTTGAGACCAGCATGGGCAACATGATGAACCCCCGTGACCCTCTACAAAAAATACAAAAGTTAGCCAGGCATGGTGGTGCATGCCTGTAGTCCTGGCTACTCAGGAGGCTGAAGTGGGAGGATCACTTGAGCCTGGGAGGCAGAGGTTGCAGTGAACCGAGATCGTGCCAGTGCACTCCAGCCTGGGTGACAGAGCCAGATCCTGTCTCAGAAATAAATAAATACATAAAGGTTTCTACAAATAAAGAGCAGAGTTTTATTTCAGAAGGAAAACACTGTATTTCCAACATAACCTAAGTGTCTTGAGAATCTTGAGTGGCTACAATCCAATTACTACTAATAACTCTATCATCTTACTATGCATGAACGTTCAATAGATAACTTGGGACTTCAAAGAAATGCATACTTGATGTGTATTTATAAGCAAAATAATGACTGGGATTTGCTTTAAAATCCTCTGGCATGGTGGTGACTGGGGAAGGGTAAATGAAACATGCCTGAAAAAATGTTAATATTTGTTGAAGCAGGTTGGGTATGTGGATATTTATTATACTGTAATTTCTACTTTTGTGTGTAAGTGAAAATTTCTACAATAAGATAGTTCAAGAAAGAAATACTACATTTACAGTGTGGATACCATGGCATCTAATGAAACTAAGGGGATCAAGTATCCACCATATGAAAGCAAGTGGGAACATTCTAGTTAATACAATTTATTGTTTAACTTTCTGGAAAGAAAGAAGTGAGTGTAGAGGAGAAACAGTACCTTTTCTCTTTCCTTTCTTAGATTCATAGATGAGGCTCCTATCACAAAACACAGATTAGCAAGATATACTGATAGATTTAATGTAAATTTTATGTGACATGGGAGCTTTCATAAGGAAATGAAGATTCGAAGAAATGGGTAAACCTGTGTATTTTTCTTTTTCTTTTTTTTTTTTCTTTTTTGAGATGGAGTCTCACTCTGTCGCCCAGGCTGGAGTGCAGTGGCACGATCTCAGCTCACTGTAAGCTCTGCCTCCTTGGTTCACGCCATTCACCTGCCTCAGCCTCCCAAGTAGTTGGGACTACAGGCGCCCACCACCACGCCTGGCTAATTTTTTGTGTTTTTAGTAGAGACGGGGTTTCACTGTGTTAGCCAGGATGGTCTCGATCTCCTGACCTCGTGATGTGCCCGCCTCGGCCTCCCAAAGTGCTGGGATTACAGGCGTGAGCCACTGCGCCTGGCCAACCTGTGTATTTTTAATGCTAGCTTTGAAGAAGAGAAATGGATAGTTGTGGAAGTATGGTTGGATAAGTATGATTTAATAGCAGTAAATTGGGAGGAACTTAGCAAGGCCTGTTTGTTCACATTCTCCCTGTGACTCTGTCTTCAGAGATGAGGATGTTCTTTTCTTCCAGGTTTGGGGAGGGCACCTCCAGAATGAGGATCATGACTTGCTTTTAGCAAAAGGTTAGAAAATTCTTCCTAGATTTTATGACCTGCTTCATGGAGGAAGGGTGGGAGGAAGGTGGGAATGACTTTCCTGCCTCTGATGTTTTCTCAGATGCTAACATGACTTATTCTGTATTTTGGGGTAGCATGTCCTGAACCCTATCAAGAGGGAAGAAGTTTTTTAAAAATTAAAAAATACTATATATTTATTCAGTGCTTTCGGTCATATTGCTATTGTGAAGTTATTCAGTATACTTTTGTTGTTAAAGAGATTCATAAACTTTTTTCTTGCTTTCAGAGCATTTCAATGGAGTTGTATAATGGAACATTTATAATACCTGGGAATTACCGTACAGATCACACATGACTAATTATTCAGGTGGTCAAAACAATAAATTATACTTGACCATAATTTCTGCTGAGGGGCATGCTCGTGACTACTAGAAACTAGGCCAGGGTCCAGGTGAGGACTATAGTCCTGGCTCATGGACGTGCCCTGGTTGGGATTGAAAACATCCACATTCTAGTTCAGATTTTGCTCTGCACACTTGAGTGATCATGGGCAAGTGTCTTTGCCCTTCAGGACTTTAATCTCTTCCTTTGTGAAATCTGAAAGATGGGCAGAGTTCTTTTGGCTGGTAAAAATCTGTGCTTCTGAGGCCTGCCTTATACAAAACCATGGAGCTTATTGACTTTAAATTTGAGGAGGGAGGACATCAGGCCCTTTGTCTTGTACTTCTTTCCCTGATCCCATCTTAGAGGAAGGGATGTGATAGATTTAAAATTTTGCTTTGAAGTACTTTTGCTTTTATTATTTCTCTTTTTTCAAGCATTTGTATTTCAATCTTACATTTAATTGTGGGATTCTGGGATTAACCTGTTATATCTAGTTAAAGTAATTTTAGTCTTTAGTAAAGTGATTAGAGGATGCTAATCTTTTCATCTATGTACTCATTCAACAGTGTTCCTGACCTCCTGAAATTGTTCTGGTTTTGATGGCTAAGGCACCTTAGTCATTTGAGACTTGAGGACTTAAATGTCTACAGAGGCCAGGCTGATAATATAATTTAGTGAATTGGATCAAGTGTAATAATTTTGATTTTCAGTATAGTCATGTTTCATTTTCAGTTCTATAGCTAGTATTTGACCCCAATACTGGAGCAATAATAGAGAAAGGTGTGGGCATTGACTAACTGGAAAGTTTATGACTCTTCTAAGAGGTCATCTGCTACCAAGTTCTGTTGTCATCTGGGGATGTGGGCTGTGTTTTGCCAGATTTTCTAAATGTTCAGAAGAGATATGGTTGTGGGCTGCTGTTTTCTGGTCTCTGTTTTATTCTTTGTGGGCAGGCTACCTTGGACCCTGTTCTTAACAAATGCCTGAATGGGAAATAGCTGTCCAGTTAATGTTTGTTCAGGTCTTCTGAGTGTATCGTAGGTGGTGGCAGGTGATGTCTCTGCTCATATGATTTCTGCTCATATGGTTTGTGTCATCTGAGAAAGGAAAAGACAGAGAGGTTATTTGGACAAGAAGGACTGGAAGGATAACTCTTCCTCTGTGTACCTTTCGGTTGACTATATGAAATCAGTCATTACAAAATTTCTTTGTTCTGTAGTAACACATTCCTTAAACTGGATAATTTGGCAGCAAATCTAGAAAATTGTAAACATTCATAGCATTTCTTAAATTAAGGACCATTTTCTTCCTCTTTATCTTCTTCTGTTTCCATCATTCTTGCACTCTTTCTCTAGCTCTTTTCTACTCCTTTCCTTCTTTTCCGTGGCATGAATTTTTGGCCTATTTATGATATATAGCATACTTCAGACACTGTGTAGATATAAAATCTTGTAAAGATCTGGGCCCAAATTTTAAGGAATTGACAATCTAGTCAAGACCAACCTTAAAAGGTATTGAGAATTCATGGTAATTGATATGTGAAGAAATATATTTATAATGCATACATATTTTTCGGTTATATGTAAATATAACCAAATTTTTGGTTTTGGGTTATATGTAAATTATAACTCTGAAGTAGGTAACAAACTCCTTAAGGTCAGGAGGACTTTTTCTCTATGCTGAAGTACATTTATAATGATAGGAAGCTGGCAGAACTCTTAATTACTAAAGATCATTTATAACTTGGCACCTCTAAAGAGTGTCATTTACTTCTGAGTTATTTACATTTGACCATAAGTCCTTTGCCCTGACCTTATGATTCTTATTTAGGATGGAATTTTTAAGATGAGCCTTTCTCCAGATGGGATGCTCCTGGCAGCCATTCACTTCTCAGGGAAACTGAGCATCTGGGCGATTCCATCTCTGAAGCAACAAGGGGAATGGGGTCAAAATGAGCAGGTGCGTCTCTTGGTTATTAGAATGATACTCTCTTAAGGGTGAGTATTGACAATACTAATTTTATTTTATTGATATTTTACTATAGTACACAGCTGTTTATTCTCATCGTTCCAAAGCTCTTCTATCCTTTAAATTATGATATCAGTACAGTGGGATAAATTAAAAATAGATTAATACTGTGGACTAATTTTGAATTGTAGTGTGGTACACTCTGTATACAGAGTGTAATCTGTAAAAGAGTTTGTTAAACTCTTCATTTTTTCCCTCTTTGTCATTCAAAAGTACAGAATGGAGATGTTAACATTTCAGCAAAAGTTAATATTATCAAGGATTTGGAGGGTCAAATCCTAAAAGGGTTACAATTCTTTTCAAATCTTGCAACACTAGTTATTTGGGGCCTCCTTGAAGGGAGTTACCTTCTCTTCACTGAAATGTGGATAGCTAAGATATAGAGAAGGATGGAACTCTTTGTTAGTGTCCTGGAATGATAGGTTTTAAGGATTAGATGATTTTGTTATGTAGTGACAGAGTAGCACTAGTTAGTGACATATATTATAATTTAAATTCACAAGGGGAAGGAAAGGTCTGCTCATATAAAGCCATGTATTGTGATAGAGTAAAGGTTTAAAGAAATTCCTCAACTGGAAATAGCTTGTATTATAAATCTTTTACTCTGATTCACTTACATTTTACCATTTTAGGGATTAATTTTCCTTCTCTCACCCCCTCACTCTGTTTTTCTCTAGGCATATCCAGCTTTGGGTGGGTGGTTTGAGATTTTCATATTAGAGCCTATTTCCTGAATGACCTGAATGGATCAATGTCATAATTGAGAGGATTATTGATAAGGAATTTTTCTCAGAATGACAGAGGAAAAGAGAAAGTGACTCTGTATTTTCTTCCTCGATTCACTGGTTTAAATTTATTTGTTTTAGATATTCTTATTTTTTTGTCTTATACACAGCTTTAGGAAGATATTTTCTCCCTGGTTTCCATTCAACTTGAAGTTAATATGATCTCCACATGTTTACCACTCTTTCTCCCTTATTGGATCTAGATTTGTCCTCAGTGGCAGAGGTGCTCCTCAGCTTACAACCTTGGTGGCTAAATAAAAGGGACAGTCTTTCTCTCTGCTCTGAAATTATAGCTAACTTCACTCATTTCTTCTTTCTAGAGGTGAAGTGATGAACTCTCAAAACTGTGTAATGTATTTAGCTGGGGATGTCAGGCAGCAGAACTTCCACTTGGCTGTTCAAGAGCTGACTGAGGATGGGAGTGTAGGCTGATTTATAGGGCATATATTTCATATCACTGACACAGTTGACCCTACAGCAACATGGGTTTGAACTGCATGGGTCCACTCTGTACATAGATTTTCTTCAACCAAACACTGATGGAAAATACAGTCTTTGCAGAATGTCACATCTGTGGATAGGGTAGGTGACTTTTTGTATAGGTGGGTCCAGCAGGGTCTTCTAGGGGGCTTGAGTGCATGTAGATTTTGGTATACCTGGAACCCTGCATATACCGAGGGATGACTCTACTTCTTGATGCACAATACATGAAGTCCATGTTTCATATCTATGTTCAAAATAAAGCATTATTCATTTCATTGATCCAAAAGATACTTCGTGTTTTTCATGGTTATCAATGCATGATGATAAAGTATTCAGCTGTTTTCGTTTGAGAGGAGCCTGATGTTCTCTCTGTATTTGGGAAATTTTAGATTTGGGCAACATTTTTCTAAATGGTGAAAACTTTGAATAATAAAGGCATTTTCCCCCCTTGGCTTTCTGTTTTTTAAAATTACTTTTATTCACCTAGTAGAAATATTTATCAATTTCTGAAGCACTCTTAATATTTCATATTCTGTGTATCCTAGTACGTTATACATCCAGTGTAAAGGCTATTCTGAGCAAAATTGATTAGTATGCGCTTTTGTTTACTGAAAATCCAGAGACTTTTTTTTTTTTGTCCTGCAAAGATAAATTGAATCTTTTTTTGTGGCCCTTATTGGAATATGCTCAACCTTTGACTGGTTAGCATTTTTTTTTTGGTCATTAGTTGCCAGTCAATGCTATAATAATGCATTACTCTTTACTCATTAATATAATTCATTGATTAGATTTTTAGAGTGGTTCTATTAAAAAAAGTAAAAGTTGTTTAAAAACCTTAAAACCAGAGAATGAATAAATGTAAATATTTCAGTAGTTTGAAATATGCAGTCAGAAAAGTAATGGGACAGGAAAGGGAAAGGGGGGGACCTCAGAAATTGAAAAAATGTGTATGTAGTAGGAAGAGAGGCATTCAGGCTAGAAGTTGTCATGCCTTAGCAAAAGTGTTTTGAACAAATACCCTGAGAGTCTGGAAGAATAATTCATGAGGAATTGTGTAGCTTGGCTGTTGAGCATCCATTTTGTGGATGTGGCTTTGATTCCATGTTCCTGAAACAGTCCTCAGATAGAGCTTTTGACTTTTAAATTGATCTGTCAATCAGGGGAGCTATGCAACTTGATTCTCAAGCTAGTTGTTTCTCTTATTATAAATGTACACATTTTTAGGATTATATGTCATTTTCTTCTGATGTGGGTGGTATGAATTATTTCCCTTGAATGCCTGAGTAAACTGGAAAAATAGATTTTGGGGCTCACAAAACTGAAAACCATGGACGTAGTTGCCATTACCAAGGATGTTGTATGAGTCGTGGTGTCCTTTGCTGAGAGAGCAGTGGCTTAGCTATAGTTACTGACCCTGATACTGCAGACTACCATTCCCATTGTGGCTCTGTCCCTTCCCCGGTTCAGAGTTCATCACAGCACAGGCCGGGGTCGGCCACCCCTCCCTTTCCTGCTGCTGTTCAGCTGGACTAGCTGGATAGGGCAGACTCTGCCCTCTGAGACCCTAGCCAGTTTTAGCCTCAAAGGAAGTTTTGGTCCCAAGTAGGGAACATGGAAGGCATTTAATTTTATTTCTTTTTTTTTTCCTTTAAAACCCTAAGGCTGTGGTGAAAATGAAAACTCCTCTGTGAACCTGTCATCTCCTGCAGTCTGATCATCATGCTGCTTTGCTCTACTTCCTAGATCCTCTTGTCCTGCTCTCTACTTTCATGTAACCATTTCTGCCGTACTTTCCAAAACTTCATTCCATTGTAAACACGCCTGTGAGGCTTCAACCTCTTCACAGACACTCTGGTTTCTTTCTGTATGCTAATTGCATACTTGTATAGCTTAATAGGAAGAAGGTACAGGAATAAGATCGTCTTGTAGCTTTTACAAAATTTACCCTAACTACATTTATTATTTATTGAGCACTTTGTCCTATGGTTGTGCAACAAGTAAGCAATAGAGCTGAGATTTGATTTTATACCTCTCTGACACTGATGCATATGTTCTTTCCATGACTGTGTGGGAAAGAAATACATAAAACAACAAAAAGATAAGTGGAAGAATACTTATTTATTAGGCTAGCGAATGCCAGAGTGTACTACACACATTTTTTCCCACAATACTTGTGTTATTAGTTATTTAGTGGCATCCTATTATTTGAAAGATCAGATTTGTATGTAAAAGGTTAGGAGGACTATAATCACTCTTTATAATTATTAATTTTTTACATTGATTCTTTTTATTTGATGATCTTTAAAAACACAGAGACAAATCCTTTTTCTCGGTGGATGTGATACAGATTCCTTCAGCTCTCTCAGATATGCTTAACTCTTGAGCTAGTTAGTGTGTACCAGATACCAGAATAAATAATTGGGGAAGCCTCTCATTGGTAAACCCTTAGCTTTCTAATAGATATCTAGAGTACTCATGATGTAGTGGGGTTGGGGGAAGGTGGTAACTTTGTCAAGCAAGAAGAGTTTGAACAACCATAGTTTCTTTGAGTCTTTCACCTGTATCCTGGGAATCAATCACTTGGATGTTTTAGATTTGAATTTTAGCTTATGAATTACTAAAATCTAGTGTATTATAGTAAGTATAATAAAGCCTATGTGTAACAGGACTGTACAGTAGAGTAGGTTGTTCCTATTTACGTAATAACATAATGGTGAAATAATAAAGTTCAAGTATTTATTGACTCTACTAAGAGCTCCAGTAGGGAATACAGTGTCATAGTCCCTGCTCTTAAGATATTCACAGGCTTCCAAGGGAAATTATGAACAAATGATTAAAATGACATGTTAATATTTTGAGAAGATAAGCTCAGGAAAGGCATGTAGGTCAGCTGATAGTGTTGGGGAGAAGGATTATTGGAAATAAATAGTATTTGTGTAGTAAGGCTTGACTATTTACAGAGCATAGTTTTCATTTGTCTCACAACAACCCTATTAACCCATGTATGCTGGAGGTGGCAAATTTTTTTTGTGAAAAATCAGACCTTGGCCATGACCTTGAGCAGTAGGATTTAAATAACTCCCACAAGCTTAGCATTCCAATAATGGAACACTAGGCATAAATGGGTGGGAATGGTGCTAAAAGAGGTTAACTTGAGATCACTAAATGTTAGAGTCAAGATTCCATTTTGATTGAAGTCTCCTGACTTCATAGGTTAAGCCTTTTTTCAGAATATCTACTTACAGTACTTACATTTAGAAGTATTGACTTTTATCTGGGTAAATCAGAGACTAGCATATGATATTAATGGTAAGCAAGGGAGATATATCAGCTTGAAGTTTATATGAATAACATCCCCTGGAGTCACGCAGTTCATTATGTAGAGACCCTAGAAATGTGCAAGTAGTAATAACTGAGAGGTGTAATACAGTTGTTTACCAAATATGTAAAGTGGCTGTGTGTACTCATCACTGGAATCCTTTAAAGAGAAATCCCAAGCTTTGAAAAATACTGAGACAGCTACTCTTCTTTCATGTCTCTAGTAATAATCAAGTGAGCTTGGATCAGCCAGGTAGGGCAGAGTTTCACCTCTCTTTATGGCTGCTCTAGTAAGTAGACAAACCGATTAGTTTCAAATCGATGATATGGTGATATTTAAACTAGTCAGCTTATAATTTTAGTTTAAATGTTGTCTGAGAAGAAATTAATGTTGCTGCTACCCTGCACAGCCTTAAACCTCTTTACCAAAATTGTGAATTCAACTCATTTGGGGCTTTCTTCATGCAATTTGCCGCTTTATTAGTTTTTATAATATGCTTTGTGTGATTGAGTATTTTCTCTGTAAAACCTAATGATTAAAGATAGTTGTGGAAGTGCCTATTCTGATTTACTAATATCCAGTTTTGAGTTGATTAAATACTTTGGCTTTCATTGTCAATATGAAAATCCATCTGGCTAGAAATCTGTGAGTATTAAATTTTGTTCATGTCTGGAATATAGTAAAATTGCTTAAGTGATTTTCATTTCAAACATTTCCCATATGTTATGTTTATATCTTTACATCTCATTTTCGGCCTTAATTTTTCTCTCAAGTTTTATTATTTGTCTATTTGTACTTCTTCAGGCCTAGAAATGGAATACAAACTTATGTCTTCATTGTCATTTTATTTTCTTTTTCACACATAGTAGGTGTTGGACTAATCTTAAGTAGATGAATGAAGAGTAAGTGGGAAGATGGCAGTTGATGCGATGAATCTTGATATAATCCACAGCTGTTTTCACAATTTCACCAGACTGTGAGTTCTTTGAGAATAGGCACTGAATATGTATTTCATCACAGACTCTCTTAGGCTTAACATAATAAATAATAATAAATATTTGTGGAATGAATAAGCCTTTGAAATGTTGCTTTTATGTTGTTGGAGGCAGGGATTTCATTATATTTAGATTTTAGTGGTAAAAACAATTAGCAAATAAAATTCTCAAGTCTAAAGAAAACATTACTTTAGCCGTAATAGGTTTTCTGTACAAAACCTATAACTATTCTTAGAACATCCTCCTTTGGGTTATGGCTGCAGTATAAAATGATGGCATATTAGGCTGTTTTCAGTAATGTGGTAGCATGAATATGTCGGGTGGGGAGACATGATACCTTACTGAACTCATCATAAGGATCACAGCTGACAGTCCTATAACAAAAGACAGGTTAACAAGAGAAAAGCATAACAAATTTATTTAAAAACAAATGATTTTCCTTGCTAACTTGAATTTGGAATGGAAGATGTAAAGATAAATTTTTACCTTCTCTTCTTGACCAGGCACTATAGTTAGAGATCCAGGAAAGCTGACTTTGTTTAAAAAAAAAAAAAAAATCAAAGAACTTCTTACCTTTCTTTGCTTGCCTTTTGTCAGTTGTTCCAGGATTTTGTCTGCAGGTTCCAGAGCAAGTCAGGTGTCTCAGCTGCCCCACTTTGGGTGCCAGAAACTGTTGGGGTGGAAAGGTGTGATACCTCTTCTAACCCATCATAAGAGGACACAGCCATCACTCCTATAACAAAAGACAGGTTAACGAGAGAAGCATGACAAATTTACTTAATCAACATTTTACATGACACAGGCACCTTCAGAAATGAAGGCTCTGGTTGGGTGCGGTGGCTCATTCCAGTAATCCCAGCACTTTGGGAGCCCTAGGTGGGTGGAATTGCTTGAGCCCAGGAGTTCGGGACCAGGCTGGGCAACATGGTGAGACTTCATCTCTACAAAAAATAAAAAAGTGGCGTGTGCCCATATTCCCAGCTACTCGGGAGGCTGAGTCGGGAAGATCACTTGAGCCCAGGAGGTCGAGGTTGTAGTGAGCCGTGACCACGCCACTGCACTGCAACCTGGGTGACAGAGAGAAACCTTGTCTAAATTAAATTAAAGAAATAAAGACCCAGGGAAGACTGTTTTTATGCTTAGTTTTGATGAAGAATGGACAGCCTTGTAAAAATATGATGGGACAAAAAGGTATGGCCTAATGGTGATAGACTGAAGGGGAAACCCAGCAAGGCCTGTCTGTCCAGATTCTTTTTGGCTTCTCTGTATAACATTCCTCTCCTACTGTGAGGCAGGAGCCCTCTGGAATAAGGGTCTTCAAGGGAGAAGGGAGAGAGCGATGTTTTTAGGTTTTATAGCTTCCTTTGGGGGAGGAGTTCTAGTTTCTGTGATGAACCTTGGAGAAGAAGAATTCTGGTTTCTGTGACTTGCTTTGGGAGACAAGGAGGGGCTTGAGACAGGAAGGCAGGAGAAGGTCAGTGGGACAGTATTTCTGAGGCCCTTTCGGTTGCTTCAGTTGAAAGTACTCAACATGCAATGCTGTTATACTTTGGGGTATTGTGTTCTGAGCTCCAGCAAATACAGAGAAGTGGCATGGAGGTTGCTTCTTGAAATGTATTCACATGGTGCCATGCAATGCTGTTATACTTTGGGGTATTGTGTTCTGAGCTCCAGCAAATACAGAGAAGTGGCATGGAGGTTGCTTCTTGAAATGTATTCACATGGTGCCAGGAGCTTTCTTGTGGGTCATGGGGAGTTTGGTGATCCTGTCCACGGAGCACCAGTTTACAGTGTGTATCAGATGTGGTGATGCATGGTCTGATCCTGAGTCTCTTCACGCATAGAGGCCCTGGGGTGGAAGGATGGTAAGTTGAGGCTAGCTTCAGTGCACATACATGCTTATTATCAAATTTTCAATGGCTCACACTTCAGGTACTCAAATACATGCACCTACATATTCATAGCAGCAGTGTTTACAACAGCTAAAAGGTGGAAACAATGCAGATGTCCATTAACGGATATATGGAGAAACAAACTGTGGTATATCCATACAATAGAATATGACTCATCCACAAAAAGGAACGAAGTGCTGATATGCGCTACAATGGTGGAAGGACTTTGAGAATATTATACTAAGTGAAAGATGCTAGACACAAAAGGTCACATATTTTATGGTTGCATTTATATGAAATATCCAGAATAGGTAAATCCATAGAGATAGGAAGCAGATTGGTGGTTCCTGGGGTCCAGGGGAAGAGGAAAAGGGAGTAACTGCATAATGGGCTAGTGGTTTTGCTTTGGAGTGATAGAAGTGTTTTGGAAGTGGATAGATGTGATGGTCACACAACATGGTAAATGCACTAAGTGCCCCTGAATTGTTCATTTAAAAATGGTTAATTTTACATTATGCTAAGATCACCTCAATAAAAAAGGATATCATTAACATCCCCCCTAAAAACCCCAAACAAACAAAAATCAAGATAATTAAAACCTGCTGACCTGGACTTATTAAACTGTTCTCCTTTTTTTCCCTGAATAAACTTTGTATTTTCCTGACTCTGTATTTTTGTTCACATTATGCTTTCAGACTGGAATGTTTTCCTTTATTCATTTTCCACATCCAAGTCTTATCCAGTCTTAAAAGAATACCACCATAAAACTTCTTTGTACCCCTTGAATTTCCTTCATCTTTCTTAAACCCATGCCCAAAATCCTCTGTCCATCCTTCGAAGGCCCCTATACCTTTTATCTATACCTCTCTTTGTGTAGGTAACAAATGTGATCTTGGATTATATTAATTTATATTAATTTATTAGCTCTCTGTGTGCTTGAGTTTTGGGACTGCAATATCGGTTTTTTTTTTTTCCTTTTGTCTCAGCATTTATTTATTTTCATTTTTTTAGAGATAGAGTGTTGCTTTGTTGCCCAGGCTGGAGTGTGGTGGTGTGATCATAGCTTACTGCAACCTTGAACTCCTGAGCTCAGTTGATCCTCCTACCTCAGCCTCTTGAGTAGCTGAGGCTACAGAAGTGTGCCACTGTGCCTGGCTAATTATTTTTATTTTTTGGGGAGATGAGGTCTTGCTATATCACCCAGCTAGTCTCAAACTGCTAGCCTCAAGCAGCTCTCCTGCCTTGGCCTTCCAAAGTTCTGGGATTACAGGCGTGAGCCACCATGCCTGGCCCCAATATGTTTTCACTAAATAGAAGAAATCACACTTTTGGGAGTGTGTAGGAAGCCTAGTACTATATCAGATAATTTTCCTATAGCTTAGATGTTAGAATTGAATTGTAATTAGAATTCAGTGACTTAAAATTTGGTTGATTGATTTACTTATTCGACATTTAGCTGCTATGACAGGTGGGCACTGTGATGGATCTGGGAATACAGGGATGAGTATGACAGAGTTCTGGAAACAGAAGAACACATCTTCACCTTGTGTTTAATGTCAAATTGACAGGAGCTGCCCATTATTTAAGCAGTGTGCAGGGAAGAGTCTAGTCCCAAGGTGACTGCAGACCCCGGTTCTAGTGCTTATTCGTGGTGCTCCTTCTTATCATTAGTTTTGACAAAGACATGCACACTTTGAATTCTCAAGTGAGAGTTATTTATTTTTAAAATTTCCTTAAGATTTCTTGTCAAATTTCATTTTGATCTGTATGTCCTTAAATGTATCCAAGGCTGAATCATAATTGTTGTTCTTTGAGGGGCTTAAGGTTTTTTACTCTGTATTTCCCTTGTGTACTCCAAAATGTAAGTAGGAAGGTACATGTGCCACGTAAATACATGGTGGCATGCATGTGGTTGGAGTATGTAGTACTCATGATTTGGAGGCATTGAAAAATTGTCAGGTGCTTTAAAATGACCAAATAAAGTTTCAGTTTAGTTGACTGTTTTCAATAATATGTATCTTATTTTTTTAAATGATTTTTCGAAACTTAGTCATCGTTTCTTATGATTAAGTAAACCAGGACACTCCATTTCTTCCCCTTGGTATATAAGTAGGCTTTTATGGTAATTTTTTTTCTGATTAAGTTTAAGACCGTGTCTTCTGTTCTCAGGGTCTGCTCTGAGTGATTTACCATAATAGTGGAGAATAGGAAGTTCTTCCAGGCTGTGGAAAGAAATAGCTCTGAAGTGTGAGCCATTGAAAAATTGATAGTAAACATGTGTGTATTTTGTTGCATTAGATGAAAAAGCACAGTTTTTTGACTTAAGTATAGCAACGCTTTTTTTAGATTTCAGATTTCAAATGAGCACCCCAACTATTTTTTTACTCTTTGCCCATACTATTGTAATTCCAGAGACTAAGAAGGGAACACTAAGCCAAGAGGTCGTCAGGTAATGGCTTATTCTCAAATTGATATTTGAGAGATATCAATGTGCTGTTATATTCTCAAAGAAGAGCATGACACCATATTGCCCTAAGATTACAGTATGAATGGATTCATTTTTAGGAAGGACTGCATGGTTATATTTTTTTTACCTGGTAAATTCTTAGTCATAAAAAGGACTAGGAGGTAACATGGAGGTTGCCTAGTCAAGTCTCAAAGCTTTGAAAATTAAAGCCTGGAGGGGTTGCTCAGTTTATAAGTGGCTGGGATAAGATCTGTATCCAGGCCAGTGTTTATTCATCACATGTGTGCATGTGTATAGGATGAATTCTTAGTGTATTTTGCTTTCATATGTATTGATTGTATACTTGCTATCCTGTTGTTCATATGCATGCTGTATTCTTCATAAATCAAGTCATAATATGTACATGTGCACATTTTAAGTGTAAGAACAATTGCTTTTCCAGACTATCATGGCAATAAATAGATTTCAATTAGTTGTAATTGAGAGATCAAGGGAAAGCGTCATCTCTTTATTTGAAAAAGTCCACAGTTCTTGATGATTTTCTTATAATTTTCTTACATAGTTCACTCAGGAAGTCATTATTTTCATATTTAGCCAGGCTATGATGACCTTAATCCTGATTGGAGGCTCTCTACTGAGAAGAGAAAAAAAATCAAAGGTGAGTTCTACGAAATGTGATAATTGAAACCTTAATATACTCCTATTATTATACAAGATTCTCTTTGGATGATATAAAAAGTCTCTAGATACTTTTGCTGCACTTTGGAAGAAACATCAAGATTTCATAGAGTTGGGTCAAGGCAACAGATCCAGTTTTCTGATGGTCAGGCTTTCCTAAAAGCTGGCTCTCCTGCCAGGAGCCAGCATTGAGATGGTACACTGAGTTCAATGCTTAGAAGCGTGCTCCTTTTCAGATGCCCTTGGGTGAGATCAAGCTTCATCAAAGAAGAAACACTGAGTAAAGTTATCTCGCGGGTTGGGGGTAATTAGGGTTAGGCTGGTGGGGCTTTCTTTGTCTTTGCATACATTTCCACGTTTTAAAGAAAAAATTTCTTTTTTACAATGAGCATATATTGCTTTTATAAGTAGAAAAAAATCAAGATTTACATTTAAATAAAAGTAATAATTGTCATTTGATTGCTAGATTGAAACAGAGATATTATAAAATCCTGTAGGGGTTACTTTTGAGATTTTTTCACTTTTAGTTTTTGACTGTGTTATTTTTCTTTAGGTGAAACTTTCTAAGTTAAATCCGTGATGAATTTTTAAGTGTCTTCAGTAAAATCAGTGATAGTTATAAGGTTCAGGCTCTGTTATTACAATATGCTTTTATGCCGGGCGCGGTGGCTCTTGCCTGCATTTTGGGAGGCCAAGGCAGGTGGATCACCCGAGGTCGGGAGTTCAAGACCAGCCTGGCCAACATGGTGAAACCCTGTCTCTACTGGAAATAAAAAATTAGCCAGGCGTGGTGGTGCACACCTGTAATCCCAGATACTCGGGAGGCTGAGGCAGGAGAATCACTTTAGCCTGGGAGGCAGAGGTTGCAGTGAGCCGAGATCGCGGGACTGCACTCCAGCCTGGGCGACAGAGTGAGAGTTCGTCTCAAAAAAAAAAATGCTTTTAGTTCACATTTAAAGAAGATTAAAAATATTGATTAATATTATGCATCAGGTTCCATGCTTTGAATTATTCGCTTTAAATAATCATCCAAAATATTCATCCAGACGTATTTTTGAGGAAAAGTACTACTTTGTCAAAGCAGAAATTAGAATTTGATTTTAGTGATTTGCTCCTCTTTCTTTCTACTTTACACTTAGTGATAAGCCCCAGGAACTCTGCTTTTCACATTTTCTTGAAATTTCTTATTTACATGGATTGCCTTAGGCTTACATGGGGAAAAAGTGTTGTTAATGCTTTTTATTTTCATTAAAACAATGAGTTAGTCTCATGGTTCTGAACTCCATATTTAAAATCTCTCTCTTCTTAGTCTAATGTTTAAATATGTTGTTAAATTTATGGTTTACTTTTACCTTTAAACCACATCATATGTTTTGTATAACAGGTGATATTCAAAAAATGTACAGTAAAATTATAATAAATATGGCATTGCCTTTTGAATGCCTTAGTTTGGTGAACCATAATTCATTTCCTTTTTTTCTTTTTGTTTTTTGGACAGAGTCTCGCTCTGTCGCCCAGGCTGGAGTGTAGTGGCACCATCTAGGCTCACCGCGACCTCCATCTCCCGGGTTCAAGTGATTCTCCAGTCTCCCCAGTAGTTGGAACTACAGGCACGCACCACCATGCCTGGCTAATTTTTGTATTTTTAATAGAGATGGGGTTTCACCATATTGGCCAGGCTGGTCTCGAACTCCTGACCTTGTGGTCTGCCCACCTCAGCCTCCCAAAGTGCTGGGATTACAGGCGTGAACCACTGTGCCCGGCCCATAATTCATTTTCATTTCTAAAGATTCTTTGCTAGCCATAAATTTTTTTTTTCCCTCTCTGATTAGTTACAAGTTTAAGAGGAAATCAGCACTGGAAACTATTACATATCTGTCTTATATTTTTCTAAAGGGTGTATTTCTCTCAGTGTTTGTCTGAAAGTGGTATGTGTACATTTTTCAAAACATTATATGACCTTCATGTATGCACACCTGGTAGACACCTGCCTTTCAACTTAGGTTGAAAGTAGTGACACATCTCTCTCCTGAGTGTATTCTTGAAATGAAAGACCTCAGTTTATTTGCCTTTGTATCCTTAGAATTTTAGACCTAGACTGACAAATTGTTGGCGCTCAATTTGTCAAGGGAATTAACATTTTATACCTCATAGAGTAAAATTTTGAGAATGACTTACATTTTATTTTTTCTTATTATTTAACATACCATTAGGGCCCAAATAATGTAGATAAATTTTGTTTTAAAATTGATTATTATACTAAATATTTTGAATTTAAACCACATTAGCAGATGCATTTGTATTGATTTGTTTTTCGCTTCTTAGATAAAGAGTCCTTTTACCCACTGATAGATGTCAATTGGTGGGCAGACAGTGCAGTGACTTTAGCTCGATGCTCTGGTGCTTTAACTGTTTCATCTGTGAAAACTTTGAAGAATTTACTGGGAAAATCCTGTGAATGGTTTGAACCATCACCTCAAGTCACTGCTACCCATGATGGGGGATTTTTAAGTTTGGAGGTAAGGCTTTTTCCTGTTTGTTTGAGAATAGTTATGTATTTAACCAAAAATTTAAATATCTGGTTTTTATTTGAGTTGTCTTATTATCTTTTCTTTAAAAATAAAAATCTGTGATTGGAATCAGGTAATGGTTGTAGTATAAAAAATCCATTTTTTAGTGAATAAAAAAATTTGCAATTATAATGAAGAAAATTTGTTGTCATTTTGCTCTGTATAAAGTATTTCTTTTTCACTGAAATGATATATTTTTTTCCTCCCTCGATTAGTCATTTAAAAATGTAGAATGGTATCAGTACCTAAGAAAAATACTCTTTAACCCATTTCCAAAAAGCATGGCAACTTACAAAGTTTTTGATTCTTTTAGTAAGGAAACTTGTTTATTATGACAAAAGACTTGAAAATAGAGGCTAGTTCTGTAAAGTTATCTTTTGGTCATTTAAAAATTTTATTTTAAGCCTTTCAAGGGTAACAACCTTTAATAGCTTTCACTTCAGCAATGCAGATTGACATATTTTTTACTCTGAAGTTTGTTATGGAATCTAAAGATGTTCCTTAAAGAAAACTATGGCTTAAAATCTAAGCCAGCTCTGTTAAGTCTGGAATGAAAGTTATCTTTAACAGCCAGACTTTCAGACTCAGAACTTAGCAAAGCTGTTAGACATCTTTATAAGGGGGTGAGGGAGAGCTATTCTTGGTAAAACAAATGTAAGTACCTTTATGTTCATTCTCTAAAGAGACAAAAACAAATCATCAAATTATCAGGTACAAGACCTGATAATTATATGTACAAGACCGTATTAATGACCTGTTATTAAAACAGGCTTTAGGCTGGGCTCAGTGGCTCACACCTCTAATCCCAGCACTTTGGGAGGCCAAGGCGGGTGGATCAATTAAGGCCAGGAATTTGTGACCAGCCTGGCCAACATGGTGAAACCCTATCTCTAGTAAAAATACAAAAATTGGCTGGGCGTGGTGGCGGGTGCCTGTAATCCCAGCTACTCGGGAGGCTGAGGCAGGAGAATCGTCTGAACCTGGGAGGCCGAGGTTGCAGTAAGCTGAGATCACGCCACTGCATTCCAGCCTGGGTGACAGAGGAGGCTCCATCTCAAAGAAGAAGAAGAAGAAGAAGAAGAAGAAAAAAACAGGCTTTAGTTTAGATTTGAGCTGATAATGTATGTGCATATTTCTGATGTATATAATGCTTGCTGTAAGGTTCCTTTGAGTTCCATTGTTAATCTTGATCACATAGCTGATTTAATGAATCAAACCAGAGTAGATTTAGAAATATATTTTCTTTCATTAATTCTAAAAAGTTATTCTTATTTCCTTACTATTAACTTCAAATCTCCTTTTTCAATTTAGTGTGAGATTAAACTTGCCCCCAAACGATCTCGTTTGGAGACTAGAGCTGGAGAAGAAGATGAAGGAGAAGAGGATTCTGATTCTGATTATGAAATATCTGCCAAGGCTCGCTACTTTGGTTATATAAAACAGGGCCTTTACTTGGTGACTGAAATGGAGCGATTTGCACCACCACGGAAACGCCCACGAACCATTACTAAAAACTACCGCCTTGTGAGTTTGCGCTCCACGACACCAGAGGAACTTTATCAGAGGAAGGTGAGAGAGTAGCATATTACTACCCAAGTTTGAAGTCATCAAGCTTTTCTTTTATTGAGAAAAAGTTAATTTTTTAATAAAGGAGAAAATTTCAAGAGGGATGTTGGATCATTGACATGTTAAAAATATCAGTTCTATAAAGCTTTTTAAAATAATGCTAATCTTTGTACCTAAATAATCAAAATCAAAACCATGGATAAAAATTGAATTCACTTAGACTGATTATCCACTTGGTGGCTTAGCTCATTTCTTTGCTACCCTTCATGTGGCCTTCAGCTCTCCCTTTATCTGTGTTTAAATCAGCCATCTACAGAGGGTGAAGGAAGAAGTTCAGACTTGCTTTCTAGTCCAGGGCTTGCTTGGGAAGCCGAGGTGACCAGCACTGTGTGTTCACGTGATTTGTGCTGTTCTTGCAATGTCGTGGTAGGAGCTCTGGACTAGAAGCCGGGTTGTTCCATGGTTGTCTTGGTTTTGCCGCTGTTTTACTCTAAAACGAGAGCTTTGCACCTTTTATCTCTCATCTTTCTGTTGAAGTGCTGAAAGAAACACGAGATCTTTCTGCTCCTCAAAATATCTGTGAGCTTCTGGTGCCACAGTGCACAGGAATTAGTGACATGCTGGATAAGTCCAAGGGATTATCATCATTCATTGTATCATCATCAGGACCCTGTGGATAATTCAGTCATGTAACATTCCTGTCCTCGTGTTTTTATCTGAAGATTGAAAGTGAAGAGTATGAGGAAGCCTTGTCCTTGGCTCATACCTACGGCCTGGATACTGACCTTGTATATCAGAGGCAGTGGAGGAAGTCAGCGGTCAACGTTGCTTCAATTCAGAATTATTTGGTATGTTTAAATATTTTGGTAATGTGGTAAAATGTATATTCATGTAATATCTTTTGTTTATAGGGCTTCATTTTAGAGTACTTTACATTGCTGACTTTTCTATAATACAGCCAATGAAGTACAATTTTCTCAGCTGGAAAAATGGTCTTTTTGTTAGATTTTATTGCCCCTGCAACTGGACTTTGATGCTGAATACATGTGAACAAATATTCACAGATAAACCAGCTAACTACTTGGTCTCGGCCTAACGTTTTCTTTCCTGTACCACAATCACTTCTCTTTACCTGCATGAGTCAAGAGCTAGTCAGATGCCAGAAATCACACAGTAATTTAAACAGGGAAATTTACAATATGGAGAATTATTTTCTAGTAACCAGAGATGAACTATAAAGGATGTGAAGAGAACGCTAAGGACTACCCTAGGGCTGAAGGGACATATCCATGAAGGGAATGAACTTGGAAGGGAGGCCCCTCCCCTAGGCTGGGATTCAGACCCATTGGACCAGGAGTGGTTGCAGCATGTAGGATGGAAGAGAAGTTCTCTGGGTTGCCTTGAGCCAGGGCTGGTCCACGGTTGCCAAGGTTGGCAGTCAGGGAGATATGGGATGGATAGGAAAGCTGGACGCCTGCTTCTGGGGGGGGCCAGTGAGCTGAGGTTGGGGTTTAGAAGACCCCAGGGACTAGGAAGCAGGAAACCCCTACCAGCATGCATGTGGCTCAAGGCTGGTAGATAATTAAGGAATCATGGCCAAGACTGGCAAGAAAAAACTGTCTACTCCTATAGGCAGCCTTACTGTAGCTTCCAGTCTGGGAAGCTTCCCTCTCAGGTGCCTGGGTGATTCACTAGAAAACAATCTGCCCATGAGAGTGTCACTGAAACTCAGTGGGAGGTTGTCAACAGAGGGAGGAAGCGGGGAAGTAAGTGCCACTTGATGTTGCCCACGTGCCTTGTTGGTGGCCAAGCCATAGGAGCAAGAAGAAAAGAACCAAAGCACATCAGGACTAGAAAGCAGAGCCTCTTCCTTTGCAGTGGCCCTCCAGCACCCAGAGCTTAAAATCGTGTCAACCACAAATGAGATATGCTACCACAGAGCTGGCTTTGAGGGGAAATTTGGAGCTGAGAGGCAATAAATAGGTAACATATATGAAAACTGCGAAATATGCCTTTTTAAAACTTAAATCTCAAAACTGGATACTTCCTGTTACCTGCCTCCCATAGTTAAGGTTAATATAGTCTTGTCTCAATTAGTTTTAGCCGCTGCAACAAAAATATCAGACTATGTGGTTTCAACAGCAGAAATTTATTTCTCTTAGTTCTAGAGGCTGGGAAGTGCAAAATCAAGGTGTTAGCCAATTTCGTTCCTGGTGAGGGCACTCTCCTGGTTTGCAGATGGATTTCTTTCTTGCTGTGTCCTTATATGGCAGACAGCAGAGAGAGAGAAAGAAGGCTCTCTACTGCCTCCTCTTATGAGGACACCAATCCTATCATGGGGCCTCCACTCTCATGACCTAATTGCTTTCTAAAGGTCTCATTTCCAAACATCATCACTCTGGGGATTAGTTTTTCAACATATGGATTTTGGGGGACATATTGATTTCATAGCAAGCCTATATGTTTTAACCTTTGGCATCTTTGTAAGAAAGAATTATAGTTAGACTCATGGCATACTTTTAAAAAGGTTGAGACTTCTGATCTTAACATATAGAAAGGAAAATACCTTTGCATTGTGGAAGATTATAGGAAACACTGGGAAAATTTCATGATGATTATTTCCCTAAAAGTTTTATACGTTAGTAATTAAAAGTAAAAATATAACATGAAAAAGTTGTATGGAAGAAGATGATGCATCAGCCAAACAGGATGATAAACCTAACATTAATACAAGCAAGATATCAGAGGTGAAAGAGCATGAGAGGTAATGAAACGGAAGAAGATAAAGTTGCTTGTATTTTCTTTAGAAAATCAAAACACTAATTCTGTATTATTTTTCTTTCTTGTTTTGTGATCTAAGACAATGAGCTCATGAGTTCATGTATATCTTTTTCTGGGATACAGTAAAGGACAGTTTTTGTCTCTGAGGGAGTTGAGGGATGTTAAGAGAGACAAAGCAAGTACTTTTTTGGGGAGGGGAATATTTCGTTTAGTTAAATAGACAGTTAAGAGCAAGAGCACTATGCTAGGGACTGTGAAGGGGTACAGGACAGGCATAAATGTGGCTTTTGCTCATAGGGAGCTTATGATTTTTTTTGTTTTGTTTTGAGATGGAGTTTTGCTTTTTTTTGCCCAGGCTGGATTGCAATGGTGCGATCTCGGCTCACTGCAGCTTCTGCCTCCCTGGTTCAAGTGATTCTCCCGCCTCAGCCTCCCAAGTAGCTTGGGACTACAGGCACACAACACCACACCTGGCTAATTTTTGTATTTTTAGTAGAGACGGGGGTTCACCATATTAAAAATAACTGGCCGTATAAGTAGATTTCAGATACAACTCTAGAAACCCAGTGAAGATAGTGATTATTATAGATCTGGTAGAGATGGAAGATTTTATATAGTGAAGATGTTTGGAGCAGGGATTTGGAAGGATTTAAATTAGGCCTTCTTGAATGAGAAGGGAGGAAGACATTCTTAACAGGACAGATGGTATGAACAAATTAAAAGACACTGAGCATGATTTATGAGGCCAGTGACTAAATCTGTTTTATTCACTGCTATATTTCCATGTCTAGTTCAGTGGCTGGTGTGCAGTAGGTGCCCAGTAAACATTTTATGGATAAATGAGCTCTGTACATCAACCAGTTTGCTGGCACTGATATTTGACAATAGTGAACACTGGGAAACATGATTGAAAAGATATATTGATTTGAGTTCAGGAGGATGTGGAAAGCTTCTGATGACTTAGGCATTTATCTACTGTTGTGGATTTCTGACTGTGGAAGCAGAGGAAGATGGTGTAGAGAGAATTGGAGTGGAAGGAAGGTAGGAAACCTTGCTTGGGGCAGGGGACTCCTACAGTGTGCTAGATGTTTTGTGTTGATGATTTAGACTGGTATGGAGGCCGCAGCTGTGGAAAAGGGAAAGTGAATTAAGAGACATTTGAAGAAAGAACTGATGTGAGGCAATATATAAAGGATCCTAGGGAATGAGTCAAATCTTAATTAAAATTTATAACCATAATAGCTCTTTCTAGGAAGAGGGCAAGTCAGGGATTTTTTTTTTATTTTTTATTTTTTAATTATTATTTTACTTTAAGTTCTAGGGTACATGTGCACAACGTGCAGGTTTGTTACATATGTATACATGTGCCATGGTGGTGTGCTGCACCCATTAACTCGTCATTTACATTAGGCATATCTCCTAATGCTATCCCTCCCCCCTCCCCCCACCCCCCAGCAGGCCCCGGTGTGTGATGTTCCCCACCCTGTGTCCATGTGTTCTCATTGTTCAATTCCCACCTATGAGTGAGAACATGCGGTGTTTGGTTTTCTGTCCTTGTGATAGTTTGCTCAGAATGATGGTTTCCAGCTTCATCTATGTCCCTATACAGGATGTGAACTCATCCTTTTTTATGGCTGCATAGTATTCCATGGTGTATATATGCCACATTTTCTTAATCCAGTCTATCATTGATGGACATTTGGGTTGGTTCCAAGTCTTTGCTATTGTGAGTAGTGTCGCTATAAACATACGTGTGCATATGTCTTTATAGTAGGAAGATTTGTAATCCTTTGGGTATATGCCCAGTAGTGGGATTGCTGGGTCAAATGGTATTTCTAGTTCTAGATCCTTGAGGAATCGCCACACTGTCTTCCACAATAACAAAGACACAACATACCAGAATCTCTGGGACACATTTAAAGCAGTGTGTAGAGGGAAATTTATAGCACTAAGTGCCCACAAGAGAAAGCAGGAGAGATCTAAAATTGACACCCTAACATCACAATTTACAGAACTAGAGAAATAAGAGCAAACACATTCAAAAGCTAGCAGAAGGCAAGAAATAACTAAGATCAGAGCAGAACTGAAGGAGATAGAGGCACAAAAAAACCTTCAAAAAATCAATGAATCCAGGAGCTGGTTTTTTGAAAAGATCAACAAAATTGATAGACCACTAGCAAGACTAATAAAGTCAGAGATTTTGAATGGAGTTGGAGGAAATAGTTGGGAGGGAGGAATAGGACTTTGATCTTTCCAAAAAACAGCATATCATGACTTTTTATGATCAAGTTATTCACACCCTGGGATATATCTCATGGTCAAATAAATACAGAAATTTGATGGGCTCATTTGTTTTGTTTAAAAGTTAAACATGCTTATTAATTATGACAGAATATATCTTGCCTTTCTGCCTTATTGTCTGCTCTATTATACAGCCACGGTGCAAACCAAAGGCATTTATAAAAGTTAGGAGGAAACATTTTATATTTCCAAAAATGAGTCCTGAGCTTTCTGTTTCTGCGTAGCTCATTAGAGGAAGAAAGCAAGCAGGTCAACTCACACTCCCCGCATCCAGTTGTAGTCACCATTAGGCAACTGGCTGCTTTTCTCTTGAGTTCCTCTAGCAGCTCCCTATGGCCAAGGTCCTAAATAGCTGTAATACATCAGGTATAGCTTTACAATTCTGAAGGCAGTTGTAATGTGTTGTAAGATGTCATGGATTCTGTAATTCCTCTGTTTCTTCCTTTATATGCAGAGTAAAATAAAGAAGCGATCCTGGGTTCTCCATGAGTGTTTGGAAAGAGTTCCTGAAAATGTGGATGCTGCAAAAGAACTGCTTCAGTATGGATTAAAAGGCACAGACCTGGAGGCTCTTTTAGCAATAGGGAAAGGAGCAGATGATGGCAGGTTGGTTACAGAAAGAATTGGATTCAAAGTAAAGGTGACTTTGTGAAAACTTTTGTACTGAGACATTGGACTGGGTAAACTTTTCTTTATTTAAGTTATTCTGTACTGAAGCAGTTGCTTTTGATCAATACTGTCTTACCTGAAGTCATTGCTCATCAGGCATTTGGAACTTTTTAAAAAATATAAATATGAGAGTATATCTGAGAAGTAAATAATTAAAATGAGACTGACACTACCATTTGAAGACCTTAAGTAGAAGTGATTCAAATAGCAAACTCTGTGGACATTTTCAGCATAGGCTGCTTTACATTGAGTGAATGTAACCCCACATCTCTTCCTAAATAGTTTTCATTTTCTTGATTTTTAGATTTCTATTTGTAATAATTACTGATGACTTTTTGCCCATCTGTGGATATAATGAATGATCACTTTGTTTACAATGGCAAAAGTTTTTTTCAAATACTTTCTTCTGTTTTTGTGGAAATCAATAATGAAATCAGTCAAAATAGGAGAAAGCTTTTCACAACACGAAGTTTTTAAAAATGATGAAAATATATTTGTTCTTTTATACTTGCAGATTTACATTACCTGGTGAAATAGACATTGACAGTATCTCCTATGAAGAGCTTTCACCACCTGATGAAGAGCCTGCCAAGAATAAAAAGGAAAAGGAGCTCAAGAAGAGACAAGAACTACTGAAATTAGTGAACTTTTCCAAGTAAATGAGTTGTTACTGTTCATTTGATAGTTTCTTTAAAATAACTAATCATTTCAGTGTGTTCCTTACTAGTAATAATTAGTCCAAATTATTTTAGCAACTTAGATCAAATGTACTTACTATTATCTTACCCTTGTGCTTTTCTGAACTGTTTCATGAGTTTTGGGCTCAACGGAATATTAATCATTTTCATTATAACTCCTAGAGAAATAATTCTGTGTAAATATAAGTGGCCTAACATAGTTATTCAAAACAGGTTGACACTGGAACAAAAGGAACTTTGCCGTTGTAGACGGAAGTTATTAACCTACTTAGATCGACTTGCAACATATGAGGTAATGAATAATTTTTGTCAAACCAATTATGTTCATTTGATCTGTCATTATAAATGCTATGGCTGCCCTAATATCGGATATTCTTGGTCTTTAGAACTATTTTTCTGGGAAAAATTAATTTCTTATAGAAGCAAGTTCTCTTATATACTAGTTTTGGTAAAAATTAGAGATTGTGAAAGCCAGAAGTTGTTTTGTTAGACTAGGGAATAGAAGTGCCTTAGCCATTTCAGTGCATTTGTGTTTTCTAGATTTATAATCTTTTTCATTTACTTTTATATTTTGATTTTAAGATAATGGCACATAACTTTTTTCCATACCAGATTTCAGTATATACTAGGTTTTAATGTGAATATTTCTGACTCGTTTTATTTTAGTGATTTTTTTTTTTTTTTGAGATAGGATCTCACTCTGTTCTCCAGGCTGGAGTGCAGTGGCATGATCTCAGCTCACTGCAACCTCTGCCTCCTGGGTTCAGGCGATTCTCATCCCTTAGCCTCCTGAGTAGCTGGAACTACAGGCACATGCCACCACACATGGCAAATTTTTGCATTTTTTTAGAGACAGGGTTTTGCCATGTTGCCCAGTCTGGTTTTGAACTTCTAGACTCAAGCAATCCACCCGCCTCAGCCTCCTGAAGTGCTAGGATTACAGGTGTGAGCCACTATGCCTGGCGTATTTTAATTATTTGTTAGTGGGTTGAATTTAGTTGATTCACCTTTGATCCTAATTAGGGCTGAAGTTAGATTATTTGAGCTTAAAAACAGTATACTTCACATTTGGGTCTTCAGGGACACAAACATAGATGTCCCCATGTTGGGCATTTCAGTAGCACTCTGTAGTTTAAGACCAACTTAGATATTGTTAAAAGCGTAAGTGGAAGTCAGCCACATTTCAGTAATACGTAGGTTAGGTTGCTTTTTCACATGACTCTTATAGCTGAAGTTCTCCAGATTTTAAGGTAAGTTTTTCATTATTGAAGTTTGACTTCACTTGGAGGTTACTTTCTTAGTCTGTGTTCTGCCTCCCTTTTGTGTGTGTGCCTCGCAGCTCTTGGCACTGGCACACAGTAGGCACTGTATGTCACATCTGATAATGTAATGCTGGTCCCAAGAACGTCTGACCATGCAGGCAAATCCAAAAGCCTTCGATTCCCCCACCCTGCTAATATAATTGAAATGTTTTTAAACAAATACTGAAAGAGGGCTGTGGTTATTAAAAAAACATTGGTAATGACTATATCATTACCATTTATCATTACAAACAAGTTACAAAACACTCTTAGTAGTTTTATTGATAGATACAATTAGTTTGGCTATTGGATGATCACATTACTTTAAAACACGTCATGTTGATATGCCTGAGTTCTGTGATGTTTTGAGGTAATATATTGCAGAAGTCTGTACAGATACAATTTATTATTTTTATACTTAGCCTTAGTTTCTCTAATGATATCTTTTTTAAAAAGTGCCTAAAATGTTCAGTTTGACTATCCAGTTAATTTTTTTCATTATTTTTTAATTTTTAAATTGCTATTCCCTATATGATAGTAGTAAGTATATTTATTATTATACTGTAACAGTAACATTTAAAGTATTTGTTGAGCTTACTTTTTTTTAGAGAATTCAGCAAAGTTCTTGAAAAGTAGGTGAATTTGATGAATTTCACTGTTAAAACTTAGTAATGAAAATATTCAGATATAATAGCTAACCATTAGATAGTAGTAGAGATAGGCATTGCATTTTAATCACAGGACATGGCTTCTTTTATTAATACTGTGATAAATGAGATAAAAACGAATTCATTTAGATTTGACATGAATGCCTCCTAAACGCAAGATATTGTGCCATTGCTAGAGGTAGAGAAAGGAACAAGGAATGGGCTTCATGGAGTTCACATTGTATAGGCATTAAATGCTGATAAGAAAGGTATGGAGAATTGATGAGGAAACATAATGAAGAAGAATGTCAAATTCTTCCTGGGGATGTCTGAGAAGACTCCACATAGGAAGTAATAGCTGGCCTTTCACAAAAGGCAGGCAGATTTCAGGGACTAGGGAGTACCATAAGGGGGACATTAGAATGGAGTCTCCATACAGTTAGAGATTTGTCTTGTTTGCTGCTGTGTCTCTGAGCTCTGAACGGTTCCTGGCTCATTGAAGAGGTCAGTAAATATTTGTTGCAAGAACCAGTAGGTAGGAGAATACCCTTAAGAAATACCAACACATTTTTTTGAGGACTTAACTATTTGTCAGCCATTGTCTTATGAGATGGGTACTATCATCTTCTCTCCATTTTATGGGTATGAAAACTGAGGCTTAGAGAAGGTAAGTAATTTGTCCAAATAAATAGGAAGCAAGGGCTCATAATCAGGTCTCTCTGACGAGTAGCCCATGCTGATAATCAGTGTGCCATGTAAAGGCCCAGTGGCATGAAAGCAAGTGTCATGCTGTTGAGTAAGTAAGCTAGTCAGGGTACAGGATGGGGAGCGTGAGGGGTGGCACAGAACAAAGGTGGGAAGTATGGTTAGAATAGTTTGTGGTGATGTTTGGAAAGGTCTCCTGCCATGTAAGTAGTTGAATTGAATTTTTGTCAGAGGTTGGGCAAGTTTAGGAAATAACAAAAAGTGAAGGAGAGGAGAGGAGACTGTGGCTGGGGGTAGCCCTTTCAAGAAGTTTTACTGTGAAGAGGGGCAGAGAAGATGGTGGTGTCTAGAGCAGGTGTTTAGAATAGAAGGAAGAAGTATTGTTTTTATATTAATGGGAATGAAGTAGTAGAGGGTGAGGAGGACTTTATGGAACAGAAGAAAGAGGGGATACTTGCATGATTATAGAAGTGGAGTAGAAATGGGATCCAGGGCATGGGTGGGATTTTGAGGCTTTTTAGGAGCAGAGATATGTTTCTTTCTGCTGTAACTGGGAGGAAGGAAAATCTTATTACAGATGCAGGTAGGTGTGTAGTTTTGGTGGGTTGGAAAAATGAGGGATTTCTCATCTAATAGTGTCCAAAAAAGGCAAGGTTTTCAGCTGAGAATAGGGGCTGAGAAATAGTGTGTTGGAAGTCTGGAAAGAATGAGAGTTGTGGAAAAGTTCCTAACAGAGACTAGGAAATAAAACTTCTTAGGGAAATGTAGTAGCGTTGATGAACAGCACTAATTATCTATTTGAATTGTGTTGTCTTGAGTTTGTCAATTTTTTAGGTTTTTATTATAAAGAACTTCAGTCAGTCAAAGAAGTAGAGAGAAGAGTGGTGTGATGAGCCCGATGTGCCCATTGCTCAGCACCAACCATTTTCAGCATGCGCCAGTTGTGTGTCTTTTATTCTCCATGTTTCTACTCTTGCCTTCTCTCTTTCACTAAATATTTTAAAGCAAAGCCCGTATATCTTATTTCACCCATAAATATTTAGGTATGTGTGTCTAAGAAGGACTTAAGAAACTATAACCACAATGATATGATTATTTCTAACAAAATTAATAGTAATTCCCTAATAACATCTGATACTTCATCTTCAGATTTTCCTGGTGCTTTTTTTTTTTTTTTTTGCATTTGGTTCATTTGAATGAGGATTCAAGCAGTGTTGAGGTTTTGAAATTAAAATGGGAACTGTCAGCTTGGTTTTGTGGCATATCTTCAGTGACTTCATAGCTTGTGTTCAGGGATCATAGCTGGGTTTGACTGGTTAGGGTATGATTTGCTGGATGAGTGCGATAAAGGGAAAGAGGCAGGGATTAAGAAACCCTTTTAAAGCCATGAACCAGGCAGTTTAAGCTGATAGAAGGAATGAGGGACTTTGAGGGGAAATGGAAAGTGAACAAAATGGAGTGAGTGGATTGGATGCCTCTGTGAGGGTGAGGAGTAGTTAAAATACCACTTAGTATGCGACTAGGAAGATTAGGAGCGGTGATCACAGAGTCGGGGTTAGACATTGAAGTGTTTCATACAGTGTCTTTTGATGATGATAGAGATCCAGGGTTTTGTGACAGGATGTGTAACTGAGATGAAATAAAGGAAATAATTGTCATGCATGAGGAATCAAGGAACTGAGAGCTTTTTTTGTGAAACGGGGTCTTGCTCTGTTGCCCAGGCTGGAGTGTAGTGGCACAGTGATAGCTCACTGCACTCTTGACTTTCTGGACTCAAGCTGTCCTCCCATCTCAGTCTCCCAAGTAGTTGGGACTACAGATACATGGCACCATGCCCAGCTAATTTTTTGTTGTTGTTGTTGAGGTGAGATCTTGCCATCTTGCCCAAGCTGTTCTCAAACTCTTGGGCTCAAGCGATCCTCCCACTTCAGCCTGCCAAAGTATTGGGATTACAGGCGTGAGCCACCACGCCTGGCTGGAACATCTGTGAAATACTTTTCTTCTTTTGGTTTCCATGAGTATGCATTAAATTCTTTTTCCCTTTACTTCTCTGACTGTTCCTCCATCTACTTTTCAGATGCAGGTTCCCTTTTCCTTGTTCATCCTTTAAATAATGTTGTTCCTCAAGGCTCTTTCAAACTCATTCTATTTAATCTCCCTTGGAATAATACTTCTGTATTAATAGCCCTATGCCATATATCTCTAACTCACATCTTAGTCCAGAACTCCTGACCTGTGTATTCACCTGCTCGCTGCATAGCTCCTTTTAGACATGCCATAGTTGCCAACTTAACCCATCTACAAGTGAACTGCTCAGCTCTCCTTCCTCCCTCCCTCCCTCCCTCACCTCCTCCACATCTCCTCATTCTTCTCTTTCCTGTCTCAGCAAATTAATTCAGTCAACAAATATTTATTGGCTATTTATAAATACAGTCAGAAGAATACTGACAGGCAGTGTGCTAGGAATCTGGGATTCAGTATTAAACATGGCAGACATGAGCCCTAAGTCATACGTTGTAGTAGGGAGACCTACACTTGCGATTCCATGGCTAACTTTTCATTGTCTTTTATGTTTCAGCTTGTGGGCCACTTCTCTGTCCTCCCAGAACTAGTTGTGGCACCTTACTGAGTATTTCCCCTCACCTGTTCCTGGTCTTTCCTACTAGATTTTAAGCACATTAGAGGGTGGGAAAAGTGTATTGTTCAATGTATCACAGTGCCTATCACAGCTCCCTTAGCACATGGTGAGTGGCACTCGGTTAATATTTGTTGAATGAATGAATGGTTCAATCTGCATTTGACATAGGTCACCCTAGCAGTGGTGAAACTAAAGTTCATCTATAGAGGTTCAGGTGCTCATAATACATTGTCATGAATAACTGTTGCTTATTTTTACCTGGTGGTTGATTTTGGTTGTCCTACTGCAATTAACTTAATTTTTACTGCCTATTTCATTTACTTCCGGATTAAAAAAATAACATTTATTAATATAGCCCTTTCCAAAATAAAGGCAATAATGCAGATGTAGTACTTTAGTTAACAATTGATGGTTGAAATTAATTAATTCAGGCCTTATTTATTTAGGCAGGCAGAGTTGTAAAGGTTTTTAATATTTTCTTGTCACCCATATTTAAAAGCCTTTTCATTAAATCACTTTTCATTAAATTTCCCCTCAGGAAATCCTAGGAGTGCCTCATGCATCTGAACAGAGATATGATGCTGAATTCTTTAAGAAATTCAGAAATCAGAATATTGTTCTCTCAGCAAGAACTTATGCTCAGGTAATTTGCTTTTTGTAAATAAAATAATTATGGTTATTAACACTCTCTAAATCTTTGAGCTGTGCAGTTAATGTTATTGTGTGCATATATTACATTTTCTTTTTTGTTTTAATATTAATAAGTGTAGAGAAAATTTTAATTTAATATCCATCATTCTGAGTTTTAAAAATAAATAATTTTCATAGCCTTAGATTGAGAAACAGGATATAGGCTAGGAAAAACTAGGGTCATTTCAAGGTGTTTCATATCAGAGCTGCATAAAAAAGTTAGTTTTTGAATGTTGTCATATAAAATCACTCCTTTATTTCTTAGATTTACATTAGAAACTTACCCCTTGCCTTTTGTACAGGAAAGTAATGTACAAGCCCTGGAAATTCTGTTTACTTACCATGGTTCCGACCTGCTTCCTCATCGCCTTGCAATTCTGTCCAACTTTCCAGAGACCACTTCTCCACATGAATATTCTGTTTTGCTGCCCGAAGCTTGGTATGTGACTATGTTAACAGAATTTTACCTTCTTTTTTATATTGATAATTTTTTTGTCATGCTGAACACCTTAAAGTTAAAAAAAATAATTTTAATGTAATATATTTAAACTTTTTTCCTGATAAAAAATTAAGTTATTGTAAATGGTCCTGAAGCCAAAATGTTTCCAGTGTAACAGGCTTACCTTAACTTAATGAGCACAAATTTTTCCTTTTTTTGAAAGCCTCCTGATTTTACTTCTGTGTATTCAGTATGTACTGTTTTCTGGTTTAGAACAGTTTTTAGGATAATGTATGTCTGAGTTAGTTGTATCTTTTAGAAATTGAAGTGTGTTTTTGACAGTATTAGGTGGGAAGACCCAGAAACCCAGGAATACTGCATCCTCCTTTGCTCAGCAACCCTTTCTTCATAGGAAATTCCACAGGCACAAAGACAAATGGGAAATCAAAATATTGCTTTACCACTAGACTAATTATCCTCCTCTTAATTCACGGTGATTTGATAATTGGGTTGGGGCATGTGATATAGTGTCAAAGCCTATGTTGGAACCATTGAGTCCCTGTATTACCACCTGGTAGTCTTCCAGAGGCCAGAACATCTGTTCTTGAGAATAAAGGAGAGGGAGTACATTTGTCTCACTGCATAGCTCAAAAACAGACCATTTGCCCCAGGCCTGAATGGCACCTGGGAGAAAAGAGGGCTTAGCATACCTTGCTTAGGTCAGTTACTGAATAGAGGCATAAGGCAAAAGAGTAAGATGACACATCCATTTGTGTGAACTTTTACGTGAGGTAAGCTAGCCCACTAGTAAGTGTGGCTCAATGATTAACTACATGATTTATCTTTTCTGCATTTGAGTTACTTATCTTTAAAATGGGTTGAAGTCCCTGTCTTGCTTACTCACTTTGCATATTTTTAGTAACACCAGAATTGATAATTATAATATCTGCTTGTTAACTATAGTATACTGTAAAGTACCTTGTAGTACACTGTTAAGATAATTCTGACTGAAATCATTTTTACTAATTTCAGCTACTGGAAACTTACAGTGCTAAGAGATGTTATTCAAATTAGGGGATCATTTGGTTTCCTCATTCCTCCCTTGCTGCCTCCACTCAATATCCTATTTCTAGGCATGGGTATTAATGATGATGGTCAACATGTATAGAGTAATTACTATGTATTTGGCACTTATTTCTGGTCTTCAAATAATTTTGGTATTACCCTGTTATTACAGAAAGCTGAGATTTACAGAAGTTCAGTAGCATGCTGAAATCTATATATGGGCAGCCAGAATTTGAACCCGTATTTACTTTAAGTTGTAGGTCAGTAAGCAGCGAGAATATATTATAAACTCCTTAGTTTACATTAGTGTTAGTCCTTGAAAAGTAACTCTTTGTTCTGATAAAAATCAAGAAAAAGGGCCAGGTGCGGTGGCTCACGCCTGTAATCCCAGCACTTTGGGAGGCCGAGGTGGGTGGATCATGAAGTCAGGAGATCGAGACCATCCTGGCTAACATGGTGAAACCCCATCTCTACTAAAAATATAAAAAATTAGCTGGGCGTGGTAGCAGGGGCCTGTAGTCCCAGCTACTTGGGAGGCTGAGGCAGGAGAATGGCGTGAACCCAGGAGACAGAGCTTGCAGTGAGCTATCGCACCCCTGGGTGACAGAACGAGACTCCATCTCAAAAAAAAAGAAAAAATGCTCAGGATGCTTTTTTCATTTTCAAATAATTTTTAGATCTGTATAGTGAGGGATAATGTAAATGATGTTTTATAAATATATTTTATGCATGTTTTCAGAATATAATTAGATCAATGGTTCTCTATCTCTTTGCAGAATAAATCTAATCTGAATGGAAAATGGAAATGATCTTTCCTACTGTAAATTGTTAGTATAGAGAAAAGGGCTACTGTCTCTTAACGGTTTTTTTAAAGGCAGTTTCTCCTTCGATTTGGATACATTTGTCTAGGCCATACCACCCTGAAGGGCCTCCCCCATGTCCTCAGATTTGGATGCATTTATTGTCAGTGTTTTCTGATGATTGCTTAGATAAGCATTTGATTTTAACCTGAAATTTGAAAGTTGGTTTGCAAAAGAGCTGCACAGTACCCAATGCCACACTTTTCTTTGAATGCCCTGTGGTTCCTTTATGGGGCCTGCCACAAGAACCAGTTTAAATTGTGATCAATAATTTAGTCATACCCTATTGCAGCAGAGTATAATTAAAAGAATATAATGTTATTTTGAATCATTGTTTGGGGATATGTTGTTTAGACAAACTTTGAAGAGACTGATTTCTTATGAGTTCTTAAGTTAGCTTGTTTTCAAACACATTTGGAAAAAATAGAGTTTTTTTAAAATTAACCTTTGTTCTCAAGAAAGTCTTTCACACTGTTTTTTTGTATAGTTGTAAATAGTGAGAATGAACAATAGGTTACAATAATATCTCTGTCCTTTCATAATTTAGGTTTGTATTAGTCTGTTTGTGTTGCCACAGAGAAATACCTGAGGCTGGGTAATTTATAAAGAGAAAAGTTTTAATTGGCTCACAGTTGCACAGACTGTACAAGAAGCATAGCTCTGGCATCTGCTTCTGGTGAGAGCCTCAGGAAGTTTCCAGTCATGGTGGAAGGTGAAGGGGGAGCAAGCGCTCTCACATGGTGAGAGGGAAGCAAGAGAGAAAAGGGGGAGGTCCCAGACTCTTAAACAACTGGAACTAACTGAGTGAGAACTCACTTATCACCAAGGGGATGGTGCTGAACCACTAATGAGGGATCTGCCCTCATGATCCAGTTGTCCCCACCCAAACCCCGCCTCCAGCACTGGGAATCACATTTGAGTGTGAGATTTGGTGGGAAAAAACATCTAAACCATGTCATAGTTACTGCAAAGCAAAATCACACTTGTGCTTCAGGCATAACCTCTTCTAGGAGGATTTCTATAAGGTACTCCTTTCCCTATACTCATAATTCTTTCTTTATTTTCATAATGTAACACTTTTTACACTGTGTTATAGTCATACTTATTTCTGCCTTTTTCCCTCATTTCCTTCTTTAATAAATATCCGAGTAACTCTTAAAGACAGAGACCATCTCTTCCTTATGTTCAGATCCCAGTTAGGGCGGCGCTTGTATAGTGAGTATACTGAAAATATTTGCTGACTGCATAAATTAGGTCCTCTTGTGTCATTTAAAAAAGAGATTATGAAGTTTCCTGCAGGTAGTGCAGATGGACTTTCACTTGCTAACCTGGAAGAAGCCCAGGTCTGTGTTTACCGAGGACCTGAAGGATTCAACTGCTGTTTCAACCCATCGTTAAGGACAGAACTCTTTTATTCTAATTGAAGCTTTACCCTAAATGACAAGTAGAGCAGTAAGATGTACTTCTAGAAATTATTTCCGTTGTGAGGGTTCTTTGAATACTTGATATTCATTTTCAGCTCACTTGGAAGCAGTTCAGATGAGCAGTGTCCTATTTGTTGGTGCATGAGTGCTTTCCTCCACTTTCCACGCACCATTGGTTGGGCACCTCGAACGTGCATGGAACTGTGGTAGGGATTGAGGATGAGTAGAGCATAGCTCCTCTTCAGCACGAGTGATCAGGGATGCTTTACGAAGCAGTAGCACTTCCTGTTACAGCATCATGCTTTTAAACTGAGGAAGAAAGAAAACTTAAACATACCCTAAATAAGTAATTGCAGCTCATTCTGCTCTTTTCTTTTTTCTCGTCAATAGCAATGCTGAAAACTAACAAAATGACCTTGACATCCCCTCACTGCCTTGGATGGCCGTTAACTTTCCATGTGTGTGCCTTATTCTTCTATGAGAGTGTACATTGCTCAGTGGCTCAGCCTGTTTCATTTTGCTCTTTTCTTTGACTCCTCCACTTATATTTTGCAAGTAATAATGACTTTTTAATAATCTGTTGAATTGATTTCAAGTCAATTAGTGACTTGAGTTGAAACAAGTCACTAGACTCTTAAGTGTATGGCTCCCCAGATGCCTGTCTCACTGTGCAGTCTTCAGCCAGCTGTTAGGAGGCTTGCATAGAGCCCCCTGCTCTCTCCATTCCTGCCACACAGGCCTCTGGCTGTTCCTTGACCTTGCCAAGCCTGCTCCTGCCCTGGGTCTTTTTAATTTAGTGTGCCCTTCTCCCATGTCATCCTGTGACTGGGTCTCTTACTTCATTCTGAATCTCTACTCAGCATATCTCTTCATAAAGGTCTTCCCTGATCACATTTTTCATATAAGCTTCACTTTGCCCTTGCTTTTTGCCTATACTCTGTTTCTCTTCATAGCCTTACTCCTAATATGTTACATGGTTATTTGTCTTCTCTACTTTATCTGATCTTCCTTGGCCTTCCTATTTAAAATTCTACTCTCATTTTAAATCTTCCTTCTCTGCTTTATTTTCTTCCTAGCATTTATTATATAGTAATCTAATTAATTTGTGTTTTACTTATTTATCTTATTTATTGTCTGTTTCCCCTTCTGAAATAGCAGCTCCAATGGACAGCGATTTTGTGTGTTTTGTTTCCATCCTTATCTCCTGCAGTTAGAATATTGCCTGGAAAGTAGGCATTCGTTAAATACTTGTTGAGTGAATGAATAAATGCATGAGTGAATGTAAGATCCATAAAGAAGGACTTTGCCTCTTGTTCACGAATGTAGCTGCAGTACTGAGAACAGTGCCTAGTACAAACCAGTAGCTCAGGAAGTATTTTTTTGAAAGAATGAGTGACTTAGGAACCACAAATTAAGTGCATAGAAGGGTAGATAGAATTTTAGATTTTAGAGTTCAAGCTATATTAAATTTTGCAAAGCAATAGTAAGTTATGCCAAGTTGACCTATTGCCTGCTCTGTTTTGAGATCCCACTGGCAGAACTTTTGCCTTGGCATTTAACCAACATTTGATTAACCACTTTCGATTCAGACACATTTTATGATTATGAAAGCTGGGAAACTTCTAAATTATGGGCTATTTTTGTGTTTTATATTGTCAGTCTTAAATCATCATGTGTATTTGACATTGATGAAATGTGACCAAGTTTTGTAAAGCTTTGAAATTACATTTGCTGTCATAGTTGATGCATCTTTTTATAGCCACCTGTTCTGAGTTTGTAACTGTTATAAAATGTTTACATTTTATATTCTAGTTGGCTGTTTTAAAGTACAAAGGTGACATTTTTTGCAGTCTTTGTTAGCTTCCACAACTTGAGATAATAGAGATTTTCTGTTAGAAGAAGCATTTTGGCAGTGGGGTATTTTTTGGTGCCTATAGCATATTTCAGAAAGATTATTTAGATTTTTCATTTTTGCTCTTTTTCTATTTAAAAATATTTCCTGAGTGATGAATACAATTTGGTTAAAAAGACTGTATTTTGAACAGTTGTCTGTTGAAATAGTGTAGCGTAGGAGCAAGAGCATTGACTATCTAGTTGCCTATGTTTGTGATCTTGGGTTTCTTAACTGCACTGCAGTCTTCTCACTTGTAAAGTGGATATGCTCATAGCACTTACTTCATAGTGTTGTGAGAATGATTAATGAGTTAAGGTATATCAACCGCTGAGGACAGTGCTTGGCACCAAGTAAGTGTTGCTTTAGTGTTAGCAATTATTATTAATACAGAATCCCATGCTGAAGCCTTGGTCTTATGTGCTTATATACTTCATATACTTATTGCTTTAAACTTCTTACTGGAATATGTACACAGAACAGTTGCAAAGGTAATACAGATAATTCTTATATACTATTCACCTAGGTTTTTTTTCTTCTTCTTATATAACCATAGCATATTTGTTGAAATTAGAAATTAGCACTGGAATAGTCCGTTCTGCTATAATGTGACACATGAATTCCTAAAAGTCACTGCATTATACAGAATTATTTAGTGAAAACCATAGGGCATATGAGAAAAAGGGGATTAATGGTATAGTACTCAAGAACTTTGCTCACTGGAACATATTTAGTAACCTAACAAAAATTATAGCATCGGCCGGGTGCGGTGGCTCACGCCTGTAATCCCAGCACTTTGGGAGGCCAAGGTGGGCGGATCACCTGAGGTCAGGAGTTTGAGACCATCCTGGCCAACGTGATGAAACCCCATCTCTACTAAAAACACAAAAATTAGCCGGGCATGGTGGCACACACCTGTAATCCCAGCTACTTAGGAGGCTGAGGCAGGAGAATCGCTTGAACCCATGAGGCAGAGGTTGCAGTGAGCCTAGATCGTGCCACTGCACTCCAGCTTGACGACAGAGTGAGACTGTCTCAAAAAAAAAAAAAATTGCAGTATAGTTTTATGTGTATTGAATGGTTAAGAAATACTTACATACTAAAATATGGCCCTTTACCTTGAAAAATACCTGGAGAAGACCTTGCTTATGGAAGGTGAGTATCAGAAGAGTGGCAGTTTGTGAGCTATTGGGAAGTGGAGAAAGGAGGGTGATCAGAAATTTGATGGAGAGTTATAACACCAGCTGTGGATGGGAGTTGCTTCTCACACACTTGGTGAACTGAAGTAGCTGGTAGATGTTTGAGGAATGTACATGCACACGGAATCCGGCATGGCTTGGTTCAGCAGGGTGCAGTTTTCCATGTTCACCTGATGCTGTAACATGCAGAAGGATGAAATTGTGCATCAGCAAATGAGAAATTTGTGTAACATGTAAGTTGTTTCCTAATACATCCATTCATTGGAATAAATTTGCATTTTAAAATATTATAGCAGAACTGACTGTACAGTACTGTGAGCTAACTACAGATTTATTTGGATTTAACAGTTTTTTTTTTTAACTAATATCCTTTTTCTGTTTGAGGATACAGTCCAGGATACCACATTGCATTTAGACTTCATTACTTTTAATATCTGGAAATAAACTCTATTTTTCCATATCTGTTCATTAAGAAATGCTGTGACAATTATATGTTTACTGAACAATGAGAATTGATACTCATTTATATTCCTATATTATCTCCAGAATCAGTAAGAAAATACTGAATTATAGTTAGTATATTTGAAATATTGCAGTATTTAAAATATTTTATAGTATTAATGGGAAAACTCTGTTGATGGAATCTCTGTTGATTCTTCTCGCCCTCTTAGAAAAGCTGTTACTAGACAGGGTGTGGTGGCTCACGCCTGTAATCCCAGCACTTTGGGAGGCCGAGGCGGGCGCATCATGAGGTCAAGAGATTGAGACCATCCTGGCCAACATGGTGAAACCCTGTCTCTACTAAAAATACAAAAATTAGCTGGGCGTGGTGGCGCACAGCTATAGTCCCAACTACTCCAGAGGCTGAGGCAGGAGAATCGCTTGACCCCAGGAGGTGGAGGTTGCAGTGAGCCAAGATTGCGCCACTGCACTCCAGCCTGGTGACAGAGTGAGACTCTGTCTCAAAAAAAAAAGAAAAAAGAAAAGAAAAGCTGTTACTATAGTATCCTGGCAATTTGCTTGCTTGTAAGTATCTAAGTTTAGTTAGGTTATTTGATGATTCAAAGTTTGACTGTGAAAAGCTTGCTGTAACATGCAGATGGACTGTAATTGAGTAAAGTATGAAAATATGTTTTCGGTGTTGCCATTTTTCTTTCTGAATTTGATTGCATGGATTATCTGTTGTCTTCTAATTATTCTTGACCTTTGGTTTCACAGTAATTTTATGGCTTATCAGTAAGGCTAAAAAGTGACTGAGTGAACAATTTTAGGTCACCAGTGGTTTAGATCACATAGGATGCCAATTTAATCTTATGTCAGTATATACCTAGTCCCCATCTTCAGAAACTGCTGTTTTCCTAGAGCACAGAAAGCACAGTCACCTGCCTTCATTTAGAACAATGTTGCAAAACAGTGTGATAAATTGTATGACAATCCTGTTGGCAGAAGGGTTCTTCCTTAGGGCCTCTTTGTGCTCTACATGCTTTAACTGATGGCTTTGGTACTTTATTCTCTTGCTAACCCTGGGTCATTCCTGCTTTCCTTGGGCCTTGTTCCTTTTGTGCTCTCTGCCCCACTTGATGGTGCAACAGGAAATTCAGGGTCTCCAGAAGTTTTCCAATTCCCAATTTTAACTGGGGAGTGTCATCAGGTAAAGAAGTCTGGCATTCTTTTCTCCCTACTGATGAGTCATTGTCACTTACCCATTCTGGAGGGTCACTCACCCTTCTAGTGACCAATTTGGAGGGTACTATTCTGTTTGCAGATGTCATAGTATCCTGTGACAATTTTTTTAAAATAACAAGACTAACACATATCTCCTAATAAAGTGCTGTGAATATAGTGCATACATGAAATGATGGTTAATGACTGTTGGATGAATAAATGATTACGTGAGCAGATTTAGAAAATACAAGGTAGTGTGACAAAGTAAATAAGATGCAGTCAGAAGCATTCTCTTGAAACCGAATCTGGAAAGGAAACCTGTTGTTGGCTTTCTCAGACTGTAAACATGGAGATAATTCTAGTTGTGTTCTTCTACAATCCTATTCAGAGCGAATACATTTTTTGTGCATTCATAAATCACACTTTATATCTTTATATCTTGTTGACTCAGTTGAGCATAGGGACCATTAGGACCATTTGGCTATGATACACTTTTTTTTTTTTTTTTTGAGACAGAGTCTCTCTGTGTTGCCCAGGCTGGAGTGCAGTGGCGCGATCTCGGCTCAGTGCAAGCTCCGCCTCCTGGGTTCATGCCATTCTCCTGCCTCAGCCTCCTGAGTAGCTGGGACTACAGGCACCCGCCACCACGCCCGACTAATTTTTTTAGTAGAGACGGGGTTTCACCGTGTTAGCCAGGATGGTCTTGATCTCCTGACCTTGAGATCCACCCGCCTCGGCCTCCCAAAGTGCTGGGATTACAGGCGTGAGCCACCGTGCCCATCCTGGCCATGATACACTTTTAATTTTATCTTAAAAAATATTGAATTGTAAAATACACCTAACATAAAATTTGCCATCTTAACTATTTTTAAGTGTACAGTTCAACATTGTTAAGTACATTCACGTTGCTATGCAACCAATCTCTAGAACTCTATCTTGTAAAACTGAAACTCTATACCTATTAAACATCTCCCCATCTTCCCACCTAGCCCTTGGCAACCACATTTCTGCTTTGTATCTCAATGAATCTGACTTCTCTAGGTATGGCATGTAAGTGGAAATACAGTACTTGTTCATTTATTGACTTTTTTTTTTTTTTAGCGTAATGTTCTCAAGGTATGATATACTTCTGGTGAAATTAATATTAAGATTAAATAAGCTTTAGAGTGGTTTCTACTTGTGGGTCATGTTTCTGTTTATGCTGCAAAACTGTAAAGGATGAAGATAAACTCTAGTTTGAGATGGGAGATTATGTCACTATTTTTGCCTGAATCCCTTCGAAGAACCTCTTCTTCATCTTTTGGTGATAAAGAGAGTATCCAACCTGAAGGGAACTTCTAGTGTCTTTTGATACTTTATTTTACTCTTGTGGATTTGAATAGGCAAACGTGGAGACTTTTTGTGTTATTACAACAGCGTAAAACTTATGATATGAAAACAAAACATCAATATTCATATTATTAAAATTTCCAGTAGAACAAATTTGATTTAGGTCAAATTGATTCACTTTATAATTTAAATCATTAATAAGAAATTTACCTTTAAAAAGATCAGAGGATATTATTCCAGTTCTTCACAAATCAAAGGTAGATGGAAGTCTACTTTTTACTATACTGTAGGCCTTAAGTTGATGATATTTTGATGATTATATTAGTTTATGATTTTCCAGAAATGAAATAATTTGAACTGTCTTTTTTATTGACACCAAAATGGACTCTAGGCAGCTTTCAATTTAGAATGTAAATTGGCTGGATGCGGTGGCTCATGCCTATAATACCAGCACTTTGGGAGGCCATGGCAGGAGGATAGCTGGGGGGTAGGTATTTGAGACTAGCTGGGCAATGTAGTAAGACGCTGTCTCTACAGAAAATAAAAATAATTAGCTGGGCATGGTGGCACACTTCTGTAGCCCCAGCTACTCGGGGGCTGAGGCAAGAGGATCACTTGAGCTCTGGATTTCAAGGTTACAGTCAGCTGTGACCGCTCCACTGTACTCCAGTCTGGGCAACAGAGCAAGACTCTGTCAAATAAATAAATAAATAAATGGATGAATGAATGAATGAATGAATGAAGCTAAATTACCTTTTTCTCCCAAACAGTCCCAGAATCAATTACTGTTGGTATAGTTTCATAGTTTTATGGATATTCCAGAAGGTTGTCTTCCATAAGAAGAATGTTAATGTTTCTTGCAAAGCAGCTATTGGCTTTTGAATTTTAACCTTCTTTTGAGTGAAATTTATAATTAATCATGAGTACATGTAAACTCATTTAAAAATGAAAGCATCAAAAATGAACCTGATGCTGAAAAAAAGAAAAATAAGTTTAAACATTTCTAAATTGCTTTATATTGTTTCACTTTCATTGAAAGAACAGTTTAGCAAAAATGTGTGAGTCATATAAATTTTATATTATTTCAGAAATGTTTAGGGAATACTTGTGTTCCATATAAAGGAATTATATTTGATTCAGTAAATAAATAGAAATGTGAATCAGATGTGGTACCTGTCCACAGATAAATTTGTAATCTAGTGGGGAAGATCAGACAGGTTAGATACAACTTTAAGATAGATACACCTATCTTAAAATGTGTTATATGAGGAGGGTAGATAGGCTTAGAGATGGGAGAGATGCAACTTTCTGTTGCAAAGGAGGTGAATCAGGAAAGCCTTCTTGGAAAGGTAAGATTTGGATCTAGACCTTGAAAGTTGAGCATGTTTTTGATGTTGGGAAATTTGAGTAGGAAAGAAGTGTCTGAATGTATATTTAATCCAAAGTATTTCACATACTGAGTCTTTGTGTATATCATATTGCTTATTCACAGAGTACAAAATATATTCCCAATTAATTTGTTAGGTGAAAATGAACTAGTGTAGCATATTTCCAGTAAACAAAGATGAATCTCTTTTTATTTATGCTTTTATATAGCCTAGTCCTGTTATTTCTTTTTGTATTCCCTGAAATTTAAAAAGAAGTAATTTTCATTTGGTATTCTAGTTCTACCCTAATTTTGTTGTGATAATAAAATACCACCTTAACTGTAGGCTGGATGATGAAATATTTATGGAAAGATTAGGGCATTGCATTTACTTTTTGATTCTCCAGGGAAACATAAAAGTGTTTCTTTTCCCTTTAAGATTGAAAACTTGATTAGTTACCTAATCAAAATTCAATTCCCCTGTGTGCAGTTTATTTCTGAGCTGCTGTGAGGAAAAAACAATAAAATGGCTTTGTATTTCTGACTTGGAAAAAGTGTTTGGCCTTCTGAGGTGACTGTCCGCAGAGAGGAGTCCACAGAGTACTTAACAGAGTGGAATATGCTGGCAGTTCCTGAATCTAAGAATAACCTTGTGGTTGTATCAGCTAAGAAAGGCCTAACAGCCTCTATTGGCTGGGAACAGGGTTAGGATCTGGTGGTAGGGGTAATTGGTTTGCATGTCTTCTGGCACTGTGGGCACTTTAGATCTTGATAGAATGGGTTCTTATCTTCCTATTTAAAGAAAAAAAAGGGTTCAGGGCGAGTTCTCTGATTAAGAAGGTGTAAGTCAGTATTATTTCAGAGTAGTTTTTTTGGGCCTTGGAAGTATGTTGACATTGATATTTGTTATGTATCTGGTACTCTGGGGAGTCCTAAAGAAATGAAGATGTACTAGTTAATTAACCCATTTCCTCTTTTATTCAACAAACATCTCATGACTGACTATGGAACATTTGTTTTTAAGTTTACAAACCAGCTTTATGTTTCACATATAGTTCACATAGCATGTTCATGAGATAAGCAGAAAGGGATTATTTTGCTTTTAGGGCAAGATTGTGAGGCATCAGTGAAACAGGTCCAGAAATAGGGAATTATTTTAATAAATAATTTTAATTTTATTACTGTTTTAGTGTGAATGTAACTATTTTCCAGTATTTTTAATGTAACAATATAATCTTCAGTTTCCATTTTTATTTGAAATTAAGAAATCTTTGAGAGATCCTTTTTTTTAAACTAATGTGTTCTCTTAAAAAGAAGGATGCTATTACTAGACTCAGATACCAAATGATACCCTTTTCATGGAGTTCTCTTTCATATTCATTTTCTTGCAAACTCTAAAAACCTTGACCAATAATTTCAGAATGTGTGCTTCTTACATAGATCGTAACATCTTCTGAATGGTTGTATTGCCTGAGGTAAATAGTCCCTATAATTCTTTTTGGTCCTACATTTCATTAGTATGTAAAACTTGTCTGTAACAGCCATGTGTCTTTGTCACACTATATTTAGTTAACATATAAATAAACCCTTTTTCTAATTTCTGATATAGGCAAGCCTGTTTAAGCATTGCATTTATAAGAAGAAAAATTCTGCTAAGAATCAAAATAATATTTTGTCGACAAGACATGGATTATTTTAAGAAAAGTTTTGTCCTCAGTGTGTGCCTATTTCATTTAATCCTAAAAGTTTAGATGCCATGTAATAGGAACTGTGAAAAAAAATCCATGACATATATGAATGTTGGGATCACATGGCATATGGTGCTGACATACTTAATGTGGAGAGGTAGTAGTATAGTGTACTGGAAAGAGTGGTGCATTCCATCAGAAACAGGGACGTACGTCTTGTGTGAGTACATGCTAGCTGTGTTATTTTTGGAAAGTCATTTGGCTTCAGTTTCTTCAAGTGTGAAATGGGAGATTGTAGAGGTACTTATGATTAAGTAACGTAAGCGATACATCATCTAGCACAGTTGCTAGCATATAAGTGGTGTTCATTAGACAGTAATGGTGGTGATAATAGGGGATATGGTTATAGGAGTAGCAGCAGCAATTTTTTTCTGTAGATTTTGATAGGAATATACATTATATTATAGATGTCTTTTAATTTTAGGTACGCTAAAAGGGCTTGCAAAAGGCTGAAGATGAATTAACAAAATAGAAAATTATAACAGGAAATTGCTGTAGTTCGACTGATGATGCCCTCTCCAAAATTCATGTTGAAACTTTATTCTTAATGCAACAGTATTAAATGGTGTGGCCTTTGGGAGGCCAAGTTCCCATGATGGGATCAGCACCCTTATAAAGGCTTGAGAGAGAAAGGAGTGCTCTCTTGCCATTTTGTTCCTTTCACCATGTGAGGACACAGCCTTCGTCCCCTCTGAGGGTCACAGTGACATGGTACTATCTTGGAAATAGAGACTGGGCCCTCACCAGAAACCAAACCCTTGATTTTGGATTTCCTAGCTTCTGGAACTGTGAGACATAAATTTCTGTTATTTATAAATTACCCAGTCTCAGGTATTTTGTTCTAGCAGCATAAATGGAGTAAGACAGGAGTATTTCTTCTTGATAACACTTGTGCTTTGATTTATTATCTGAGACAGTGCCCCTTTCCTGGTGTGAGGTACCTGAGTTTCCAAATTACTAATAAAAAAATTGCTTAGTGAGCATTGCATCAAATGAAGTTGAGGTTTTAAATTTCACTTTTAATTGAATTATGGATACGGGAAAATGAACAAATCATCAATGTGCAACTTGATGAATTTTCACCAAGTGAACATGATTAAGAAACAGAATATTACCAGCATCCCTTGTGCTCTCTCCTTTTACCGTCTTCTAGCCACCTCACTCCAGAGAGCCACTATCTTGGTTTCTAACACAGCACATTAGCTTTTTCTCTTAATCAAGGGACCAAGAGAACTATTTTACCTAAACTCTGGGAAAACATAAAGAACTGTCTTTCCCTCTCAACAGAGATGAAATTCTCATATCCATCAAGTCAGATGCCTTTCTTGCTTTTCTAATGTTGGATGTACATTGACTTTTAAAAACAATTTAAAGTGTTATTTATGAACAACATATAATGGGATCTTTCTGTATTATCCAGTCTGGCAATGTGTAGCTTTTAATTGGCATGCTGGGACTTACTGTTTGTATTTAAGGCATGGTTCAATATGGTTCAGCGTAAAGCTGATGTTTTAAACTGGTATTTGTTTACTACTGTCCCATTGGTATTTTCATTTGTTCACATGTCCCGTGTGTTGGCATTTGGTATTCGTTTACTACTTGTCCCGTTTTTGGTATTTGTTTTGATATTTGTTTGCTACTTGTCTCAATTTTTCATTGTTTCCCTTTTTTTCTTTTTCTGTTTTCTTTTGATTTGAATATTTTTATAATTATATTCAATCTCCTTTATTGAATTGTTAGTTATACTTTCTTGTGATTTTTTTTTTTCTTTTTAGTGGTTGCTCTAGGGTTTATAGTAGACTTCTTTAACTTATAATAGTCTAACTTCAAATAGTTTACTAGTACTTCATGTATAATGTAAGAACTTAAAATAATGTTTTTCCATTTTCCTCCTTCTGGCTTTTGCACTATTGTTGCCATACATTTAACTTTTACAAGCATGTGTTATGAACTCCGTAATACATTTTTGTTATTTTTGCTCTTATCAGTAATTTTTTAAAATTGAAAATGTATTTTGTTTTTACACACATATTTACCATTTCCAGTCCTCTTCATTGCTTTGTGTAGATACAATTTATATCTAGTGTCAGTTTCCTTCAGCCTGAAACACTTTCTTTAGCATGCCTTGCAGTGCTGATGTTGAATTCTCTTTGCTTTTATGGATGGGGAGAAATCTTTGCTTAGTTTTGGAAGATATTTTATTGAGTATAGAATTCTAGGCTAACAGTTGTACTTGTTTAGTACCTCGTTGGAGCTACCCTGCTGTCTTCTGGCTTGTATTGCTTTAAGCAGAAGTCTGCTGTCATTCTTTATCTTTGTTTCTCTTTGCATGATGTGTCTTGTTTTCTTTGCATGCTTTTAAGATTTTATTTATAACTAGTTTTGAGCCATTTTATTATTATATGCCTTGGTGTGTTCTTCTTTGAGTTTATTCTTGTTGGTTATCAAGTTCCTTGGATCTATGGACTTCAGAGTTTCACCAAATTTAGGAAATTTATGGTCATTATTTCTTCAAATATTTTTTTCCCTTCCTTGTTTCTCCTTCCCAATACACACACTTTTTTTTTTCTGGGACTCCTATTATATGTATGTTGACCATGTGATCATATCTTACAGCCCATTTTAAAAAGTTTCTTTTTTATACTGATTTTATTTTGGATTGTTTCTATTACTGTGTCCTTAAATTTGCTATTCTTTTCTTCTGACTTGTCTATAATTGATGCCTTCAGTGTATTTTTTTTTTAATCTCCGAGACTATGTTTTTCATTCCTAGAAGTTTGATTTGGGTCTTTAATATTCTGTGCCTCTTGTTCTCATGTCATTGGTGTTTCTTGATCTGTTTCAAGAAATTGATTTTTGTTCTGGTTATAAGCCATAATTTCCTTCTTCTTTACATACCTGGTAACTTTTATTGGATAACAGACATTAAGAATTTTACATAATTTGGATGTAGATTTTTTTTTTTAGTTGAAAGTAAATTTAAAAATTTTTTTTTATTATTATACTTTAAGTTTTAGGGTACATGGACACAATGTGCGGGTTAGTTACATATGTATACATGTGCCATGCTGGTGTGCTGCACCCACCAACTCGTCATCTAGCATTAGGTATATCTCCCAATGCTATCCCTCCCCCCTCCCCCCACCCCACAACAGTCCCCAGAGTGTGATGTTCCCCTTCCTGTGTCCATGTGTTCTCATTGTTCAATTCCCACCTATGAGTGAGAATATGCGGTGTTTGGATTTTTGTTCTTGCGATAGTTTACTGAGAATGATGATTTCCAATTTCATCCATGTCCCTACAAAGGACATGAACTCATCATTTTTTATGGCTGCATAGTATTCCATGGTGTATATGTGCCACATTTTCTTAATCCAGTCTATCATTGTTGGACATTTGGGTTGGTTCCAAGTCTTTGCTATTGTGAATAGTGCCGCAATAAACATACATGTGCATGTGTCTTTATAGCAGCATGATTTCTAGTCCTTTGGGTATATACCCAGTAATGGGATGGCTGGGTCAAATGGTATTTCTAGTTCTAGATCCCTGAGGAATCACCACACTGACTTCCACAGTGGTTGAACTAGTTTACAGTCCCACCAACAGTGTAAAAGTGTTCCTATTTCTCCACCTCCTCTCCAGCACCTGTTGTTTCCTGACTTTTTAATGATTGCCACTCTAACTGGTGTGAGATGGTATCTCATTGTGGTTTTGATTTGCATTTCTCTGATGGCCAGTGATGGTGAGCATTTTTTCATGTGTTTTTTGGCTGCATAAATGTCTTCTTTTGAGAAGTGTCTGTTCATATCCTTTGCCCACTTTTTGACAGGATTGTTTGTTTTTTTCTTGTAAATTTGTTTGAGTTCATTGTAGATTCTGGATATTAGCCCTTTGTCAGATGAGTAGGTTGCGAAAATTTTCTCCCATTTTGTAGGTTGCCTGTTCACTCTGATGGTAGTTTCTTTTGCTGTGCAGAAGCTCTTTAGTTTAATTAGATCCTATTTGTCAATTTTGGCTTTTGTTGCCATTGCTTTTGGTGTTTTAGACATGAAATCCTTGCCCATGCCTATGTCCTGAATGGTAATGCCTAGGTTTTCTTCTAGGGGTTTTATGGTTTTAGGTCTAACGTTTAAGTCTTTAATCCATCTTGAATTGATTTTTGTATAAGGTGTAAGGAAGGGATCCAGTTTCAGCTTCCTACATATGGCTAGCCAGTTTTCCCAGCACCATTTATTAAATAGGGAATCCTTTCCCCATTGCTTGTTGTTCTCAGGCTTATCAAAGATCAGATAGTTGTAGATATGCGACGTTATTTCTGAGGGCTGTGTTCTGTTCCATTGATCTATATCTCTGTTTTGGTACCAATACCATGCTGTTTTGGTTACTGTAGCCTTGTAGTATAGTTTGAAGTCAGGTAGTATGATGCCTCCAGCTCTGTTCTTTTGGCTTAAGATTGACTTGGTGTTGCAGGCTCTTTTTTGGTTCCATATGAACTTTAAAGTAGTTTTTTCCAATTCTGTGAAGAAAGTCATTGGTAGCTTGATGGGGATGGCATTGAATCTATAAATTACCTTGGGCAGTATGGCCATTTTCACAATATTGATTCTTCCTACCCATGAGCATGGAATGTTCTTCCATTTGTTTGTATCCTCTTTTATTTCATTGAGCAGTGGTTTGTAGTTCTCCTTGAAGAGGTCCTTCACATCCCTTGTAAGTTGGATTCCTAGGTATTTTATTCTCTTTGAAGCAATTGTGAATGGGAGTTCTCTCATGCTTTGGCTCTCTGTTTGTCTGTTATTGGTGTATAAGAAGGCTTGTGATTTTTGTACATTGATTTTGTATCCTGAGACTTTGCTGAAGTTGCTTATCAGCTTAAGGAGATTTTGGGCTGAGACAGTGGGGTTTTCTAGATACACAATCATGTCGTCTGCAAACAGGGACAATTTGACTTCCTCTTTTCCTAATTGAATACCCTTTATTTCCTTCTCCTGCCTAATTGCCCTGGCCAGAACTTCCAACACTATGTTGAATAGGAGTGGTGAGAGAGGGCATCCCTGTCTTGTGCCAGTTTTCAGAGGGAATGCTTCCAGTTTTTGCCCATTCAGTATGATATTGGCTGTGGGTTTGTCATAGATAGCTCTTATTATTTTGAGATACGTCCCATCAATACCTAATTTATTGAGAGTTTTTAGCATGAAGGGTTGTTGAATTTTGTCAAAGGTCTTTTCTGCATCTGTTGAGACAATCATGTGGTTTTTGTCTTTGGTTCTGTTTATATGCTGGATTACATTTATTGATTTGCGTATATTGAACCAGCCTTGCATCCCAGGGATGAAGCCCACTTGATCATGGTGGATAAGCTTTTTGATGTGCTGCTGGATTCGGTTTGCCAGTATTTTATTGAGGATTTTTGCATCAGTGTTCATCAAGGATATTGGTCTAAAATTCTTTTTTTTGTTGTGTCTCTGCCCAGCTTTGCTATCAGGATGATGCTGGCCTCGTAAAATGAGTTAGGGAGGATTCCCTCTTTTTCTGTTAATTGGAATAGTTTCAGAAGGAATGGTACCAGTTCCTCCTTGTACCTCTGGTAGAATTCGGCTGTGAATCCATCTGGTCCTGGACTCTTTTTGGTTGGTAAGCTATTGATTATTGCCACAATTTCAGCTCCTGTTATTGGTCTATTCAGAGATTCGACTTCTTCCTGGTTTAGTGTTGGGAGAGTGTATGTGTCGAGGAATTTATCCATTTCTTCTAGATTTTCTAGTTTATTTGCATAGAGGTGTTTGTAGTATTCTCTGATGGTAGTTTGTATTTCTGTGGGATCGGTGGTGATATCCCCTTTATCATTTTTTATTGCGTCTATTTGATTCTTCTCTCTTTTTTTCTTTATTAGTCTTGCTAGTGGTCTATCAATTTTGTTGATCCTTTCAAAAAACTAGCTCCTGGATTCATTAATTTTTTGAAGGGTTTTTTGTGTCTCTATTTCCTTCAGTTCTGCTCTGATTTTAGTTATTTCTTGCCTTCTGCTAGCTTTTGAATGTGTTTGCTCTTGCTTTTCTAGTTCTTTTAATTGTGATGTTAAGGTGTCAATTTGGGATCTTTCCTGCTTTCTCTTGTGGGCATTTAGTGCTATAAATTTCCCACTACACACTGCTTTGAATGTGTCCCAGAGATTCTGGTATGTTGTGTCTTTGTTCTTGTTGGTTTCAAAGAACATCTTTATTTCTGCCTTCATTTTGTTATGTACCCAGTAGTCATTCAGGAGCAGGTTGTTCAGTTTCCATGTAGTTGAGCGGTTTTGAGTGAGTTTCTTAATCCTGAGTTCTAGTTTGATTGCACTGTGGTCTGAGAGATAGTTTGTTATAATTTCTGCTCTTTTACATTTGCTGAGGAATGCTTCCAACTATGTGGTCAATTTTGGAATAGGTGTGGTGTGGTGCTGAAAAAAATGTATATTCTGTTGATTTGGGGTGGAGAGTTCTGTAGATGTCTATTAGGTCCGCTTGGTGCAGAGCTGAGTTCAATTCCTGGGTATCCTTGTTAACTATCTGTCTCGTTGATCTGTCTAATGTTGACAGTGGGGTGTTAAAGTCTCCCATTATTAATGTGTGGGAGTCTAAGTCTCTTTGTAGGTCACTCAGGACTTGCTTTATGAATCTGGGTGCTCCTGTATTGGGTGCATATATATTTAGGATAGTTAGCTCTTCTTGTTGAATTGATCCCTTTACTATTATGTAATGGCCTTCTTTGTCTCTTTTGATCTTTGTTGGTTTAAAGTCTGTTTTATCAGAGACTAGCATTGCAACCCCTGCCTTTTTTTGTTTTCCATTTGCTTGGTAGATCTTCCTCCATCCTTTTATTTTGAGCCTATGTTTGTCTCTGCACATGAGATGGGTTTCCTGAATACAGCACACTGATGAGTCTTGACTCTTTATCCAATTTGCCAGTCTGTGTCTTTTAATTGGAGCATTTAGTCCATTTACATTTAAAGTTAATATTGTTATGTGTGAATTTGATCCTGTCATTATGATGTTAGCTGGTTATTTTGCTCGTTAGTTGATGCAGTTTCTTCCTAGTCTCGATGGTCTTTACATTTTGGCATGATTTTGCAGCAGCTGGTACCGGTTGTTCCTTTCCATGTTTAGTGCTTCCTTCAGGAGCTCTTTTAGGGCAGGCCTGGTGGTGACAAAATCTCTCAGCATTTGCTTGTCTGTAAAGTATTTTATTTCTCCTTCACTTATGAAGCTTAGTTTGGCTGGATATGAAATTCTGGTTTGAAAATTCTTTTCTTTAAGAATGTTGAATATTGGCCCCCACTCTCTTCTGGTTTGTAGAGTTTCTGCCGAGAGATCCGCTGTTAGTCTGATGGGCTTCCCTTTGTGGGTAACCCGACCTTTCTCTCTGGCTGCCCTTAACATTTTTTCCTTCATTTCAACTTTGGTGAATCTGACAATTATGTGTCTTGGAGTTGCTCTTCTCAATGAGTATCTTTGTGGCATTCTCTGTATTTCCTGAATCTGAATGTTGGCTTGCCTTGCTAGATTGGGGAAGTTCTCCTGGATAATATCCTGCAGAATGTTTTCCAACTTGGTTCCATTCTCCCCGTCACTTTCAGGTACACCAATCAGATGCAGATTTGGTCTTTTCACATAGTCCCATATTTCTTGGAGGCTTTGTTCGTTTCTTTTTATTCTTTTTTCTCTAAACTTCCCTTCTCGCTTCATTTCATTCATTTCATCTTCCATCGCTGATACCCTTTCTTCCAGTTGATCGCATCGGCTCCTGAGGCTTCTGCATTCTTCACGTAGTTCTCCAGCCTTGGCTTTCAGCTCCATCAGCTCCTTTAAGCACTTCTCTGTATTGGTTATTCTAGTTATACATTCGTCTAAATTTTTTTCAAAGTTTTCAAATTCTTTGCCTTTGGTTTGAATTTCCTCCTGTAGCTCGGAGTAGTTGGATCATCTGAAGCCTTCTCTCAACTCATCAAAGTCATTCTCCATCCAGCTTTGTCCCATTGCTGGTGAGGAACTGCGTTCCTTTGGAGGAGGAGAGTTGCTCTGCTTTTGAGAGTTTCCAGTTTTTCTGCTCTGTTTTTTCCCCATCTTTGTGGTTTTATCTACTTTTGGCCTTTGATGATGGTGATGTACAGATGGGTTTTTGGTGTGGATGTCCTTTCTGTTTGTTAGTTTTCCTTCTAACAGACAGGACCCTCAGCTGCAGGTCTGTTGGAGTTTGGTAGAGGTCCACTCCAGACCCTGTTTGCCTGGGTATCAGCAGCGGTGTCTGCAGAATAGCGGTTTTTCGTGAACCGCGAATGCTGCTGTCTGATCATTCCTCTGGAAGTTTTGTCTCAGCGGAGTACCGGGCCGTGTGAAGTGTCAGTCTGCCCCTACTGGGGGCTGTCTCCCAGTTAGGCTGCTCGGGGGTCAGGGGTCAGGGACCCACTTGAGGAGGCAGTCTGCCCGTTCTCAGATCTCCAGTTGGGTGCTGGGAGAACCACTGCTCTCTTCAAAGCTGTCAGACATGGACATTTAAGTCTGCAGAGATTACTGCTGTCTTTTAGTTTGTCTGTGCCCTGCCCCCAGAGATGGAGCCTACAGAGGCAGGCAGGCCTCCTTGAGCTGTGGTGGGCTCCGCCCAGTTCGAGCTTCCCGCCTGCTTTGTTTACCTAAGCAAGTCTGGGCAATGGCGGTTGCCCCTCCCCCAGCCTCACTGCCGCCTTGCGGTTTGATCTCAGACAACTGTGTTAGCAATCAGGGAGACTCCGTGGACGTAGGACCCTCCGAGCCAGGTGCAGGATATAATCTCCTGATGCACCATTTTTTAAGCCTGTTGGAAAAGCGCAGTATTCGTGTGGGAGTGACCCGATTTTCCAGGTGCTGTCTGTCACCCCTTTCTTTGACTAGGAAAGGGAACTCCCTGACCCCTTGCGCTTCCCGAGTGAGGCAATGCCTCGCCCTACTTCGGCTTGTGCACGGCGCGCTGCACCCACTGACCTGCGCCCACTGTCTGGCACTCCCTAGTGAGATGAACCTGGTACCTCAGATGGAAATGCAGAAATCATGCATCTTCTGCATCGCTCACGCTGGGAGCTGTAGACCAGAGCTGTTGCTGTTTGCAACCAGAGCTGTTCAGCCATCTTGGCTCCTCCCCTCAAGATTTTTTTTTTTTAATTTATCCCTGAAAGTATTCTGAAGCTTTTTTCTGGGGTGCAGTTAAATTACTCAAGAACTTTGATGATCTTGAGGTTTACCTTTTAGCTTTGTTAGTGGGAACAGGGCAGCCTTTTGTCTAAGGCTAATTTTGCTCACCTGCTGGGGTAATATTCTTTTTTTTTTTTTTTTTTTTATTTGAGACCGAGTCTTGCTCTTTGGCCCAGGTCGGAGTGCAGTGGCGATGTCTCAGCTCACTGCAAGCCCCACCTCCCGGTTCACGCCATTCTCCTGCCTCAGCCTCCCAAGTAGCTGGGACTGCAGGTGCCTGCCACTGCACCCGGCTAATTTTTTTTGTGTGTGTATTTTTAGTAGAGACGGGGTTTCACCGTGTTAGCCAGGATGGTCTCGATCTGCAGACCTCGTGGTCCGCCTGCCTCGGCCTCCCAAAGTGCTGGGATTACAGGCATGAGCCACCGTGCCCGGCCGGGTAATATTCTTTAATATATAATGAAATAAAATAATAAAACCTGTTACCCTACAGATTACTAGTTTTTCGTATTCTGGCTGACTGGAACTTGAACTATTCCTGGCCCTATGTGAGGTCCAGGGATGTTCTTTCTGCTCCTTTGGTTGGTTTCCCCATCCTTGTGTGATTTCATCACAGGTACACACTGAGCAGTGCTTAGTCAATGACTAGAGGGACCCCTCCCAGGATTTTTGGAGCTTTCTTTCTCAGTGCACGTTCTTCTCTGATCCATTGTCTGTAAATTCTAGCTACTCTGGCTCTCTGACTTTCAAACTCTGTCTCTGCAGCCCAGAAGGCCTGCCAGGCTCTGTTTAGAGTTCCCTTTTTATGCTGCAGCCTGTCACTTCTCTTCAGGCAGTGAGCGAGGGCGCTGCTGGGCTCACTTTGTTTTTTTCCCTTCCCTTAGTGTCGTTATCCTGCAGTGCCTGGTGTCCTGCTGTCTATTTTTGTTGTTGATCGTGGTGGTAGTTTTTTAGATTAATTCAAGAGATTCATTACTGTTCCTGTTACTCCATACTTCATTGTTGTTCAAAGCAGAAGTTCTCTTTTAGTGTTTTAAAGTAATTTTCCTGAGCTGATCTTTTATTAGTCTGTTTTGTGTAGGTTTGTTCATCTCATTAGTTGAGTTCTTATCCCTGTTGTCATGGAGCCTATTCTGTCTTTTCCCATAACATATGATTTATTTAATCAAAATACGAGCTCCACCAGCCACCTCATGGTGTGTACTATAAGGTTAATGTCTCTATGCAGTTGATTAAATGGATTTCAGAATTAGGAACAGGTGAAAGGCTTTCCTTAATCTGGAAATTACAGAAAGTGATCGAGAAATGTAGTTGAAATACAGTATATTTTAACACATGGACTTTTCATTACTGCGAACAACAAATAAGCAAAGCTGCAATGTATTGAGCCAGAGATGTTCTTTTTCCAAATTGCCATCCCAGAGGTTGACTGTCAGCCGCAGGTGTTTGGGAGAGTTGGTGCTATGTGTTATCTCTCAAGGGCATTTATGGACAATTTTTTAAAGAAACAGTCACATATATCCCACTTCATTCTTGGACCCTTGGTTCTCATTCTGCCTCTCAGGGTCATTTTCTCTTTGAATACCAGTGGCACTTTGTGTCTCAATTGTTAACTTATTATAGCATCTATTTTCTGGTCTATTTTTGTGTTTCTTGAGGGCAGGAGCAATACCTTTGTATTTATTTTTAAAAATTTTAGTTGTTCAATAAAGGTTTGTGGAATGAATGAATGTTATGTAGTTAAAAATCTATATTGACAGTCATAAGAACTGTTTTCTTCAAATTCTTTAGTGTTTTGTTTCCCTTCTCTACCTAACTCTAGTTTAATCTTGAACCTCATCAACACTAAAGTGTGTTAGACTTATTCGCCCTGCAGATAGCTACACCATTGTCTTCCTAGTCACATTCTGTCGAACTGACATCAGAACACTCCCTCTTCATTTCCAGGGTCTTCATTTCCTCAGCTGTGATTTTATGCCTGTCTGCAGTGTAATTTTGCCTAGACTCAAAGAACTCATGATTGTAAAAGGCTCACATAGACTTGTGCAGCAGTATCTCAGGGCAAACAACCTCTGTGCTTCTTTGTTTATTAATAGCTTAGGACTTTCCACCTCTCTCTCTCTCTTTCTCTTTCAAGAGATGGAGACTCTCTGTCACCCAGGATGGTCTCAAACTCCTGGGCACGAGTGATCCTTCTGCTCAGCCTCCCCAGTAGCTGGAACTCCAGGTATCCTCCATCATGCCCAGCTAAATTCCACATCTCTTTGTACTCATAAGTGCTCATACACAGGCGAAGAGTCACCTGTCCCATAGAACATTGCATTGTTGTTGATGGCATGGGTGGAAAATAGGGAGTTGTGTAGACCATTTTGGGAATTTAGAATTATGAACATTTGAAAAAAAATCTGCTGTACATGTTCCGAATCTTTTGCCACAGGAAAGCATTGCGTATACCCTTATGATTTGGGGATAGTTTTTGTTTTTTCATTTATTTATACATAATCATCCATTCTTCCTTCAGTCTGTCCATCCTCCTGTCTATCTATCCATCTATTAAATATGTAGTAAGTTTTAAATAAATGCCAGGTATTCCACTAACGAATCAAAAACGATGAAAGCTTTGAAGGAGCTCATAGTCTAGTGAAGGAGCAAGACACATAAATAAATAATTATAATTCAGTGCAATGACAGCAGTAATGGAAATACATGAGAGGTTTAATAACATGGAAGAAAGTCTGATAAGCTTGGTCTGGGAACATCAGAAGGTTTCAATTTTTTTCCTCTAATGAACACCGCATTGACTGACACAGTTAAAGACAACATTATAAATATGCATGCTGTGAATCGTGCTACCTTTCTATCCATTTAGATGAGGTTAACGTGCCATATTTATGATTTTTAGTTTTTCTTTTTGAATATTTTATATCAACATTTTTTTCTTCCTACTGCCTTTGTATAACTTGGTTTCCAAAGTATAATTTTTTCTGTCATTGGAGGGTTTTTCACAAGCTTGAGAAGCACAGTGATTCATTTCAGGAAGCTTGCTAATTAGTTACTTGATTGAATCATTTCTGTGAGCTACTACTGTGAGTTAGGTGCTGGGAGTATAAAGTACCCTCCTCTGAAATATATGTATACAAATAATTACAGTAGCAGTGAGATAAATGCAGAAAGGGTTATCTACAGGCAAATAGTCTTAGCTATGTAGTCTTCCTCTTACGTTGACTTTTATAGTTTTTATTCAATGTGCAATAAGTTTTCACAGCTTGATTTGATCTTGTCTTTCTAGTTCTTAAGAGTTTTTTCCTTTGAGAGCTCTGATTTTAGAATTAAGAGAGTATCAATGGTCTGTTCCTACTGATCATTCATTCATTAGTGACTATTTTTGAGCTCATGTGGATTGTTTATCTGGAAATTTATAATTGTGATATATACCTTTTAGGGTGTTTGATTCACGATTAAATGAAATAATGCATTTATATAAAGTTAGTTAAAATTATTGCTTATATGTTATTATTATGCATATAAGAGCACTGGGAGTTGTGATGGACACAAAGGGGTATTTATCAGAGAATATTTACTTTTAGTGGGGAGACAATCTAGGAAATTAACAATAGATAAGAACTTCAGGGAATTTGAGAAGTATACCACTTATATACTATCGAAAGATTAAATGCCACATGGTTGTCCAGATAAGTAGTGAGGATTTAGAACAAAAAGAAACCAATCTGGACTGGAATGGCTACAGTAACATCTTTGGGAAGCTGGAATTTGAGCTGGAAAAGGCGGGATTCAAATAAGTAAAATGCCATAGTGGCTGAGAGCGTAGACTCTGGAACCGGACTGCCTGGGTTCAAATTCCAGCTGCAACTTAGCTATTTGACCCTGGACAAGTTGCTTACTGTTTCTGTGCCTGTGTCTCCTCTCCTGTAAAATGAGAAAGATAATATTGTCTATCTCTCAGGGCTGCCGAATTTACATATGTAATTGCTTACAACTTTATATTTGTGCTTGCAGATAGTTAAGTACTATATAAGTATTATACATAGGCTGGGCAGAGTTGAATGGTTATATAAATAGTGTGTGAAATGTCCATTCAGCACAGTTTAGAGGCAAGAACATACGGGGATTCTTAAGGGTGGCTATGAAGAAATCAGTGTTCCTTTGGCTTGGGGTCTGCATAGGCATAATCTGTGCTTTTTTGGTAAGATGAATGAAAACGAGATTTAAAAGTATTCTTTCCTCTCTAATCCTTTTATTCAAAATCCATTAGCACTACATACTCACATAGGTGGGTTATTTTTTATAATGAACACTGATACAATTCATGAATATTTTGGTACATTTCAGTAGTTTTGTAATTGATAAATTTAAATGTCATATATTTTTATCTTTGTTCTGGAAGTGATTTTTCTGGTGTCATTAATAGTCTAAAGGCTATTTGTCAGGGTCTGCTTGTCTTCATGTAATGTGAAATAAGGGTCTCTCTGTTTTTCTCTCCACTGGTTCTGTGTCAGTCTAAGTTACAGAATAGGGAGTGGAATTTATTAGATTGCTCTCATATTTCTTCCCATTTGGCAGTTGTAGATATGTACTTTTGGGTCTCCCCTGTATAAGGATTATTCTCATCAATCCTTGGTTGACTCAGATCTCAGATCTTTCCGTGTTACCACATTTAATATATATTCCCCCTCACTGAATGGAATACTGGCAACCTCGAACCTATAGGTTAGTTGATTACTATAAATGAAAGTTGTAGTTAATCAATTTTAAGTTGAGTCCCTATTTTTCATCTGTAATACTACAAATATGAACATCATATCAAAAATAAATGAACAATAAAACCTATGTATTTATAAACATTTTACGTATATAACACCAAATTCAGAATGTAAAACTTATTACCTAAGTGTTTTATTTGGGAGACTTTTTGATGTGGGTCATTTTAGCTTATTCTTGATAAAGTACAAGGCCATTGAAATTATACTTGAGGATTCCTTTCTTTCCTGGTGACTTTCTTTGTAATGAGCATAGGCATCCTTCATTGTTCTGAGGACCTTCAGTGTCTCTTATTCAAAATTAGGGTAATCTGCCCAAGAGGCAAGTGGTACTGGTGGAGGTCAGTTTTCATACCAGTGACTTCTCATGTCATCTGTTTTGTTGTCTCTCTTGTCATCTGTTTTCTCTAGTCATCTGTTTTGTTTATCTCTCTTGTTTTGTTTATCTCTCTTGTTTTGTTGACATTAATCATCTTGTATAGAGCAGCCTTTCTGAGTTATATAACTGACTTTTTTGGGAAGTTATTTAATTAATTTAATTTATTTTTTTGAGACAGTCTCTCTCTGTCATCCAGGCTGGAATGCAGTTACAGTCACAGCTCACTGCAGCCTTCATCTCCTGGGCTCAAGTGACCCTCCCACCTCAGCCTCCTAAGTAGCTGGGACTACAGGCCTGTGACAGCTTCCCCTGAATCCTTGCTAGTCTTTTCTTTTTTTTTTTCCTTTTTCTTTTTCTTGAAGAGATGAGGTCTTGCTCTGTTGCCGGGGCTGGTCTCAAACTCCTGGGCTCAAGTAATCATCCCTTCTCTGTGCCTCCCAAAATGCTGGGATTATAGGTGTGAGCCACCAGGCCTGGCCCTGGGAAATTCTTTAATACTTCTCATTGAAGTTTGTGACTTTCTCTTGTACTTTAATGATTTAACAAACTAGTTCTCCTTTATAATAATCAAATTGTCCTTTGCTCATGGGTAAAAACTAATTTTAAAACTTGGTTTGAAGCGTTTGGGACAGAGACAATGCCTTTTGGAAATGGTTGCTTTTTTCTACTTCATAAATCAACTCATCACATTTTCATATTACTGTTAATTGCCATTTTACTCAGGATGGTATAAGTGGAGGTTATCGCAGTTGTTAGGTATTTGGAAATGTAATCATTGATATAATTATTAATATGATGCTATTGTTTATCATAAAGTAGATCTTGAAATGTCAACCAGAGTCATATATATCTTGTATTCACTACTTGTGAAAAACCTTCTTGCTGGTATTAATGTTTTTATAACATTCACTGTATGCCAGGTACTGTTGTAAGGGCCTTTATGTACTAACTAATCTGATTTTCTCCTAATCCAAATGAGCTAAATATTGTTATTATCCCTCTTTCACTAGTGAGGAAAGTGAGGCACAGGCAGTTTGAGTAACTCCATCAAGGTTCTACAGCTATGAAAGGTAGACTCACAATTCTAACCCAGAGGTTAGACTTCTCTAAGAGCATAATCTTAAGTATTATGGATTAGAATTCAAGACAATCTTTACTTTAGTCTCATTTTCATTTGAGCAGGCAGTATTGCGGCATTTACTAAATAGATGAGGCAGCTGGGTCCCAGAGATTAAACTCGTGGTGGGAGGAGGTGAATCCAAATCCTAGAGTGCTGTTGTTTTCACTCTTGTCTCTCTTTTACACATTGCTAGCCTCTGAGAATACTGGTAAGTTTCAAAATATCTTCTTAGTTTCTGCTCTGTTTTCTAAGTTATTTATAAATGAAATTGAATCCCATTGGTCCAGAAGAGAGCTCTGAATAATGCCTTCGGACAGCTTTTTTTTCGACTTGGTGTTATGAGTGATAACTAGCTTTTTAATTGGTTTCCCACTGAGTTTCAGATCAATTTGACTTGTTCAGTGATGTCAACCACAGTGTAGTTATACATGTAGGCCCCAAGTATTATTATTTTTATTCTTTACTTGCCAGAACGTTTTATTCTCTGCTAAATAATAGAAATAAATATAACTCCACATTTTAAAGCCAATGCTTAAAAGGTGGCAATTACGAGTAATACACTGTCTATTTAACCTTTTGTTTCCGAGGCATAGAACATGAATAAAAGAACTTTTTGAAAGTTTATTCTTCATGAAATTTCTTTGAAATAAAACATTTATATTTAGTTTGAGAAATAATTGGTGGGAGAATTGTTGGATATAATAGAACTTGTTATATTAATTCCTTTCCTGCTGGCAGATAAATGTTACCATCAAATGAAAGCCAGCGTAGTTTATTGTTTGAAATAAAACAATGAATAGGGTTCTAATATAAAGAATCCTAAAATTAAGTAAAAGCAGCCATTATTTTGTAAAGAGATAATTTGAGTTTACCATATAATCCTTTTTTTTTTTTTTAAGTGGAGATGATGTATTTAAATCTTAAGACTTCCCAAGCAGGGGAAAAATAGACAAATAAGATGAAATAAAGTATATGTAAATGCAGTTTCATGTTTATAGAACTTGAGATTCAAGGTGTAAGTTTTACACCTACCCAAAGTTTCTATAGTTCTGTAGAAGGAACAGTATGATTTCTAGGTTTTTTTCAAGCTACAATTTTGCCTAACCCATTTAGTAATTGACTTAATGTCTAATATTTTAATTGTGAATCGAATCCATGAAAAGGGTTTTCTCTGAATTTTATTAAACATTTTATCATTCTGCTTACCTAACGAAAGAATAAGTAGCTAAAATTTGGGCAGTTTTTAAAAGGTAAGAACAGAACCAATCAATTAATTTGTAATGTAAAGAATGATGACATTTAGGGTAACATGTATTCTTGTCTTTTTTTTATTAACTGAGATATAATGGGATATCCAACTATCCAGTTAGTAGATGTATACCATTACTACTAGTGTAGCTTGCTCTTCCATCAGTTTAATAATATGTATTAGGAAAACATTGTTGTTCTCACTCTCAGACCGTAGATTCTGTATAAGCATACCTCCTTGACATATCCATTTTTTTCATGAACAAACTATCCCTTTCCATTGCTATATTCCAATCTTAAATTTTTGTGATATCCATGAGATCATTTTAAAATTTTTTTGTTGTGTTGTCAATTAATTCAACCTACATATAGTTTTTTGAGTCTGCTAAATGCCAGATACTATTTTGGGTGCTGAGGATATAGCACTAGACAAAATAAACAAGAATCCTGACTTTAAAGAGTTTTTATGTTGGCTGGAGAGAAGATCCTGTTTATTTCTCAAATGTTATCATTTGAAGCAAAATAAAGAACTTACGGTGATTTTATTAGCACTTCAAATGCCTAAAGTTTGGTTTAAAATACATTGTTTTGTAGAAACATCCTGGAAGAAAAAGAGCAACAAGAAGGGTTTTTTTGTTTTTACATGAACATGAGTGATCAAACCTAAGATTAAACCATATTCCATAGATATTAGTTTTATTAGACTAGTAATGTAGTAGTTATATATCTTAGTTTAAATGTATCTTTTGATATGCATGTAAATGGTCCTTTTTGGGTTGTCTGTATTAAATCTTGAGAAGGCTCAAATTGCCCTCTACCGGCTGGGCACAGTGGCGCACGCCTGTAATCCCAGCACTTTGGGAGGCCGAGGTGGGTGGATTACCTGGGATCAGGAGTTTGAGACCAGCCTGATTGATATGGTGAAACTGTCTCTCTAAAAAAAAAAAAAATTAGCCGGGCCTACTGTGGCGGGCACCTGTAGTCCCAGCTACTCAGGAGGCTGAGACAGGAGAATTGCTTGCACTTGAGAGACGGAGGTTGCAGTGAGCTGAGATTGTGCCACTGCACTCCAGACTGGGCGACCGAGCGAGACTCCATCTCAAAAAAGAAAAAAAAAGTTGCCCTCTACCTGCTGTGTACAAATCTGACTGGTGGCTCCTGATGCATGGAGGGGGAATGGTGGAAAAATGGTTGGGGACTAGACTATAGTCCCTATGTCCTTTCTACAGGCAGTTTAGTATGCTAGCTAAAAGTGTAAGCTTTGGATTCTGACTGGTTGTGTTCAAATCCTGGCTTTGTCAATTTATTAGCTTTGTTAGGATGGACAAGTTAATTTATGCTTTAGTTTTCTCATTGTAATATGAGGAAGATAATATCTACTACATTAGATTGATAGGACTAAATTGAGACATTTTATGTTAACAGCATTGTATTGGGCCTAGTCCATAGTAGGAGATCAGTCAGTGCTAAAGATTATTGTTGTCACTGATCATTGCTGATACAGCAGCAGTAGTAGTAGTAATAGTAATGCTATTATTATCATCATCATTGTCATCATCATCATATCAGTGTGATCAGCAAATTTAGAAACAGACTGGTTGTGCTGTACCTTGAAAATGCAGCAAATGTGAAAATCTGTTTTGATTAAAAAATATGTATATTATATATCTGTTTTCTTATTTCTGTTCAGTGAAGATACCATTTTACAACTTACTAGTCTCTACATACCAAATAAGTATTATTTTGCTGAGGGTTCCTAATAACTCTTGCATCTAATATATACTTTGAATAGGAAATACAAATCTCAACTTGTGATACATTTTTCTAAAATTCTTTTAGAAAACATTTTATGTAGCTTAAGGAGCCATGTCTGTTTTAATTAGAAAGGTCATAATAGCTTGCTAGGTTTATTTATTTTCTCCTCATTCCTCAATTCATTGCTGTAATTTATTCTTATGTCGGAAGAGTAATCATCATCATCCTTGTATCCAGATGTTATCTTTTTTACTTTTCAGTGATCTGTGATAAAATATTAGTTATTGACATGGAAGAAAATAAAATAGTTTTTTATTTGGTGACAAATGAAATAGTATGGTTGTAGCATCCATTCTAAATCATCATTTGTATGATTCAGAAATTTAAAATTATGGACTCACACACCTTCAAAAACCTATCTCTGGTACATAGTTTGCTAGGATATTACATGCTAACTGGAAATCTGTGTTTTAGATACACGATATAATAAACTTCTTATTTTGTAATCTAGAGGGGAACCTTGACTTTGGATAATTTGCCCCAATAATAATAACTGCAAGGGTGATGCTGTTGATTGATCAGTCGTCACTGCCCCTTCCCAGACCTCATTAGCTTCCCTCTTCTGCTTTAAAACCCTCCAGTGGTTTCTTATTACTTTTTACATGAAGACCAATCTCTTCACCAACATAATTTTCAAACGTTTATGAAGTGTTTCTTGTGCAAAGTGTGTTGTATAACCTAATAATATAAGAAAGTACAATCCTTTTTCTGGGGCTATGATAAATTTTAGGAAAATGCTACTATTGATACTCAGAAATATTAGAGAAAATGTTTTATTGAGCTATAAAGCAAGGCAATTGAAGTTTGTTTTAACAATTTTTGTCTTTATTCTTAATTCAGAATGATTTAGTTGTTTTCATGGATTCATGGATGTTAAAGCTAAAAGGGACTTAAGAGAGAATGTTTGAAGCCCTTCATTTTAGAGAGTCACATGCCAGAGAGTGCCTAGCTCATGAAGAGACAGATTTGTTTCTGTTTCTCAGGTGTCCTGATTTGTGGAACATTGCTCTGCTCTATTACCATACTGTGTTTACCTTGCTTTTCCGTTTAAATTTATTCTTTTTTTTTTTTTTGAGACAGAGTATCAGTCTGTCACCCAGGCTGAAGTACAGTGGCACGATCTGAGCTCACTGTGAGCTCTGCCTCCTGGGTTCACACCATTCTCCTGCCTCAGCCTCCTGAGTAGCTGGGAGGCAGCCACCTCCACACCTGGCTAATTTTTCATATTTTTAGTAGAAACGGGGTTTCACTGTGTTAGCTAGGATGGTCTCGATCTGCTGACCTCGTGATCTGCCCACCTCAGCCTCCCAAAGTGCTGGGATTACAGGCGTGAGCCACCGCGCCTGGCCTTAATTTATTCTTATGTTATATTCAGTCAGGCCTTATCTTTGCCTCCTGTAGATTTTCTTTCTTGATCATGGCTTACTGCAGTCTCAACCTTTTAGTAGGGCTCAAGCGATCCTCCTACATCAGCTTTCTGAGTGGTTGGGACACTGGGATGACAGGCATGCCACCACCACACCTGGATAATTTTTAAATTTTTTGTAGAAATGAGGTCCCACTATGTTGCCTAGGCTAGCCTTGAACTCCTTGGCTCAAGCAGTCCTCCCTCCTTGGCTTCCTAAAGTGTTGGAATTACAGGTGTGAGCCACAATACCAGGCCTAGATTTTCTTTCTGTTGTTTTTCAGTGATACTTTTCAACCTGCAGAATCATTCCTTTACTCTTACTATCACCTGTCCTCTAGGTCTGTGCTATCTAATATGGTAGCCACTGGCCACATGTGGCTATTTAAATTTAACTTAATTAAAATTAAATTAAAAATCACTTTCCTCATGTCAGTAACCATATTTTAAGTGCTTATAACCAGTGAGCATTTACATAGCTGGTGGTTACTGTATTGGATAGCAAAGATGCAAAACATTTCTGTGATCACAGGAAGTTCTGTTGAAAGCACTACTCTGCCCCAACAGCTTACAATCCAGAAGACCATTTATGTTGGTTTTAACAACATGCACTGCAGGCTCTTGATAAGTGTTTTAGAATTTGTGAATGAAAACTTATCCATACCTTCCTTTAATTACTTGCCAAATTTTTTATTTGTAATTTTTCTTTTTGAGCCATTTTATGATTCAGCAATATGGTATTTCCCATTTATATAGTATGTATATAATATGTATCCTGTACCACTTAAAATACTATAAGCATGAATCTTAGATATTAATGTTATAGAGATGCTGTTTGCATTTTACTCCTTGTGTGGCTAAGTCATTGAGGTAATGTGAATTTTAAACACTTATTTTTTTTTAAATTTGAGTTTTAACGGTGACTCCCTGATGATCATTCCTTGGCATGAACATAAACACCGAGCTAAAGATTGGTGCGAGGAGTTGGCTTGCAGGTCAGTATGAGCCTGCAGGAGGCATCTTTGTTTCTTTGTGGGATGGGTGAACTGATGGCCCTGTGAAAGTGGTGTCTGACCAATGAAACCTTACTTGATGACACTCCCTAATTTAGAAAGTTTGAGTGAAGTTTTAAACTCCTTTGACTCAGTTATGTTAAAATTTTTTAATGGAAAAATTAAATACTACAAAGGAATTATGTTAAAAAATGGTGCTTATTACAACAACTGTTTTCATTTTGTGTTATTCCCTTTCAGTCTTTCACATATAGTGATATTAATTTTTTTATAGTTGTAATTATGGTATGTATGCAATTTTGTTCTTGATCAGTTTTAATTTTTTTTCTTGTCAGATTTAACTTTGGGAAGCCTCAGAATGTGTAGGCATCCAGTACTGCAGAAGGGGGGTGGGAGAGTCGGTGTGGGGCTGAAAATTCATGTGAGGAATATTGGAATGCCTTTATGCCCTACTCCTCAAAGTCGGGTAAATACTCCTTCACTGTCTCTTCTTCCTTTTTGTTTTTCTTTTTTCATGTGAGACAAGAGGTTTGTGCTTTTTTTGACTCATGCATTGAGGCAAAGGGCCTCTAAATTGAGCTAGAAAACCTTCAGATTACTGGATATTAATCTGAATCTGCATAGGAGGAGTTGAGTAATTGGTTTGAAAATCTGGGCATTTAGAAAATGTATGACCTGAATGTCCAAACTCTGCTTTCCTTCCCACTCCCTGCTCCCAGATGCAGGCATATTCCCCAAGTAGAAGTTTAGAGAGTTCTTTTCTGGAGAAATGAGTAACCTCTGAAAAGAGGTTTCTAGATACTGAGATATGGCCCTCAAAAGTTAGTGCACCACAAGGTCATAATGAAGCCAACAAACGAACAGGTTCTGCCACCCCTGCAGAGCTTCCTGGACATCCGAGGTTAGACTCCAGCAGGAAGAACAAATGAACAAGAAGGGCAAAACATACGGAAAACGGAACTGAAAGAAAGTGATACCACATACACAACGAAAACTTTAAAAATTATCATTAATATTACCTGGAGATAAGAGAAGATACTGTATTTGTGAAATATCAATAGCATTGTATAAAATAGAAACAGAATTAAGAGAAATTTAGGACATTAAAAATGTGATAGTTGGTACATAAAAATTAGAAGAGTTGGAAGATAAAAGCAAGAAACTTTCCTAGAAAATAGGTTAAAAATACATAGCTAGAAAGTAAGAGACCAGTTATTTAAAAAACAAGTGTAATATTCAAGTTATAGATGAAAGAGATGCCATGGGTAATAGAGGGGAGGAAATTATAAGAAATAATTCAAGCCTATTGCTTTGAATGGAAGATTATGCATCCTCAGAAATGCCTATTACATTACAGCATACCACCATGACCTTCCAGAATATTAGGGATACAGTCTTGTGAAGAGAAAGGCATGTTATGTAAAAGGAGTTGGGAATCAGAATGACCTCAGGCCCCTTAGGAAAAACACTAGAAACTAGAAAACAATGGAGCAATCCTTTGAAACTTTTGGAGGATAATATTTTTTGCTATAGATTTCTGTATCAGCTAAAATCACTAGTCAGATATGAAGTTAAACACCTAAAGGTTTATAAAATGTACTGTTGCTGTTGTAATGTCTATGGTAATTGATAGTGTAGAGTTGAAGAGGAGACTGGGGAGAGTGGAAAGCAAGAAGAGAGCTGGGCTAACAAGCCTGTGTCCTTTCTGGTATTCATGCTTGGGGAGAGGAGGGAGGATGCTGTAGCAAAGGTGACTGAGAAGGGGCAGCCAGAGGGAGGAATGCTTCACGGCATGACAGCAGACTGACGAGGGGCAAAGGGCATTTCCAGAAGGAGGAGCGGTCAGTTCTATCAAAGGGTGCTGAGGAGGAAATAAATATGCAGAACTGAAGGAGGTATCAGAGGAACTCAGCGTTACTGTTGGCCCCTTTTTCTTGCAAAAATAGAGCAGATGTAAGAGATGCCAGGAGGAGTGAGTGATGTGCTTCGTGTGGGCAGAGCTGGGGGGAAATCCCTGGAAGAATGTTAACAACACTGTGAGACTAGTAAGTGAAGGACCATTCCATATATAGGGAAGTTTTATTGTAGTGGCAGGTATAAGCAAAGTAGGTTGTCAAAGGCATTTGGGTAAAATGCCCCAATGTTTACAGGCTGTGTTTCTGCTAATAATTTTAACAAAAATAACAGTAAATAAAATTAAGCACTTCCTTTGTGCCAGGCAGTGCTCTGTTATTTTGAATTTTCACAACATTCTTGTATAGTGTTTTCCCCGTTTAAATAAAAGGAATAAATAGGAATAAAGGAGATCTTAGACTAGTTTTAGTTAAGGAATTTGCAGGTTTCACAGCTTTCAGTGATGGAATTGTATGTCTGATTCTATTCTGACTCCAAAGCTCATTGCCTTACAACAAGAACCATTGTAGCACCAGTCATGTACTGCCAGCTTGCTTTAGATGAATGACTATCCCTAATGGAACATAGCATTTTTACATATGCCCATCTGATACTTGTTACTTTGTATTTTTTTTTTGTCCTTAAACATGGAAGGCAATTGGCCATGATCATTCTCGTTAAAAACTCCTCATGATCAGCAATCCCCACGAGGTTAGCCCTGTGTGTGTTCCTCCAAATGTGGTTTCTTTTTTTTTTCACAGTTGATAGGGAATGGTATAGAGTAGTCCTGTGCTGTGCAAATGTCAGTACAGTACTAAATTGCTGGCACCTAGTAGAGGTATATTATCAACATAAATAAGGTGTATTTCCTCTTATTTTTATGAACATCGAAAACAAGATTTCTTAATTCAAATTCAAGTTGGAATCACTGGGGATATTTTCCTAAACTAGGCCTGGCTGGCCAGCACAGGAGATTTTGATTGAGTGGGCCTGCGGTAAGCACCCAGCTGTGTATATTTTGTAAAAGCTTCCCTCGGTGATTTTTGATTTTGTTAGTACTTATTTGATTGATTTGTGGCATAGCCGTTTTGATGTATTATGCCTTCTGATTTTTTAAATCGGGAAAACGGGGGGAAAATAAATTACGCATCCAAAAAAGTCTCATTTATCTTGTAAGGGTGCGTGTGCATGTGATAGATACACAAACCACATACATGTATGCTCCCTGTCTCTTACTTTCTCCCCATCTCTGTCCCTGTCTTTCTCTCACAAAATTATATGTTTTTCCAACATTCTAGTCAGTTATTAATTGGTCCTTTTGTGCTTCACAGAATGGTTGTTGAGCCGAATCTCCAAGATGAAAGTGAATTCTTGTATGCTGCACAGCCTGAGTTACTAAGGTTCAGGATGACCCAGCTTACGGTGGAGAAGGTTATGGACTGGTATCAGACCAGAGCAGAGGAAATAGAGCATTATGCTCGGCAGGTGAGGGGAAATGGCAGCTGCTGCTCAGTAATGTTAGTGGAACTGCCTTGGATCCTTAGGATTCAGTACACGGAGTCGGGGCTGACAGCAGTGCAGGAATCATGTATATAATTGCAAGAGATGAATTGAATATTTATTTCTTTGTTATCCTGTGCATTAGAACGTTTTGTGGCTTTTGTTTTGGATTCTTACAGAGCAGGTGCATAAAAGTAACGTTAAAACCTAAGTTGCAAAATGTGGTACATACTGTCCCTTGTTTTCTATATATTTTTCGTAGGCTTAACACCATATAATTTAAAAGATCGTGTCTACATACAAATTCTTGGTTAAGCCACTGTTTTATTGCAGTAATGCAGTTGATTGTAACTTTGCCTTTCAGGAACCCTGTTTGAAGTTGTTTCTAATGTTTTCCTGAAGTTCATGCCTAATTTCTCTCAGTTCTTAGACACTTTTACAGAGATGCCAAACAGCTGCATTAGAGAAGGATCTGGAAGAGAGAGATGACGATTATACTGAACCTTAGAGTATCTGAATACTAATCTTGACTCTTCAGCTAATAGACTTTGTGACTCGGACCTATTGCCTGTCTTTTCTGTACCTTGGTTTTCCCATGGGGTTGGTTCTAGCTAGCAGATGATGATTTCTTTCTTCCACGTTCAGTCTTCACTTTTTACTGCCTGTCCTACCATCAGCCTTTGATTTGACAGGAAAGGTGAATCCAGGTGGTCTGGTGAGCAGCAGTACCATGGGAGGTAATATATCCCCTTTGTTTAAATTTCTACTTAGTTGAGCTTCAAGTCAGTGACAAGTTTTTTAAAAATTTTAAAAATAAATAAATAAAATGAATTTCTACTTAGTTTATCTAGCATGACCCATGTGCTTCCACATGATAGATTTCTTGAATTTCTGCTTAACCTAATTCCTATTTTATAATATTCATAGCATTGAAGATGAATTATTTGCTGAGCTGTTGGGAATATTCTAGACTAAACTCTTTGGGTGATGGCCAAGAACATTTGTGATTGACATCCTAGTCTATGAAGATGCACTTTTGAAAATGTGTAGAATCTGAAGAGATAACACGATGAAGTGAATCTTTGGAAATAAGCTAGTTCAGTTACTTTAATTCCGTATTTTATAAATAGATAAAGTTCACAGAAAGAATGAACGTCTTGCACAGGGACACACAGTGGCAGAGCCAGACAAAATCTGGGTCCCTGTATAATCTTTTAAAATAGAATCTGTATAAAAAAAACTGTAAAAAAATAAATGATCAACTCCACGTAGGTTGTTGTAACGTGCACCTAGACATTTTTTAAGACTCCAGTGGCACTGTATGAGTTATAGGAGTTTTGCAAATATATGTGTTTTGCTGTTATCTCTGGCTAACAAGAAAAATGATTTTGTTAGATGGACAAGTTTTGTTTGAGCCTTTTGCGGTTTCCTAGTTGAACTTATAGATAAAGCTCTTTGAGAATAAGGAGAAAAGTGTGTCTGTGTTTGAGTATTTATATATACATCAAAAAAACTTATTTCTAGGTAGTTTTGTCAGTTGAGCTAGGAATGTGAATTAAAAAATTTCTCATGTCAGTAAAAAGTGCTGGGCAATCAGTATCATGAATTTTAAAAGATCATTAATGATTCCTCAATTTTTGGTGTTTAAATATTTTGTAACCCAAATTTCAAACATTATTCAGTTTCAAAAAATTAGTGACAGAAAAAAATGCCACAATGGAATGCAAAATAAGCTGTGGGTTTTTTTTTTTACAATCAACTATTTTGTTATTTATTTATAGACTTTATTTTTTAGAGGAATTTCAGGTTTGCAGAAAAATTGGGTAGGAAATACAGAGTCCCATATTGCTCCCCCCACTCACAAGTTATTAGTAACGTCCTGCATTTGAGCAATACATTTGTTAGCATTGAAGAATCAAGATGTCCTTTAGTAGGTGAACAGATAAATTGTGGTGCCCCCAAAATAGAATATTTACTCAGCTCTAAAAAGAAATGAACTATCAAACCATGGAAGACATGGAGGAACCTGAAATGCCTATTACTTAGTGAAAGAAGCTAATCTGAAAAGGCTGCATACTGTATGATTCCAACCATATGACTTTTTGGGAAAGCCAAAACTATGGAGTCAGTGAAAAGATCAGGGCTTACAAGGGGCTAAGGGAGATGGAGGAATGAACGGACAGAGCACACAGGAGTTTGAGGGCAGTGAAACTGTTCTTCATTGGATACCATAATGGTGGATATGTGTCATTATGCAATTGTCAAAACTCTTGGGATGTACAGCACTAAGAGTGAATCTGAATGTAAACCGTGGACTTTGGGGGATGATGATGTGTCAGTGCACGTTCATGGGCCTGGTGGGGAATGTTGATAGTGGGAGAGGTTGTGTGGTTGGAGGGTGGGGCAGGAGATATATGGAAATTGTACTTTTAGCTCAATTTTATGGCAAAGCTGAAACTGCTCTAAAAAATAAAGTGTATTAAAGGAAAAACCTATAGAGCTTTCTGAAACTTTAATTTGTAAATAACCTAGCAATAATGCCTGGACACCTTGAATTCTCTTTTTGAGTAATAAGGGATAATTATAAAGAAAGTAAGTTGATTTTGGAGGACTTCAGTTGGCTTGTATTCTTTCTCTCATTCTTTCATTTATTTTAAAACACTTAGAGGCTTTTTTTTTTTGGCTTCATGTTAGGTATTGATGTTTCATGTGGATTATGCTGTGATCAAAGTGATATCTGACATAGTTTTATCTTTTTCATTTTTAGAGATTTAATTGATGTGGGACTTCTTTTTCCCTAGTGCCTTTAGCGAAACTTGTTTGTTGGTTTAGGGAAATGTTTATTGTGGTGAATTTTATCTGGCCAGGACCTAGGGTATATGATATAATTCTGTAAGTTGCATTAGAGCCTACTTGCAGTTAAAGTGTCAGTAATTTCATTTTAAAACACTTATACTTTAGTAAGTATTTGGGAAGGCAACAGATTCAAAGCTGATATTAAAAATACTAGTTTGGATCACAAAATTGGTGAGTATATTACAAATTGCTGATGTACTGTGTGTTCAGACTATCACTTGCACAAAACTGTGCTCTATGCATCAAGCTTTCTTAATGCTTTCTGAGAATTCATTTGAGATAGAGGTTTTTTTGTTTTTGTTTTTTTTAAAAACTTGCTATAAAGGTAGATGTATTCTTTCGGACTTGAACTTTGTTTTTATTACTAGGCATTAAGGTAAAAAAACATGTGTCTGTTGAAGTACTGGGAGAGCCCCCATATTTTGCCTCATACTGTACCTCCCTCTACTGTTCCCCCCTTATATTTATTTGGACCACTCTTTCCAACTGAAAATGCATTTCTTCTTTTTTCACTTCATCTTCACTTGTCCATCCCTAGGTCTTTGAAGGGTTGTGAGTGGGCCTTTATTATTGCGTGGCATTTTTTCTTGGCATTACGTTGCTTCCCCCTCTTCCCCTTCTCCTCTACTCCTTTTACCCCACCACTTCCCTCATCATTCTCAGAACATGATTTGGCTTTGTATTTTATTTGAAAATTTGAGAACTCCATTCCATTTGCATGTGCTCCTTCCAGCTTTTCCCGAGGAAGAGGGCTCTCCTCTTTTGGTCAGAGCCACTTTCTTTCCTTACCTTGCTCTAGATTCCACATTCCCCCCTGCTTAGCGTGGCTTTCTAAGCTGTCTGTTTTCTCTGGCTTGTATCTTTTACCTCTCCTTCTTTACTGCATCTACTCTCTCTGCCCCTCCCCTTTTTGTGGGCATAAAATTCACATCCCTTGTATTTTGTAAATAAAAAAAAGAACCATATTCTCCTTGGCTTCTTTCTTTGCTTTTTATTTCTATCACAGTTCAGCTCAGAAATAGCCACTCTGCTTTTTGTTTACTTCTCATTTCCCCAGAGCCTGGCGACTCCCACCGCCCTGCTGAGACCGCACTCAGTAAGGCTGACAGCCCACCTCAGTCTACCTCTTAATGTCACATTCTCTTCATTTGTAGTTTAACATCGTTGCTTTTTGACATTATTCACTGCTTCTTTCTTGTAATTCTTCTTCGGCTTCTGTGATATTTTTAAGGTGTTTCTTGTTGTTGTCTTAACCATTCATTGTACTCTTCTCCTAGGGCTCATGTTCTTTGGCCTGTCCCTTAATTATTGCTATTGCCCAGCGTGCTACTGTTATTACTAGAAGAGAGTCTGCAGTTGTGACCCATTTAGATCCCTCTCCCCAAATACTGTTCTATGATGTTTGTGCTGACAATTGTCAAATATCATCGTTGGCTGGGCATGGTGACTTATGCCTGTAATCCTAGCACTTTGGGAGGCTGAGGCAGGCGAATCATGAGGTCAGGAGATCGAGACCATCCTGGCTAACATGGTGAAACGCCATCTCTACTAAAAATACAAAAAAATTAGCCAGGCATGGTGGCAGATGCCTGCAGTCCCAACTACTCGGGAGGCTGAGGCAGGAGAATGGTGTGAACCCAGGAGGCAGAGCTTGCCGTGAGCCGAGATCGCACCATTGCACTCCAGCCTGGGAGGCAGAGTGAGACTCGGTCTCAAAAAAAAAAGAAAAAAATCGTCAACCAAGTACATGTACTTTGGCACAGATTTTGTTTTCTTCTTCTTGGACCTACTATTGGGCATCTGTATCAAGATATGGGCACCTCACAAGCAACATGGTCAATATAGAATTAAAAGCCAGGCATGGCATGGTGGCATGCGCCTTTAGTCCCACCTGCTCTGTTGCGGAGGTGGGAAGATCACTAGAGCCCAGGAGTTCAAGGCTGTAATGTGCTATGACTGCACTTGTGAATAACCCACTCCACTCCAACCTGGGCAGTATAGGAAGACCTTGCCTCTAACACAGACACACACACACACACTCATACACACACACAATTTTTACTTTTAATAAATGTATTCTTCTACACACACACACACACACACACACATATATATGTATGAATATGAATTTCTGCTGTGGATTAGATGAGAAATCATTCTAGACTCCTCTTTACTCAAATTTCTCATCTGCTCTGACCAAATTTCACAAATTCTGTCTGCTTAATTATCTGTTATATTCTTTTTCTTGTATGTCTTCAGGAATACTGTCATAGTTTAGCCCCTTATTATTTTTGCCCAGTATATTAGAAATATGCAACAAGTATTTACTGTCTGTGAATAAGTGTGTGAACTAATCAGTCAATGAATGGCGAATCAGTGTGTTTCTGTCAGAATTTCTCTAATACTGGTAACTGTAATTCTTCTGACCAGCCTGCCTATTTTCACTCCAGTCCATTTCCAGTTCATCATGTACATTTCATTCATCAGTCAGTAAATACTTAGTATTCCTTCCAAAGTGTAGCTCTATTTGTGACATGTCTCATTCAGAAATCCTCTGCCTTCCTGATCAGCTGCGTGTTCCTTAGCTTGACACACAGCATTCATGATCCGGCCCGTCCCTCCTACTCTAGCCGTCTTTCTCATTGCTGCCCCTCACACCTTCTTTTCAGTCACGTGGAATTGTACTTTCACAACTCACCATGCATCTCTGCATTCCATGCTGCTCTCCTTCCCATAATCTTCCTTCCTCACCTCACAAATACCCTTTGATTCTTTAGAGTCCATGCTAAGTGTTCCCTCCTCTGGGACCCTCTCAGGCTGGCTAAGTACTGTCTTCTGTGGGATCCGCATCATACACAGCACTCACTGCACTCTGCTTCAGTCATTGTGGTTGTCTTTTCTTACAAGGCTGAGAGATCTTTGAAGGAAGAGACCTCATCTTACTCAGTTTTGTATTTCTAACACAAATGGTGAATGGTGCTTAGCTTCTAGTAGGTCCTCATGAATAATTGGGAATAGGAGAGTAAGAAGTAGTGTGAGAGAGAATGGCTTTAGACTACACTAGATCATTTCTCTATCACTCGGAGAATGTATCAGTTCATAAACTTGACCAGGAAATAGGGGTCAAATGGCTGTTTCCTGAGCATCTTCAGGAATATCAGTCTGTGTTTTTGTCTTTTGAAGGCTAAATATTTGAACTGAGACCAAGAAAGTGTTTGTAACATAGTTATTCAGCAAATATTTATTGAATGACTTTTATATGGAAAGGCAGTGTGAAAGGATAGATACTATACAGGAATATAAAAGTAAAACCTTCAAAACAAACATTCTTTTTGGAAGCAGAGTGGTAATAGTAAAAATAAGGTTATTTTGACATTATCATTAGTAGGTATGTGTTTTTTCTCTTATTATGTAAATATAATGTTGTAAGAATTAAAAGAAATATGTAAAGCTGCATTGTGAACTGTAACGCTCTACAAATTTATAATAGGTTGGTTGTCTTTCTCTTCCGTATTTCTTGCTGATTGTTTGATTCCTTTGAAACAGTTTGATGCTGATGTATTTGATAAAGGACTCTGATGTTTTTGCAGTAAATAAAAAACGTATGTTACTGGTAATGCAATTTTATAAAAAATGATTATAAGAATTAGATTCTGTACTGGAGACTTTTACTTTAGAATAGATGAGAAATATATAATACTCAGGAACTTATTGTTGCTTTTCAATTTTAGGTGGACTGTGCATTGTCACTTATTCGACTTGGGATGGAGCGGAATATTCCTGGTTTGCTGGTTCTCTGTGACAATTTGGTTACTCTGGAAACATTGGTTTATGAAGCCAGGTGTGATGTAACTCTAACCCTGAAAGAACTCCAGCAGATGAAAGACATTGAAAAACTAAGATTACTGATGAATAGTGTAGGTTTTATTTTAACTTCCTTTTTAAATATTTTAAAGCATTTTCTATGCACTTTGATACATATGTGTCTCAAACCAAAGATGAAATGTTCTACAGACCTGAGAAGTTAGTAAATAAAGATTGACTTTTTTCACAGTAAAATATTATGCATAACTTACTAAACACATATAAAACTATTTTGGTTGTGTTTATACCTTGCTTGCCCTTTACTCAGACCCATCTGTATAACTTTTTTTTTCCGTTCTAGTTAGGTGTTTTTCTAAACTAGCTAGTGATTCTAGTAATCCTGTATTTAACCTTTCACTTTGTTAAACTTCCCAATTACTTATGTATTTCAAGGACTGGAAAAAAGTATCAGGGTTAAGAGGACCGGGTGGTTGTTTGAAGAAAACATCTTGGCTTCAGGGTTAGTATGTTTAAGAGAATTTTCCCAGTAATTCTTAGATCATTCTGTGCTTTCTCCCCAAAATTAGAACCTTATTTGTACTCCGGCCACTGAGTCAACAGGCAAGAAGGATGGTGCTGTGGAGGTGGTAGCTGCCAACGCTCTTTCTAGTCTTTTGCTTGTTGGCAGCTTAGGTTGAATGGTCCAGAAGAAGGGGCAGAGTCACAACTGCATGATAGGTTCTTTTTCCTCCCTGGACTCTTTTTCTCTCCTTCCCTTCCACATTTTCCCCCATCTTATATTTATCTTCCTTTTTTTTTTTTTTTTCTTTTTTTCAGATGGAGTCTCACTCTGTGGCCCAGGCTGGAGTGCAGTGACGTGATCTTGGCTCACTGTAACCTCCATCTCCTGGGTTCAAGCGATTCTCCTGCCTCAGCCTCCCGAGTAGCTGGGATTACAGGCGCCTGCCACCACACCAGGCTAATTTTTGCATTTTTAATAGAGATAGGGTTTCACCATGTTGGCCAGGCACTGGTCTTGAACTCCTGACCTCAGGCGATCTACCTGCCTAGGCCTCCCAAAGTGCTGGGATGATAGGCGTGAGCCACCTCTCCTGGCTTATCTTCCTTTTGTCTCTCCCTCTGTCTTTACTTTCCCGTTATCTCATTAGTTTCTTTTCCTGATAATCTACCTAATTAAAATTAATTTGTGTTATATGTTGACTCCTCTTAATAGCTTTAGGTGTATCTTTTGGGGGATAATTAAGAGAAACGATTGTGTAATTTTAGGGATAATGAGTAAAACTATCTCTGTCATTTGGAATTTTGTAAAGGTGGTTGTAAAGGGGCAAAACAAAGAGGAAGAGGAAAAAGAAGGGAGAGATTCCTGACTTTTATAGATGAAACCCTATTTTCTAGAGGCCCCTATTTTAGAACCTGTGCTTATTTGTGTATCTCTGTCTTTCTACTTTTTTTATTCACTCTTTGTTGGTCTAAGGTCTCCTTTTCTGTGTGTCTCTGCCTCTTTTTATACTCTCTCTCTCTCTCTCTCTCTCTGTTTTTGCGTATGCCTTCTCTTTGCTCTGGATGACCTCATGACTGAGTTGTAGTAGCAGCATGTTGGTTTTCTAGAGCTGAGCTTAGGCTCCTTGGGACCCCATATTGCTTATGATGTAAAGAGATGAGCCATAGTGATATTGTTGCTGTCAGCTCTACTAGCCCCAGTAGCAGGTGATTCATTTTCCTGCTACCTGTCAATCCACATGTGAGTGGTGAACTGGACTGTGTGTTTTAGAGTGTTGGGTTTGCACTGTTTAACATCAGTCTGAGGACCTGTAAGCTTTAGAACTCGCTGTCTGATATAATAAGGCATTTAGTTTAACTTCATTCTTGTTTGTCTGTTTTGCTTGATTGTACTTTCAGTGTTCTGAGGATAAATATGTGACAAGTGCCTACCAGTGGATGGTTCCCTTTCTTCATCGTTGTGAGAAACAGTCGCCTGGTGTGGCTAATGAGCTATTAAAAGAATATTTAGTAACTTTAGCTAAAGGGGACTTAAAATTTCCCCTGAAGATATTTCAGCATTCCAAACCAGATGTAAGTAGAAACTAACTTCTTAAAATTCTGGGCACTTTTTCCCCTACAGTATTAGGTTTTATTTATACAATTTTTATGGTAGGCTTTGCAGATAATTTCCCTTTAAACAGAAAAACAAATGATTGTCATTTTATTGTTTAAAAAGTTTTAACAGCATAGTCAAAAGGTTGTAAAATTATGTTTATTTTGATTTATTTCATTCCAAAGTTTGTTTGCCATCTACTATATTTAAGAAGCTGGCAATACCAAGAAGACTAATAATTGGCAAGTATTGAATTCTTCTATACATGACTTTCCCAGTGTTACCTCATTTAATCCTTATAACAATCCTATGGCATAGATACTTTTATTATGTTAATATTACAAGAAATGAAAATTGTGATATAAAGTGAATAGGGTAATTGCCCAGGGTTGCACAGTAAGTAGAGAAACCAGGATTAAAACATAGTATTCTAATTCCACAACTGTGTCCTTAACCAGTACACTTTCTCCTACCACAAACAGGAAAAGAGGTTTCTGCCCTCGAGGACCTTCACAGTATTTATGCAAATTCTTAAGTTCTCATAAGACATCTTGTAATTATTCTTTTTTTTCTTTTTTTGAGACAGAGTCTCGCTCTTTCGGCCAGGCTGGAGTGCAGTGGCATGATCTTGGCTCACTGCAACCTCCGTCTTCCGGGCTCAAGCAATTCTCCTGCCTCAGCCTTCCGAGTAGCTGGGATTACAGGCATGTGCCACCATGCCTGGCAAATTTTTGTATTTTTAGTAGAGGCAGGGTTTCACCATGTTGGCCAGGCTGGTCTCAAACTCCTGACCTCAGGTGATCCGCCTGCCTCGGCCTCCTAAAGTGCTGGGATTACAGGCGTGAGCCACTGCGCACGGCCGATATTTTGTAATTATTCTTAATAATTCTTATATTTGCTTACAATTACTATATGTATAGCTTTGTATTTCTAAAGGGTACAAATGATTGCTCATATTTCCTGGTAGTATAGTCATTTTGTTAAGTGTAGGGTACTTTGGCAATATCAGAAACCTAAAAATTTAGCCATAGATCAAATATACTGTTTCAAGAGATAGTGTCTCCCTTTCCATTGGAGGGTATGCAAGCAAGTTGGCAGAGCCACAGAAGGCGCTGACTTTGTAGTGAGGTTCAAAACATTAGATTGGGGTTCAAGTGGAAGCCCCATGTAGGGCTCATTCCAATTCTAAATTCTGGCTGGGACTATTTCATTGCACCGGCCTTCATTAGTAGTGTCTGGTAAGATACATGGTCATGGACCAGTATAATCAAAATAGAAAGGAAAACATTGCTTAGCTAATCTATGTTTTGGTTTCTAAAAGGGTGGTCTTTCAGAAATATATCTGTTCATTGGCTTTTTAAAATTTTCTGTCTTCTCATAAGCAGTTTGCTCTTAGTAATCTGATTTTAAGTTTGGGGTGGTGAGGTCAGGGTGGGTTGCTTGTGGCAGCAGAATACTTTGTGAGAAGCAAGATGGATTGAATATGAATGTTTTATGAGGAAGAAAGAAGTGACTTTAAATTCTTTCCAGTAATCTTGTGTGTTATACTTCCGTAAATCCTTTGTATATAGTCAGCTTTTTGTTGTTTTTACTTGGCAATTTAGCGTGTGCCTTTTGAACAAAACATACAGCCATTTGCCTTTGTTGAAACATGTGAATCTCAAAACAGAGAACAGTGATGTTGTTGGGCTCTTCCTTTCCAACCCAGCTTCTGTATTTCTCTCAGTGTTGTCTTCCTGCAACATATATGTGATCATGTCATGATCTGCGGAAAGTTTTCAGTGACTGACCGTTGCTGACAGGTAAATGTTGGATTCTCTAGAGTGGCTTGGAAGGTTCTTTGCTGTCTGCTTCCTGTCTGCTTTAGCTTTATTTCTCTCCATGCATGCACTAGGATACTCACATGGAACTTAACTCCTCCGCTGTCTGTTTCACTCATGGCCCTCCGTGTGTTACAGACTGTTTCCTTTGTTTGGAGTAGTGATCCCGTTTTCTTCACTTAACAAATACCTGCCTATCCTTCAAGGTCCTGCTAAGATTCTCTCTGCTATGAAACCTTCTGTGACTTCTCTGTCTTTGTACTCTGTCTCTATTATAGCTCTTATCATACTGTGCTGTATTTATTTGCTTACATATTTCTCTCTCTCCCCCTTTGCTTTCTGTATATATCTTCTAGATCTTATTTATCTCCTTATTACCAGGGAATTGCACAGTGCCTAGTAGAGAGCAAATGTCAGCAAATTTTGGCAGGGCAAGTGAATAAATAAATGAATGATTGAAACTGGTGTCAATATAAAAAATGTAGCAAGACAAATCTCTAAATGAAAAGATTTTATTTGGGAACAATATTCAAGAAGTAGGACTGCAATTCAAGACATACATACAGAGCAAAGTGGCTTCCAGTATGTGTGGAGAATAAAGGAATGGGTTAGGGTTTATTGGGGAAAGAGGAGGTTACGCAAGTTGTTTTGAAAAGCAATCTTATTGGCGCTGGCAGTGCCTTACAAGAGCTGGTGAGTCTGACTGGTAAGTGTCAGTTGCAGTAAGATAGGGCTTTGTAATCTTGGAGTTACGGTTAGGCTCTTGTAGTTTTGGATTGGGCTTGGGATAGTTTTTGAAACAGGCAAGCGTTTATGTAGAAGTAATTAGCTGTCCTTGTGTGATTCGTGTAGTCAACGGTGGTTTGGAAAATTTTTTTGTGATAGTTACCTGTTATCAGGCAAATGATGTGTAAGAGCCCCCCCTTCATGGCTCTCCCCAGCTCCATTTGCCAGGGTTTGACACAGTGACTTCTATTGTGATTCTTAAAAATTTCACACTGGATTTTATTATGATGCTTTATATCACTTGATTACATTTGTTTGCTTTATTAAAATTGTGCAGGCAGCCTTGTTTGTGTTTTACTTGATTATTTACAAAAAGAATGCACCTCAGAGCTTCCATGAATCATGCACAAAGTATTTTTAGTAATGTAATAGGTGCAGTTATTTCTGTATCAGACAGGATAGACTAAGTTATGCTACATTAACAAGTGACATCTATATCTTAGTAGCTTACGACTGCGAACATTTATTTCTCACAAGTGTCAAACGTCAGCTGTGGTTGGCCTCTGCTGTGTCCCATGTCTTATTCATTTGGGGACTCAGGAAGAAAGAACAGTCCCCTTTTCTCTCTTGTGGCATAGGGAAGAGAACAAAGTAGAACCACACAGTGGCTCACAAAACTTCAGTCCAAATGTGGCTTAGGTTACTTCTTCACATTTCACAGGTCAAAGAACGTCTCATGGGCAAGCTTGATGTTAATGGGGCAGGGAAGAATAATCCTCTCAGAGGAAGAGAGGAGCAAATACTTGGGAATGATAATGAAGTTGACCAGAGTCATAATGATAAAGAAATGGATCTTTAGACTTATACTAGTGCTACCATTACACTTGACTGCCACATTTGTCTTTGAAACCATCTCTTATGCCTCAAACCTTCCTCTTTTTAAAAATAGTATCTTAAAGCACTCCTTTCTGATTTTAAGCCATTGTTCTTTGCTTGGATTCCTCCTTGGAAAGTGAAACTTGGGAAGAAACTTGGGCTAGTCCTAGATAGGGGTAACTGGGGGACAAAAGCTTCCGCCTTCTCATATTGTTCTCTGACTTCTAAACTAGTAATCTTTGAGTGTATCTGTGCCTCAGAACCATGTGCATTTTTTCTTAGCATTTTCTATGCTCAATCCAGATATAATGGATTAGAAATTAGCAGAAGCATCCTGGAGTATGCGTTTGACAATTTATTCGGTGATTTTGATGGAAAACCGGGAACAACTGCTTTAAATGTCCACTCTTCTTTTAACAAATAGGACTTTACTAGGTATCATAGCTTTGTTAGGTGCCATCTTTTTTCTTCACTTCTGATTACATATGTCAGTGAGCAATTTTAGTTTGAACATGACCTTTTCTAATTTAATGCTTACTGTAGAATATTTAGAAAACTCAAAAAATATAAAGATGAATATAAATTTTTGTAGCTGGCAATATCATTGACTAGAAATTCTAAAAATCTTACCACTAAAATATTTAGAAGTACTCATTAAAATGTTAATTTTAAAAAATCTGCTTACCTGCGTGGTTGAACTTTTAGGAGAACAAGGGAAATTTCTACCAGGCAAAAGTGAAGAGAGGGGTAGAAGTTAGAGAAATACTCATGAGAAGGAGGGAGTGGCTACTTGGGATGGGGATTGTGGTCTTGAAACCTGTAGGGGAGTGAATTTTAATACCTATCTTGAGATAGAAGGTGAAGTCTTTAAAATGATGAGTCAGAAGTCAGACTTCTGGTAGATCATGAGTGACCTGGTCAGCTGACCCTGGAGCCGATTTAGGGCGCTTGCCTCGGCTTCAGAGTCACCACAGCCATGGCCAGTCGGTTGGCCCCAGCAGCTGCTGTAGGCTGAGAAGCCATCCACCGAGGAGGGGTACCAAGCAAAAGAACAGGAGGAGGAAGCAGGCCAGTGCCTTAGCTCAGGCTGAAATTGAACAGTACCATCCGCAGAGGGAGAACGTGTTCAAGGCCTTGGAAGCTGCAGCACTGGGATCCCACGGAACTGCAGGAGACCCACGAGAAGATGCCCATCTTCCAGACCTACTTCTAGCAGAACTGGGATGAAGTCTTGGACAACCTTTGCTATATTGGCTAGAAATCCATGGAAACTTCCAGAAGAAAGGAGCACCTGTTTCATGGACTGGCATTTTAGATGCCCGCATGGAATATGAAGCTTTAGCAAAGCTCAAGTTATGGTCTTGTGAAAAGGCATTAAATTATTTCTGTATATTATACAGTAGGTGTTTTAATTTTTTGAGAGTAGCAAATCTAGCTTCTTTGTACAGACTTAGAACTTATGCAAAGATTTTATCTTTTTCCCTCATATTTCTTAGAAATTTAATGAGCACTTGTTGTCTGTTTTCCTATGCCTTTTAGTCAAATACACATGTATCAGTGTTGACTTTTTCTTTCTTAGATCTGGTAAGAAGAAATCCACTTCTTTGAAGAAAAAAAGGGATGAAATAATTTTTTTTTTGCCCTAACACTTTCTTGAAGGTCATGGGCTTTATGAAAAAGTATTAAATAGTTACTTGAACCTGTGAGAAGTTGCAGCAAGCCTTAAAGTAGTTTATTCTTGCTAACGGTTAGAATAATGAACACTTGGGAATTGTTTGGGCTACATTTAGTTTCTCTTAATCAAAATCACCAGATGATAGAATTCACAAACTTTCTACATGTTATTACTTGGTATACTGATACTCATTTAAAATTAAAGATTCTTTGTCATGCAGAAAATAAAAGAAAAAGAAGAAATAAGACTTCTATATAATGCCATGGCTCTTTAAAAGATGCATTGTCAATAATGTAGAATAGGAAACTGCTTATCATTGGCACATGAAGGTAGCAGAGGAGCATGACTCCCTGGGTATGTATTCTGGATTCTAGGGGAGTGGGGAATGTGGGGGCAGGGAGTTTCTTTCTGAGCAGTCAAACAACAGGCTTGCCTAACATGAATTTGTGCTTTCAATTAATACGCCTCTGTGACCTGTGATAAAACTGGACATGGGCTGGTGATACCTAGTTTGCTTGGTAGCAGCAAAAGCAAAACCTCTCTGAAGGACTCACTTTAATCTAGATTGTACAAGATTCTTATAGATAAAGCTTTGATGAGGATAAGTTTACAATCCAACTTTATAAAACACAAAAGGAAACTAAACTTTGAGCAAAACTCCGTGGCAGGCCTTGCTCCACTTCCCCTCTGGTAATAGATGATCAGATGCAGGCTATAAAATGAATATTTTAAATATTTAGGATATGAGGAAAGAAATAAAGACATGAGATAGGAAGGAGAAATTGTGAAAAAAAGAGTAAGATTTGAAAAAGAGCACATAGAACTTCTAGATTTGAAACTGTAATAATAAAAGCAAAACATTAAATGGATGGATTCAAAAGAATTTTGGCTACAATTAAAGAATTGAAATCTTGAAGATAATCTAAGAAATTTTCTGGATTGTTACACATGAAGGTGAAGAAATGAAAAATATATGGGGTTAAAAGACATTGAGGATAGAGAGAGCAGGTCTGTCATGAGAGTAATAAGCATTCCAGGAAGAGAGACTAGAGATGACAATAAGCAGACAGTATTCAATGTGGGACTTTCCTAAAATCAATGAAAGATACGAGGTGCATTCAGATCTTGAGGAGGATAAGTGAAATACAGTTCAGCCTATATTTAGATGTACTCTAATGGAACTTAAGGATACCACGGGCACAGAGAGAATCTTAAAAATGGCCTAGGATTAAACAAAAGTTACAGTCAAAGGAAAACCGTAAATCTGAAAGCAGACTTCTTAAGAACAATGGATACCAGCAGACAATGAAATAATATATATGTGTTAAATGTCAAGGAAAATTAACCTTGATATTTAAGTCAACCTAATAGTTAATGATAGCCAGGATTTACTTGATGCTTTTAAAATAACTTTTTGTAGGGATGGTGTCTTGCTACGTTGCCCAGGCTGGTCTCTGGAACTTCTGGCCTCAAGCAGTCCTCCCAGCTCAGCCTCCCAAAGCACTAGCAATACAGGCATGAGCCACCACGCCTGGCTACTTAATGCTTTTTCTTTGGTAGTTATGTTTTAAACATTTCACATGTATTAACTCATTTAATTTTTATGACTATATAGCTATCATTGTTCGCATTTTATAGATTCAGAGAAAGCAGAGTAGTTAATTAGCTTGCTCACATTATATGTTTCTTATTTACTGATGCATTAGGGATTTAAGCCTAAGTAGTATGACTTCAAAATCTTTAAGCCACATAGTATACTGCATTTCTAACCCAGGATATTTTACTTAGAGACACTATCATTCAAATGTGAATGTAAAAAAGACTTTTTAAAGATAAGTGAAAACAGAGAGTTTATCATTTACAGACCCATCCTGAAAGAATTATTCAAGGATGTACTTCATGAAGAAGGAAATTATATACAAAAAGAAAGTAGTGAGATATAAGAGGGAATGATAAAGAGTGGGGAAAAAATAATCATACTTAGGAAACAGTAAATATGAGAAAAATATAAAGCATTCAGTGTATAAATTAATAATAATGAAAAAGTATGGGAAGTATTAAAAGCAAGGTGAACAATAGTAAGAAGGTAGTTTTAGCATCAGAGTTAAAATGACCAGAGGATCTGAATTGTTCAGGTGTTGGATGAGGATAATCTTAACCAGACTTTGAATAGTCAAGTATGCGTATTACTTTATTATATTTTTATTCTGAAGTATAGCACATGTGGTAGGTAGAATAATGGCCTCCCAAAGTGTCCATGTCCTAATTCCTGAACCTATGAAGATGTTACCTTACCTGGCAAAAGGGGCTTTGCAGGTTTGATTAAACTAAGGACTTTTAGATGGCAAAGCTATCCTGAATTATCCAGGTGTGTCCAGTCCTTAAAGGTAGCAGATCTTTCTGGCTGTGGTCAGGATGCTATAGAATTGTCAGATTGTTGCTGTCTTTGAAGATAGAGAAAGGGGCCTTGAGACAAGTAGTGTGGGCACCCTCTAGAAGCTGGAAAAGGTAAGGAAGTGGGTTCTCTCCTAGAACATCAGAAGGAACACATTTATTTGCTGACAACTGAATTTTAGCTCAGTCAGGTCCATTTTGGTTTCTGACCTACAGAACTGTAAGAGGATAAATTTGTGTTAGGTCACCAAGTTCGTGGTAATTTATTATGGCAGCATAGAAAAATAATATGGCATAAATACAGAAAACTACAAATAATGTATAAGGCTAGACATTTTTCTAAAGAGAACACCTGTGTAATTGCCATTGAGGGTCTTTTTTAAAATTTTGCTCATTCTGCTGTGTACGTAGCAACATCTCCTTGTGGTTTAATTTGCAGTACTGTGATATGGAAATTATCCTTTGCTAGTTACCCGTGTGGCAAATAATCTCCACTCTCTTTGCCATTTTATTCTCTGAGTAGTGAAGTCACTGTCATCTGATCAGGGATTGAGCGGTTTCAAGTTTCAAAAAGACTCTCCTATTTCCAGTTCTCCCCTATTCCTAGGGTGTAGTCCTCCAGAAAGTATCAGAAGTATTGGGTGATTACTAGGCCCCTCTCCTTGGCAGGTCCTGGACTCCTGTCCCAGCAAGATATGTTTGCGGAGGGCATACTTAACCCCTTAAACTTTTGGCTGCAATTTTCTGTGCACTTTCTCTTGGTCTATGGTCCTCAGGAAGTGAAAAGTACCTCTCAAGCTATGCTATTCAAAATGGTAGTCACTAGCCACATATGGATATAAATCTAAATCTAATAAAATTTTAAAAACTTACTTAGTCTCACTAGCTTTCCATGTGTTGGGATACATGCCATTCCCAATATTTTTGCAATTACAAGCAGTGCTTCAATGAATAACCTTGTCCACATGTATTTTTATATTATTGGTGTATTTTCAGCATATATTCCTGGAAGGAGACTGCTGGGTTTAAAAAGGCAAGAGTTGTCTTGATGTAGCCAAATTTTTCTTTAGTAGGACTGTTCTAATTTACATTCCCACCAGCCAAGTAGGAGTATGCCCGTTTCTCCACAATTTTGCCAACAGAATTTGTTGTCATATTTTAAAATTTGTGCCAATGTGATAGGTGAGAAATGGTATTTCAGTGTTGTTTCAATTTGTGCTTTTCTAATTAAGAGTTTTAACATTTTCCGATATGTTAGATAGGCATTACCTCTCTTGTGAATTTATTCCTGTCCTTACTCCATTCTTCGATAGGGTTTTTGTTCCTTTGTACCTTAATTTTTAGGAATTCTTACATATTCGTGTAACTAACCCTTTCTCTGTGGCATATATTAATATTTCTCCCAGTTGGTCAGTTGTCTTTTGACTTTGTTTATTGTGTCATACAATGTTTTCACTTTTTAATTTTTGTGTAGTCAAATTGTTCGATCTTTTACTGCCTCTGTATTTTGAGTAATAGTTGGAAAGCCTTTTCATACTCAGAGTTAAGGAAGAATTCTCTCACGTTTTCTTCTAGTACTTGCATGGTTTTATTTTTCTCTTCCCAATTTATTTGGAGTTTATTCTTTTGTATTGTGAGACATGGATCTGATTTTATTTTCCCAAATGACCACGCAGTTGTTCCAGCATCATTTATTAAAAAGTTTACCATTACCCTAGTGATTTGAAATGCCACCTTTGTCATATACCTAAATTTCCATCTGTACATGGGTTTAATTCTAGAGTTTCTATATTCTACTGGTCTGTCTGTCCATGCACTAGTACTTCATGATTTTAATTATAGAGATTTTAGTGTGTTTTAATGTCTGAGGAGGTAGTATTCCTCTGTGGGTTTTTTTCCTCATGTTTTTTTGTTTTGTTTTTTTTTTTTACATGTTATTGTATATTTGTTTTTCTATCTGAACTTTAGTAACAGTTTGTCTACTTTCATAAAATTGCTTATTGGTATTTTATTGTGATTGCATTGAATTTGTACATTAACTTAGGGAGACCAATATTTGTATAATGTTCAGTCATCTTATCCAATAATAGCGGATGTTGTTCTATTAGTTTATGTATTCTTAAATCTCTTTTAGAATTGCTTGAAAATATTCCTCTTAGATGTTTTGCACATTTTTTGTTAAATTTATTCCTAAGTTTTAAGTTTTCTCTGTTTATACTATCTACCTTCATTTCCTCTAACTATTTAATGTTTGTGTATATAAAAGCTATTTATATGTTAGTTTTGTATTCTGCTACTTCACTGATTTGATTGCTTGATTCTTTGGGATATTCCAGGTATCCTATCTTATCATCTGTGTTCTTTTCTAGTTGTATATAGTGCATAATTTTAAGAGTTTTTAGAAATTATTATTCTTTTGCATTTTACCTTGCTATGCAGTATGGGTGATGATCTGCGGCCTATGGTGTGGAAGACTCATTTCATTGACTTCTTAGGAAGTCCCAGATGGGCTGTCCTCTTTTAGCTTGAGAAAGGGCAAATGACAGTATAAAAGTGACAACTGAGATAATAGGGAAGGAATAATGAAAAAAAAGTGTGTCTTAGACTATATGAAGTTAGGCATCTTATAGGGATTCTAACAGGGAAAGATTGAAAAATGTCTTATAAATTTGAACAGTATGTTTCATGTACATGATAGATTATATTTTAAAAGATATGCAGAATGGCATAAGAAGAGAAAAGAAATGTGCCATAGGAATACAGAGAGAGAAGGGTATCTTATGTATGAGAGTAGTATAAGGACTTATTCACTGGACTAGCAACTGTTGAGCATACTCCAGGACTGTAGACATCTGGGAAAGCTGAATTTAAGTCAAAGTCAAACGGAGATAACACTGGATTATTGGGTAGGTTTTAGACATGGCAAGACATGTCTTCTTGAGAAGACATTCCAGGTAGGAGTAGACTAAAACAAGGAGACATAATCTGGTTAATATCATGTTTAGGTAAATGCAAGTAATTTAATTTGAGTGAAATAAAACTTTATGTAGAAGGGTAAGTGGTTCATGGGAGCAGGCCATAGAGGTGTTTAAGTGGAAGGCAAAAGATTTATTCTTTACCTTTCATATTGAAGGACTGTTAAAGGATTCTCAACGTAAAGTTTGAACATATGTGGTCAAATATGGACTCAAGGACATTGAATGTAAAAGTGGTTCTTTAGGGCCGGGCGCAGTGGCTCATGCCTGTAATCCCAGCATTTTGGGAGCCTGAGGTGGGTGAATCACCTTAGGTCAAGAGTTGGAAACCAGCCTGGCCAACATGGTGAAAGTCCATCTCTACTGAAAATACAAAAATTAGCCAGATGTGATTGTGGGCACCTGTAATCCCAGCTACTCAGGACGCCGAGGCAGGAGAATCGCTTGGACCTGGGAGGTGGAGGTTGCTGTGAGCCGAGATTGCACCACTGCACTTGAGCCTGGGCGACACAGCGAGACTCTGTCTCAAAATAAAAAAAAAAAAATTAAAAAAAAAAGTGATTATTTAATGTCTCACAGAGGGAAAGATAGGAAGTGGGGAGAACAAGTAAGACATCAAGGACTTTGGCTTTTATTTCAAATGGTTTCCCAAATTGTTCCTTGACTGAAATTGGTTTCAGTGTTTTTATCTTCCAGGGATGTTTTCTTACCATATATGAGTGTTTTATTGCCATATCTTCTCTCAATTTCTTTCATTCTTCCTGAATGCAGGATTATGAGAGCCTGTCTTGCTTAGTTTAGGCTCTGGAGCCAATTGCCTGGTTTGAATCCTGGCTTTACCACTTATTAGCTCTGTGGGTTCAGGCAAATTATTTGACCTCTTAGGGTATTTGTTTTTCATTTGTGTATAATGAGAATAGTACTAGTAGTAATTTTATAGGATTGTTATGACGATTTATGAATTAGTGCACACAAAACACTTAGAAATGGTACCTGGCACACAATAAGAAATCAGAGGGCTGTGTGTGGTGGCTCATGCCTGTAATCCCAGCACTTTGGGAAGTCGAGGCAGGAGGATCACTTGAGGCCAGGGGTTTGAGACCAGCCTGAGCAACATAGTGAGACCTTGTATCTGGAAAAAAAAAAAAAGTGTATAGACACACACACACACACACACACACACACACACACACGAAGGAAGGAAAAATAAATCAGGAAAAGGTAGCTGTTTTTATTAATTTTCAACAGTACTTATTTTTATTACTGTCAGCTTGTTCCTATTTTACCAGTTAGTCACTTTGCAACCTTGGTTAACTCTTTGTCAGATGACATTTTTCAGATGAATACGTTCATCCCTCAGTATCTGGGGGGGATTGCTTTAGTACCCCTCTTAAGCCCTCCTGCCGCCAGGCTACCAAAATCCATGGATGCTCAAGTCCCTGATACACAATGGTGTAGTATTTGTGATAACCTTTGCACATCCTCTTGTATACTTTAAATCTTCTGTAGATTACATATAATACCTAATACAATGTAAATGTTATGTAAATAGTTTTTATACTATATTGTTTAGGGAATAATGACAAGAAAAAATGGTCTGTACATGTTCAGTACAGACACTTTTTCCCCCAGATATTTTGGATACATGGCTGGTTGAATCCAGGGAAGTGGAGCCCACAGGTATGGAGGGCCAACTCTACCTTGAAGAAATGTATATAAATCCTTTAATTCAACAGCTTTGGAAAACTTTGTTTTCCTGGTAACCTTGAAAGTTTCTTTTTTACGTCCATTGATGTGATTTTTCTACTGAGAAAATGCCCTTGTTTGGTAGCTTCTCTCCATCACTTTCCTATCTCTTTTGTGTTTACTGATGAGTTTCTACTAAAACATTGAAAACCAGTAGACTATTATCATGGAAATTATCTTAGATTTATTTTATTGTTCAAAAGAGCTCTAAGAAAATTACTTTCATTTTGGTTGCTGTGGTGCTAATAATATAAGCATGCAAATGATTTTTTGCTGTATTTATTTTTCATTCTATATTTATTAATTTAATCCTTGAAATAGTCTTCTTAGAAAGGTATTGTTAATATTCATGCTTTATAGATGAGAAAAAAATCAATTGGTTATTTTCATATCCTGGAAAATACTCCAAGAATGGGAATCTGTGGTTTGCCATGGGAAATGCTTTGTTCTATACAGAAAGTCACCCTAAGTAGCCATCTTTCTTCATCAGAAATATGGAATGTGTTCTGTGATTTGTGTATTGATCTATTACAGTTGGATTTCTTTTGAATAGAATGTCAGCACTCTGTAGTTAAATGAGTAATATATAATGCCTACTGAAAAGTAATAGGTTGTAACATCTTTGAATATTAGTTAAGGAATTTTATATAACTTTGTAACTGAAACACATAGAATTTGGCTTCAGGGTTAGAAATGTTCTTAATGAATTGCCTTTTTAATTCACAGTGTTTCTTTTTTCTATATTGACTGGGTCATAAATTGAAGAATCTGTTTTCAGCTGATACATAGCTTATGGGGTTACAAATTATCTTTTATAGTTGATCTGTAATTAAAATGTGATTTCAGTTAGAATTATTAAAGACCCCAGAAATCTATAAAGAAAAATCAAGACTTGTTTCTATAGTTGATTAATTGTGCTATTTAATATTCTGTTGACAGTAGTATTGGGATATGGAAAAATTGACTATAAATCTGTTGACATTTAGTACAACATACTTTATTTTCTGTAGCTGCAGCAAAAAATTATTCCTGATCAGGACCAACTGATGGCAATAGCACTAGAGTGCATCTATACCTGTGAACGAAATGATCAACTCTGTCTTTGCTATGACCTACTAGAATGTCTGCCAGAAAGAGGATATGGGTAAGAATACACAGTATGCCAGTCTTATTGTGTTTTTTTATTCTAACAGTTAAAACAAAAACGTTGCTTCCCCAAATGCTTACCTTAGAGAATTTTGGGAATGTGAAAAAAACATAAGGAAGAAAATAAAATTATCTGCAATCCTATTGCCTAGGATAAACATTTCTTGTCCTACCAATATATGGGAAGTTCTATATTTTGTTCAACTGTAATTATAATTAAATTCTGAATTTTGTCAAACATGATAATTTCCTATTGAAAAACAAAAATACCACCACGATCTCCACAAAAACTACTTTTTATAAGTCAGTAGGTAGTAATTGTGTTTTTAATGAAGCATTTTTCATATTTATTGGCTAATTATATTTATTCTATGAATTATTTCTTCTTGGCCTTTGCCTATAGTACTTCTTTTAAGTAGTGAATGTACCTAATTTTTAACTGCTTTTATGTTTAAATGGAAACGTATATAATATGCTTTTGGATTATTTAGTTGTATGCAAGTCAAATTTGTATGTTTTCTTTGGAAGTCAGGTAGCAATCTAATCCCTCTATTAAATTTAGCACATATGATAAATTTCACATCTGGAGACATAAATAACAACACATGAAAGAGTGGTGAATACCAGCAGACCTGTTTTAAACTTTTATGACTTTTAACCAAGTCACTTTACTTCTTTGGTCATTAGTTTCCTGATTTACAAAATCAGATATTTAGACAAGAAAGCCTCATTCTCTGTTTTCTCTTTCTCTTTGCTCTCTTTTTATCTTCTCCCTCTTTTCTCTCTTTTCCTTTTTCTTTTAAGGACATTTTTATTTCTTCTTTTTATTTTGGGAGGGGGGGCTCATATCTGACTAAAGGAAATTTTTATTTCTTATGAAGCAAATGATAGCAGTCACCAATTTTGCAATCTACCATGAAAGAGTTATTCATGCAGTCATTAGTGGTACTGAAATCAGGTGAAAGATTGATGATAAAAGGTTATTTGCATGATACCAAAGTATTACCCTAGTGACTTTTTTTTTTTAAGTTTCAAAGTTGGGCTCTAACTGCCATGATCTTAACCAAGTCGTGAAGGGTGGCATAACTTACAGTCAGACAGCCTGACCTTACGTGCCTCCTGATGTGATCCAATATGAAGTACCTGGTCTTACAGCATCCCTTAAGAAATATTTTTGCTAAAGTTGTTTACCCTGAGTCTAATCAGTCTTTTAGGTTGAACTTCTAATTTGCAGTTAATACGGGAAATAGAGAGACAAGGTAAATAACACCATGAAGAAAGCAGTAAGACAACTACTGAATGTGGGATATTCTATGCATTAACTGGTCTTTTTACTTTAAACAGTTAGTGTCATTTAGGAAGACAAAATGTGGGGCCGTGGGGAGGCACTTTTCTAAAATAAAGGAGCCTAAAGGGACATGATCTTCCTCTGATTTTTAAATATAAATAATGTATGAACATAAAGTCAGGGAATTCTAAGACTGGTATTAGTAATATCAGCTGATAAGCAGCTGTTTGCTGCCCACTTTTCCCATCCTTGGATTCCTATCTTCAAAAAGCAAATACTTTCACTGGTAGGTTTTTCCTTGTCTTTGCCTACCTCCTTTAAAATGTTATGCTCGTGTTGTTATTTTTTGATTTTGCAATTTTAGATCATTTTTGACTTCCTTTTATGGAAGTCCTTTCCCTTCTCCCATATCCACTTCTCCTACCATTCTCCAGTGTTTTCATCATTATGATTACGTAAATATTGTTTATACTGCGGAACTAGGTGTGATTTATTTTCCTTTTAATACAACTCTCTGTTTTTCCTGGATTGAATAATTTCCTTTTCTGTTGTTTTCTTTTTTTCCATCACCCTCATGAACTACTTGCAGTCGTGAAAACTATTTAATGATCTCTCTATTCCTTTCATGTTTTTTTTTTTCTCTGTCTCTTCTTTTCTCGCTCTCTTCCTTTTGAAACATCCTTCTTGGAATTGGTATGAATGAATTGTTCTCTGTGTCTGTTGTCCATCTATTATCCCGGGACTTCGTTTGCCTCTCTCTCGTGTTGCATATTGCATTTCTTGGTTTTCCTTTCTTCTTTCTTCACTTTTTCCTCATTTTGGTGGAGCATACTGTCAAATAGCTTCCTGTCAAAGATTGCCTGGGAGGTATTTTTTAAAAGACTGTCACATATTAGGAAAATGCCACAATTGCACACTTTTACTTGGTAGAAGGTTTAATTGTACATGGAATCATAGACTTAGAATCCTTATCTTGTGAATTTTGAAGGTATGACTCTTGTCTTTTCTTTCTAGTATTGTTGAGAAGTTCAATGGCATTCTGAATAATCCCTATTTAAATATGGATTTTTTTTAAAGAAGATTTCAATATCTTCATTTTTTGTGTTTCTGTTTCATATGTAAATTCATTGTGGTGTTCACTGAATGGTCTAATCCATTCTGGAAATTCATAACCTTCAGACCTTTAGGGTATGTTCTTATATTTTTTCCTTGATAAGTTTATTTGTACTCCTCTTTTTTCTTCCTTCCTTCTTCATGTAGGGAAAGGTAAATCAGAGTGGACTCAGCATCTGTTTGTTATTCAGACCTGTACCTGAACACAGGCTACCTCACATCCCTAGTAGAGAGCAGCAGAGTGTAGCAAGTGTGTCTCTGAGAACTGTAGGCCTTCCATAGGCAGCCAAAGGCAGGTAAACTAGATAGTCTTAATAGATTTTTGTAGCAAACTGTTGTTCCCATCATTTAAAAACCTCAACCCAAAGGCTATCAGTGTGGCAGTAGTCAAATTGCTTTTCCCTGGAGGGTGACAAGAGATGCAGAAGCCCCTGGTTCCTCCGAGAGCTGGAGTGGCAGGGAGTTTCTTCCTTGCTGGGCTCTGTGGGAACCTTATGATTCCTCTGTCAGCTTCATATCTCATTTCTTGTTCCTAAGTCGACCAGGCAAAATCACTGACTTCCAACTCGTGTGCATAACTCTTAAAAGTAAATATATTAGGCTTTGTTTTCCACTAAGGTCAAATAGCATAAATATCAATCAGAGCTTATCTATTAATTATTAAATAGTAATTTGTCTACTTCGAGGAGATTGTCATAGTATCAATAGGCTGATGATATTAAAAACTTTTTTTATGTAGATGTTACAGTTAGGGGATTACCATATTTGTTTTTGAAGAATGTATAGGCTAAGAAATGCCTCTCATGTATACATAGCCAAAAGCTTTTCTTGGCTTCAGATTAATGATTTCTGATGTAACATTTTTTAATGTAAACACAAAAAATGACTTGATATTTTCTTGTTACTCCATTTATTTCTTAATGATTGCATTTCATGTTTCTAATTTTCTAAGTAAATTATAATTACAAATTAGCCTTGTATTAAAATATAGGGCTCAAAATATTTTCTGTGGTTCTCTTTGTTCTTCATGCCAAGTTTGTCAATTTATATTCTCTCAGTGATTATTTGTTTATTTTTAGTGGTAGTTGTTATTTATCAAGTGGTAAACTATGAATACATCCATTTGCTATTTGAGAAATGAGCAATCACTCATTTAATCTAATTAAATTTTTGTGCATCTTACCTAGGCAGATTATTTAATCTGGCTAAAAAAACTTTACTCATTGTGTTCGTGAATGTCAGCTCACAAAGGAAGAATATTGTATCTCTAATATCTATGATAAATGATTATAATAGAGCTGTAAAATGATAATTTCAAAAATATTGCTGAATAAGGCCAGGTGCAGTTACTCATGCCTGTAATCCCAGCACTTTGGAAGGCCAAGGCGGGAGAATCAGTTGAGACCAGTCTGGGGAACATAGGAAGACCCCATCTCTACAAAAAAATTTAAAAATTAGCTGGGTTTGGTAGCGTACAGCTTTAGTTCTAGCTACTTGGAAGGCTGAGCCAGGAGGATCGCTTGAGCCCAGGACACAGAGGTTGCAGTGAGCCATGATCCTGCCACTGCATTCCAGCCTAGGTGACAGAGCAAAACCCTGTCTCAAACAAAACCAAACCAAACAAAACAAAACAAACAAACAAAAAAACATACACAAACACACACACACACACACGGCTGACTGAGTATGTTAAGGGAAGTTAGCTCTGATGAATAATTTTCTGAAGGACTTTAAGTAGACTATATCCCACTCATCACTCCTGTCCAAAGCCTGAAACTTAGTTTAAACAGATAGTGTAATCTTTGTAAGTTGCACTGATTAATTGTTAAATACATTTAGACCAGGCAGATAGATAGTTTTAAAAATAATGAGGGTTTTTTGTCCAAAGCAGGACATTTTTAATTTTCCAAGTCCAGGCAAAGATTTTTTGTTTGGGCTTATTGTTAATAAAGTCATTCTTTTCTCTGGTGCGGGCCTCCAAGATGACAAAGAAAAGAAGGAACAACGGTCATGCCAAAAAGGGCCACAGCCACATGCAGCCTGTTCACTGCATGAACTGTGCCCAATGTGTGCCCGAGTACAAGGGCATTAAGAAATTCGTCATTTGAAACATAGTGGAGGCCACAGCAGTCAGGAACATTTCTGAAGCGAGCGTCTTTGAAACCTATGTGCTTCCCAAGCTGTATGTGAAGCTACGTTACTGTGTGGGTTGTGCAATTCACAGCAAAATAGTCAGGAATTGATATCATGAAGCCTGCAAGGACCGAACACCCCCACGCCAATTTTGACCTGCGGGTGCTGCCCCACAACCCCCACCAAAGCCCATGTAAGGAGCTAAGTCCTTAAATAATGCAGACAGATTATTCTCTGGAGAAAAATACAATGGAAATTGTACTGAAAAAAAAATAAAAAATAAATAAAACCATAAGATCTTGCTGGAGTTTAGGTGGAGCATTGCACAGAAGGCACCTGAGAGTGGCAGCAGCAGTGTTTCTCAGTTGAGAGTGTTTGGGACACAGAGTTGTCTAGGATGAAAGAGGACTTTTATAGCAGTTATAATCTTTTTCACCATATCCCTGTATTCACTTGCACATATGTTGTGCCATACTTAATCTTCCCTACCAGGCACATTTTTATTAGTTTGTGATCTTTTTCATGACGGTGTTTCTCCTAGTCCCTGCTTACTGGCTTCCTCAGAAAGCATTTGCTTTTCACCTTCACTCCCTACTAGGGATTATCTATGTGATGGATATACTTCTCACTGATTCCTTAACGTTGAAGTGGATGGGATTTCCTTCCCTTAAAGCACAAGGGATGATTATGTGGAAGAACTTTTCTGAGTATATGGAATCCTAATGGAAACTTCCTGGAGAGGAGGGGTCCTAAGTTGTGTAGATAGGCCTAGGAGAAAGCCAACATGGCTATGCTTCTTCTTAATCTGTTTTATTGGTTTAAAAGAACAGTAGTAAAGAGTGATTTTACCTTTTACCTCATCTTAAATAAACAATCGATTTATATATTTTTTTACCTTTAAGCACAACTGAACCAAAAGTACCCTAGAAAATAGTTGTTCATATCTGACTAATCTGTAACAGAGAATATTGTTCTACTCTAGCATTTCTTATATAATTCTCTTGAATCATTAATAATGCTGAATGAATTTAGATAATATTGTTATACATTACATATAAAAGAAACATCTTTTTTTCACTTCATTAAGTTTTGTATTTTATTTAAAAAGCTAATACTAAACTTAAGGGCTTTTTTTTTTCTTCTTTTAATTTATTAGTGATAAGACAGAGGCAACCACAAAGCTTCATGACATGGTAGACCAACTGGAACAAATTCTCAGGTGAGAAAAATGACAGTTTTTTTTTTTCTCCATGCTTATTAAGGGAATTTGTCCAAGAAATGTCACATTAAGTCTGCCTGTGAGTCATCGTTTCTACTTTAACCTCATTTTTGTTTGATTGTCTTGGGAGTGAATTTTCTCAACAACAAATACACTGCACCCCTATTGTAGTGGAGTAATAGAATAATAACATGGTCTTTGAAAACCTACGTTCAAATTTAGGCCTTGCCACTTACTAGTCGTGTGATCTTTGGGCCTAGGGTTTTCTTATGTATAATATCTAACTCACAAAATTGTGGAATCAATATTAGATTAAGCATTTAAAGTGCCTCCTACATAGTAGGCACATAAGAAATGTTAGTTCCTGCAGCAATTATTGCATCTTTATCAGCAGACAATGTTTATTACGCTAACTTCCCTTTTTAGGGCATAATACATTGAATTGACTATTTGTATTATGTCAAACTGCATTAGAACCCTCATGCAACACTGGAGGAATATTCTCTACTGTTGTAATAAAATGTTAAACTATCTCTTCTGGAGATTGAAATCATCTTAATTTCCCATGTAGAAAGTCTGATATTTTTACTAATATTTATTTTTATGTTTATATAAATATGCACATTTAACTTTAAGTATTGTATTAAAAGTAAAATTTTAAGAATAATAAACTGTGGTCTTCCAATATATAATTGTAGAAATTTATAGCTAATAACATTACTTTACTAATAGTAGTATGTATGATAATTTGGAGTCCACTGATTAGAAATCGTATTCAAATTAATGGACTTTAGTGTAAAAATATTTCAAGTTGCCTTTAAGGGAACAGAATGTTTTTGTGCACCGTAATATGTGAGTTTAATAGAGAATTAACTCTTCAGTTTCCTGAAGACCTGTGTTTATTATTACCTAGCTTGATTCCTGTTATTCTGTGTTCTGAAAGTTATACAGTTGTATTTCTTGAAAAATGTTTACAAAATCAGCTTTTCCTATTATAGGTTGGCTTGTGCCTGCCATCCCCACTACCTTCCTAACACATTCAGTTTAGTTTGACTAAGGTTTGTTGGGTTGAGTCAATGTAAATTCATTCTCTACAAATCTGCATAGTTACCTTTATTTCTCTAGTAAAATTGAGAAGAGATAGCTCAAAGAGATACAGTGAAATAAACGTAATTTATTTCATCACATGTCTGGTTGTAACCATGGGTGGTCCTGGTAGTTTTAATATGCCATCAGTACCTCAAGGAAACACTTAACACCCTACAGGTTTCTGGATGATGTTTAGGTTTCACTATTTAGCTTAATTTACTGTGCTTTCAAACTAAGAGCTTTGTATCCTGTTCCACCTGATAGCCCCAGACACTTGATAAATGTTTTAGTATACATAATGCCAGGCGACTTTACTGATGAAACCTATATTCTGAAGAGTTACTGGATTCGATCCAGTAACTCTATTCAGTCCTGTAGTAGTCAGTTCATAAATGTGAGATTTTGTGAGTCAGATCAAGTATTTATATGATGTTGATGATTATGGAATGGGATATCTCAAGAAGATTCTTATGAGACAGAGAGAATTTTTGACATATCTTGTATATTTATAAAATGGATTCTTGACAGAGAATGAGCCTGATGATTTCCAGTCGTCTAACTCTAACATTCTTGGTTTATTGCTTTTCTAGTAGTCTTGCCTATAACAGCCTATAACAGAATACTCAATAGGATTAATAAGAGTTAAAACTGTACTGAAAGTATAGATTTGGCTTATTTTACTGACAGGTGCTGTAGCAAAAAGATTTTTGAGATAAAGATAGGTTATGCTTTCTTTTAGTATGCTACTTAGCCCAACTACATTCTAATAAAAGTCAATGAGAAAGGTAAGATTTGTTTAATTATTCGATTTTTTTTCTTTTTTGCTGAGAATCAACGTTATATGTAAAATTGGATTACACTATGGGATAATTTTTTTTTAATACTAAACACTGAAGGGCTACCTCTATGCCTAAGATTCTTAGACTCTTTTTGTTTGGTAGCAAGACATTAAATAATTCTTTTTTCACTTATAGTGTGTCAGAGCTTTTGGAAAAACATGGACTCGAGAAACCAATTTCATTTGTTAAAAACACTCAATCTAGCTCAGAAGAGGCACGCAAGCTGATGGTTAGATTGACGAGGCACACTGGCCGGAAGTGAGTAATAAAATTAATTGATACTTGGGTCAATTAATTTTAAATATTTTTAAAAGTATTTCTCTTTTTCTGACAACCTCATTGTGTTATAACTAATAATAAACTGCACATATTTAAAGTGTAAGTATAATTTGATAAGTTTTGATATGTGTGTATAGCCATGGGAAACCATCATTATGATTAAGATAATAAACACATCCAGTACCCCTGAAAGTTTTTTGATTACTCCTTTAGAATCCTTTCTCTCTTGCTTTTCTTTATCGTGCTCCCTTCTCCTCATCAGGGCTACCACTAATCTATTTTCTTTACTTCTGTATATTACTTTGCATTTCCTAGAATTTTATAGAAATCAGTCACACAGTGTAACTTTTTTGTTTGTGTGTTTGTTTGGCTTTCACTCAGTATAATTATTTTGTGATTCATCCATGTTGTGTCATGAATCAGTAGTTTATTTCTTTTTGTTTGCGGAATGGTATTTCATTGTATGGATTTTTCACAGCCTGTTTACCACTTCTCTGTCCGTGGACATTTGGGTTATTTTGAGTTTTGGCTTTTACAAATAAAGTTGCTACGACTTTTCATATGCAAGTGTTTGTGTAGACATACGCTTTCATTTCTCTCAGACAAATACCTAAGGATGAAATGGCAGGATCATTTGGTAAGTGAATAGTTAACTTTCAAAAACTGCCAAACTGTTTTTTAAAGGATTTGTACTGTTTTACTTTCCTACCACTCTTGTAGGAGAGTTACAGTTGCTGCATCCTACATTGATTGCTCTTCTATATCCTCATCAACATTTGGTGTGGTCAGTGCTTATTTGCTATCTGTATGTTTTCTTTACCTGTCTTTAAAACTGAGTAATTTTTCTTTTTATTGAGTTTTGGGAGTTTTCTTATATATTCTAGATATAAGTCCTTTTATTAGATATATGCTTTGCGAAGATTTTCTCCCATTTGTGCCCTGTCTTTTCATTATTTTACCTTTGTGTTTTGAAGAGTATGCTTTTTAAAAATTTGCCTTTTAATCAATTTGTACTTTTTTATTGCTTTGCCACAATGTTTTTCTCCCCCCTTTGTTAACAAAGTTTTGGTTTTACATTTTACATTTAGACCCATGAACCATTCTAAGAATCCATTTTTGTTTATTGTTCAAAGTATGGGTCAAAAAACTTTTTGTATCTAATTATTCCTCACCATTTGTTAAAAAAGCCATCCTTTCTCTACTGAATTACCTTTGCAGTTTTCTTGAAATCTGTTGTCTGTGTAAATGGGGGCCTAGTTTTTGATTATTTTGTTCCATTGATCCATTTATTTATCTTTCTTCCCATACCATGCTGTGTTAATTATGCAGATTTCTATTAAATATTGAAATTAGGTAACATTAGTCTCCCAGCTTTGTTTTTTTTCCCCCAAAGTTGTTTTGTTTATTATAGGGCCTTTGCAGTTCCATATGCATTTTAGAATAAGCTTACCAATTTCTTCATTTGGAATTTTGATAAGGATTGCATCAAATCTGTAGGTCAATTTGGAGAGTGTTGCTATCCTAAATCAATATTAAGTCTTCCAATCCATGAACACTGATGTCTTTCCGTTTACTTAGTTCTTCTTTAATTTCTTTAAATAATCTTGTAGTTTTCAGTGTACTATTCTTGCATTTATTTTGTTAAATTATTCTTAAGTATTTTATTCTTGTTTGGTCCTATTGTAAAGGGAATTTCTTTCTTAATTTCATCTTCAGATTGTTCCTTCCTAATGCGTAGAAATACAGTTGATTCTTCAGTTTATTGGTCTTATGTCCTCTACCTTTTCTGGGCTTACTTATTAGCTCTAATAGTTTTTCTTTGCAGACTTCATGGGATTTCCTATATAAAAGATTACACTATCACAGGAAGGTAGATCTTCCTGTGATAGTGTTTCTTTACCTCTACAATGTGAGTTTCTAGCAAGATACTTTCTCCTCTCCAAGCTTTTTTTTTTGTTGTCATATAATTTACTTTTATGTATGTTAAAAACCCCACTTTGCATTGTATTATTATTTGCAAGCAGTAAACTATTTTTTAAAGTGATGTAAATAATGTGAAAAATGTGTTGCATGTTTATGCATGTAGTTACCATTTCTGGCACTTTTTATTGTTTATGTAGACTTATGTTTCCATCTGGTTGCATTTTCTTTTTGTCTGGAAGGCTTCTTTTAATTTTTTTTTTGGTAGTGCTAGGATGCCAGTGATTCATTTGTACATCTTTGTTTGTTTAAAAAAGTCTTTATTTCACATTTTTCTCTGAAGGATATATTCACTTGGTATATAAGGATATATTCACTTCCAATGTGACAGTTTTTTTTTTTTTTTAGTATGCTACGGTACAGAAATTGCTCCACTGTCTCCTAGCATGCATTTTTTTCCACAGAGAAATCTGCTGTCAGAGTTAATCTATTTCTGATGTGTTTCTCATATTTTTTAAATTGCTATTGTGAATGTCTCTTTTTGACATCAGTTTCAAATTTAATTTCATGGTGTAGTTTTCTTTATAAAGCATCTTGGATCTTGGATCTTGGGTCTTTGGGTTTATAGTTTCCATCCAACTTGGAAAATTTTTGCGTATTTCTTCTCCTTTATCTTCTGCTCCTCTCCTTTCAGGACTCCAATTATACATCTATTAGGACCTTTCAGGTTGCCTCATGGCTCATCAATACTGTGTTACTTGTTTATTTGTTTTTAATATTCTTCGGTATTTTTGTTTCATTTTGGATAATTTCTATCGCTGTTTTTTAAAGTCCACTAAATCTTTTTTTCTCTCATGTCTCATCAATTTGTACATTCATTATATTTTTCATTAAGAGTTTTTTTTTTAATCTCTAAGAGTTCAATTTTGGTTTTTATTAAACTTTCATGCCTCATTAACTTTTTGAACGTATGTTAAACAGTGATAATACATTTTAAACCACTCTTGTCTGTTTTTCTAACACCATCGTTTGCTTTTTCTAACATTTCTTCTTTTTAAAAGCATATTTCTAACATCTGTGATACCCATCTAATATCTGGATAGGTTTTGAATAATTTTTTCTTCATTATCTGTCATATTTTTCATGTCTTTCAATGCAAAATAATTTTTTTTTTTTGAGATGGAATCTTGCTCTGTCGCCCAGGCTAGAGTGCAGTGGTGCGATCTCGGCTCACTGCAACCCCCACCTCCAGGGTTCAAGTGATTCTCCTGTCTCAGCCTCCCGAGTAGCTAGGATTACAGGCACGCTGCATGCCCAGCTAATTTTTGTATTCTTAGTAGAGACGGGGTTTCACCATGTTGGTCAGACTGGTCTCAAACTCCTGACCTGGTGATCCACCTGCCTCGGCCTTCCAAAGTGCTGGGATTACAGGCATGAGCCACCACGCCTGGCCGCAAAATAATTTTATTGAATACTAGACATTATGAATTTTTCCTTCTTGTATGCTATCATATTTTTGTATTTTTATAAATTTTCTTTTTTAAAAAATTAAGTCTTATTTTATATATTTAAAGTATACAACACCAAGTGATGGGATACATATAAATAGTAAAAAGGTTACTATGGTGAAACAAATTAACATTCATCATCTCACATAGTTATCTATTTTATTTTGTTTGTGTGGCAGGAGCAGCTAAAATCTACTCTTTTAGCGTGATCCCATATACAGGACAATTTTATTACGTATAGTTCTCATGGTGTACAGTAGACCTCTAGGCTTGTTCATGTACATATCTGCTACTTTGTATCCTCTAATCTGCATCTCCTTATTTGTCCCCTCCAACCCTTTATAGTAACCACTGTTTTGGTGTCTATTTCTTTATACTTGATTTTTAAAAATTTTACATGTAAGTGAAAACATGCAATATTTTTCTATGTCTGATTTATTTCACTTAGCATAAATATTCTTGTACTTTTTTCTGGGACATGGTTAATTTACTTGCAAACAGTTTAATCTTTTTGCTTTTTGCAGTTGGGATGGAGGAAGAGCTCCTTCTAGGGCTAATTATTCCCCATAACTGAGCTAAGACTCTGCTTAATGCCTGTGTGTCTTGAGGTTTTCCAGCATGTGTGAGCTTGACATGTTTTCTTTTTCCCCTTTTCTTTTCCTAGCCTCAGGCAGTTTTATTGTAGGCGTTTATGGCTTCTACTTGTCTGAATATTCGTGGGGACCCTTCGTAGATCTTGGGAATTTCTTCCAGTTCTGCTATGTCTTCCCTGGTGCTTCATCCTGCATGTGCTTTATCTGCTTTGGTTTCTCTGGAATTTCAGTTCTGTCTTCTCAATGCAGGGACTCCAGAAGTCTCTGCTTAGATTGATCCTTTCTTGTGCTGTGGCCTGGAATCTTTCTCAAGACAGTAAACTGGGGTAGTCTTAAGAGTCATCTCAGCAGTGAGCCATGATCGTGCCACTGCACTCCAGTCTGGGTGACAGAGTGAGACCTTGTCTCAAACAACAACAACAAAAAAGACTTGTTTTTATCTCTCAGGGATCACTGTCTTTCATTGCCTGATGTCCAGTATTTTTGCATATTTTTACTTGTTTTAGCCTGGAGATTTAATTCATTTCCTTTTGCTTAATCTTTTCTGAATGTGAACATCCCTTTGGAAGTTCCCCCTTGATCCATGTCTTTTCATGTCTTCTAAATTCCTGTAAGGAAGTCATATTAGGAAATTATCTTGACTCGGGAATCAGATGACTTGGGTTCTGGTTCTAACTCCACAGTATACCATCAACTCTTTTTTATAAAAAAGATGTTTACTGCTTCATACATTTTTATAAAATGATCATACCATACCCATGTAGCCAGCAATTAAATGAAGAAATAGTGCATTATTCTTCTGTCAATATGGGCTTCCCTGAGGCTAAGATTAGAGTGTAAGTTGTTTGTTTGGAAGGTAATTCTAGCCTCACATCAGTAGGAGAATGGGAAACTGATAAAGGAAAGAAAAGGGAGCCAATACTGGTTGTATTACATAAGCTGGTTTTCCACTGTGGACTAGGGCTCAGTATTGCTGGGGTCATCTGGGAGTTGGAGAACTACTCATCTACCCTCTCGTGGCTATCATTGTTTGAGAGCCTGTCTGACGAGTGTTAACTCCCTTACACTTCCAGCATAACTAAGGATGCCATTTGGCAGTGGAAGTCCTCAGACAGAAGTCTGGTTGCTAAAGTAGGATGCTATCCATGTGTATAAAAAGCTCACAGCAGTGAGAACTGAGTGTATATATATATGGATTGTTTGTGCTATAAGTTACCCCCCTTCAAAACACTAAAACACTATAGATTAACTTTGCCTCTTTTTTTTACTTTATATAAATGGAATTATATAGTATATACATTTGTATGTAGCTTCTTTCTCTCGACGTTATGTTTGTGAGATTCCTCTGTATTGTTGGTATAACATTAGTTTGTTCATTCTCAATGTTGGGAAGTATTCCATTTTGTGAACGTAACTCATTATTTATACATTCTCTGTTGATGGACATTTGAATTGTTTCTTAGTTTCTCCTGTAATTAATACTACTGCTATGAATACATTTGTACTTATCTGTCTTCTGGTGTACATATTTCTGTCCTTCACTTGAATATCTACCTAGGAGTGGAACTGCTGAGTCATAGGATGTACCTGAGTTCAACTTTAGAAGATTCTGCCAAACAGTTTTTCAAAATGGTTGTACTGTGTATATTTCTGTCAGCAATGTGTAAGAGTTATGTCACTCCTCTATGTCACAAATACCTGATACTGATTTTCTTTTCTCCCATTTTAACCATTTAGATGGGTATATAGTAGCATTTCATTGTCTTTTTAAAATATGCATTTCTTTTTTTTTTTAATATGCATTTCTTACATGACTAGTGAAGTGGAAAACATTATAAGGGTATCAACACATTAAATACCTAAGAATAAATCTAACATGAGATGTGCAGGACTAATGAAGTGGAAAACTTTATAATAGTATCAAAACATTAAATACCTAAGAATAAATCTAACATGAGATATGCAAAAGTATATATATGAAAATTATGAAACATTGTTGAGATCCATTAAAGATCTGAAGAAATGGAGGAATACCTCATGTTTATAGATTGGAAGAATCAATAGTGGAAAGGTGTCAATTCTTCTCACTCATCTGTTTTTTTCCTGCATTCCCCATAAAAATTCCAGCAAATGTATATATTCATTTGAGAGTTGCACAAGTATAGAATCTTTGATAAAAACATTATGACAGGTACATAGTTGATGCTCAGAAAATATTTACTGTGTTGCTTAATAAAGATTTGGTGAATGGGCCAGGCACAGTGGCTCATGCCTGTAATCCCAGCACTTTGGGAGGCGGAGGCGGGCAGACCGCTTTGAGTTTAGCAGTTCAAGACCAGCCCAGGCAACATGGCAAAACCCTGTTTTTACAAAAAACAAACAAATATTAGCTGGGTGTGGTTGCTTAGGCTTGTAGTCCCAGCTACTAGGGAGGCTGAGGCTGGAGAATCGCTTGAGCCCAGGAAGTGGAGGTTGCATTGAGCCGAGATCTTGCCACTGCACTCCAGCCTGGGCAACAGAGTAAGACACTGTCTTAAAAAAAAAAATAATTTCCAGATGAATGACTTATTCATTTTTTAATATGTGTTGCTTAAAACACTGATAATTTTTAGCTACTCATTTCAAAGGAATAAGTGAGAATAAGTGAGTGAAAAGATAATGACAGATTTTAAAAATCTGGAAAAACTTTGTTTCATTTTGTCTCTTTCTATATTGTCATCATTTAAAGTAGAACATCTAATGAAATTAGAAATTTTGCTAAGTTCTTTGGAAGTTCATTTAGAGCCAGTTACAATAGAGACAGGAAAACTGAACAATTAATATTCATACATTCATTACGCCTGTAATCCCAGCACTTTGGGAGGCCGAGGCGGGCGGATCACAAGGTCAGGAGATGGAGACCATTCTGGCTAACATGGTGAAACCTTGTCTCTACTAAAAATACAAAAAATTAGCCAGGCATGGTAGCAGGTGCCTATAGTCCCAGCTACTTGGGAGGCTGAGGCAGGAGAATGGCGTGAACCCGGGAGGCAGAGCTTGCAATGAGCTGAGATTGCACCACTGCTCTCCAGCCTGGGCGACTCCTTCAGAAAAAAAAAAAATTAATACTTTATAATTGTGCATTTATTTACGAATTGTTATTTACATTATTTAATGAATATTTTATTATGGATTTTGACATACTTTGTGTCAGTATTATGCTTGATGTCTGGCTTACAAAGAAAAAGATGTCGTACCTCCCTGGTCCAGAGGGGGACACACTCAATTAATATGAAGAGAATATTTATAAAGGCTATGAAGGCCATGAGAGAACTAACAGATTACTCTGTAGAAAAATTGGCAACATAGTACATCCAATATATATTTAAAAAAAGAAAAGAAAAATTGGCAACAGAGTTGAAAGACATTTCAGTTAGATGATATCCAAATGGTCAATAAAGAAACTAACAACTTTTTGACCTAGTAGTCATTTAGTTTATGCATAAAATAAAGGGTAACTATGACTTGGAGGTGCTTGCCGGACAGTAGGTGGAGATGCTGCTATGAAGGTGGACATGAAGATCAGCAGAGAAGTCCGAACTGGAGTTATGGATTTGAGAGTGATCCCCATGTGTGTATGGGACAGTTAAATTCCAGATCTGTAGGGAGACTACGTAAAAATGTAAAGAAGGCTGGGAAAAAAAGCCACCCCAAGCACTAATCCTGAAGGAGTAGAATTAAGCAAGGGCAACTTTTCAAGAACTTTTAAAACATATTTTGTTTACCTAAATTTTAGGATTTAGAGATTCAGTTTAACCCAACTATCAAAGTAAAAATAAAATCCAGCAGTAAAAACACACTATTGTATATTCCTTCCTATCTTTTAAGAGCTGGCTCCAACACATCTTCCAGGAAACCTTGTTTGACTCCTCCAAGCTTAATTGAATTCTCCTTCCTAGAAATTCCTAAGCGTTTTGTATCTACCTCTCTGACTGTCTCTTGCAGCTATACGGTGTTACACTGCAACTATACTACAGTCATTAACACATGTGCCTTAAGTTCCCTTCTAGATCATAATTTCTCCAGTGCAAGTGTTATAGCCACCATACACCTCAGTTAGGAACTTACATATCAGTGGCCCTCTCTGGTAATTTAGATAGCTTTGACTATTTAAATGCCTTAAGATTTCTTTATAGCTAAAATGGATGGCCAGTATTTCCAAGATCATGCTGATTTTACTCTAAAATCTACTTTTCAGCAGGAAAGCATTGCAATTGCTGCTAGATTACCTACCACCCCATCTCCCCCAACCCCCCAAATTAGTTCCCTAAATACTTACGGAGTCCCTGAAGTTAATTTCTACTCATGGTAATCTATTTACTGTGAATATGTAAGAGAATGTGATGCCTGTTTTCACAGTAGTTGACCTGAAATTAATCTTAATTATTTTATGCGTATTTCCATGGCTTGACCTTCACTACCCATAGAATATTCTTATACATATTCTAAAGGGTGGCAGATGTCAGCAAATCTTCACAAATGCAAGTTTTACGAACTTGAGTACACTACTATTTCTCCCTGGGAAATCCACATCTATTCCAAAGCTGCAACTAATACATTCGTGTTCAGGATCTGTCTGTTAATTTGCAAACCTCTTGGTTTCTTCAAGTTCTGCTCTTGATTCTTATTTACTGAATATATTCTTAAAAAGGCCATTGTAAGTAATGCATAGTAGTTTATTTTTATTAGAACCTGTACTTACAGCTAGCCATGTGCGAGAAAACATTAGTACCATCTGCCCCAGTGTTGATGGCTTCCAGAAGAACAGCTGGGCTGTAAGAAATTGAATTCAGCTAGACAGTGCCTAGATCTGATTTTATCAAGTGTGTGCAAGATGGACACTCACTTCAGCAAACATTCTGCTACTTCTCTGCCTGTAAGCAATCTGAAAGAGCCCTCCAGTTTTTTGAAGGCTAAAGAGTTAATGTACCCAGGTCAAACAAATGGAAACAGTATATGGATTGTCCTGAAATACTTGAAATATATCAGTTTGTTTTGTGTATTTGTGTGCTGGAAGAAAAAAAGTGTTCTCTTATGCCTAATTGCATGTGGAACAAGAGTAATTGTTCTTTTGTATAATAAATATTAAATGCATAGGCAAATGAAGCATGTGCTTATTAAAAATTTTAGGAGAAAAAAATTTTAAAGACTATATTTTTTGCTGTAATGATCCCAAATATATACTTTCTCTATAGCAATAACTATTAAACACATACAATCTATCTGCCCTGTTTTTAATGCATAGTGTTTGGAAATAGTGATGATTTTTAAAGGCATTGTAAAAGATAAAAAATAAAAAGATGCATGAAAAAGAAACATCGTCTAGTTGGTATTTGACCAATTTAAAACAAAAACCTGCTCTTCTTGAATAATGATATTCATGATTATGTAGAATGTCAAGACTAGAAAGTAAACATAAATGGTGATTCCAAACTCATGTGTATTTAACTAAGATGAACTTTGGAGAGAGGCAGAGAGAATTACAGTATATTGTCTCTCCTACTAGAAACAATATTAGAATCATATACGTGACTTAAAAAATAAAAAAACAAGATGTATTTGTAATTTCAGATTCATTCATTCACATTTGTTGAATGTTTACCAGAAAAATGGGGGGGGGGTCTTTTCATATATTTTAGTATAAGTTAATCTTTATGCTATACAAAAAGGGAATCTAAAGTTCAGAGAGATTAGAAAATTTATTCAAATCCATGGGTAATTTAGCTTATTCTTATATTTAGGAGCATCTTGCTTCAATGCCTGTGTTTTGTCAAAATTAATCTCATTTATTGTTTATCACTGAAGTGAGCTTCCAGAGAGGAAAGTGAAAGTCAAGAATATTAAATGACTTGCTCACAATCACACAACCAATTTGTGACTATGGGTGAATTTGGGAACAAAACCCTTTCCCCTGCTATGGGAGAATCTGACCATTAATTTCCTAGCTCTGTAACTCTGTAAATCAATATAAAGTGGTTTTTAATCAACCAGATTATAGAGGCCTCACTACTTAGATAAAACAGATCCCTGATTGGTAAATTGCCTCTGGCCTGGAGGAACTGTAAATGAACTGGAAATACCTGATAGGGGCTTTATGCTTTGGGCTTTCCTGAGTGTGTTGCAAGAGATGTTGACTGTTTTAGGACATGAAGCTTCTTCCTACGCCGGACACAGCAATGCCAGCGACTACTCTCTGAGGCTCTGGCTTCTTGTACTGGGGCGGTCACTTGAGAAGATAACTCCTGGAGTGCTCTGTGAGTTGCTTTGTGGACTGCTGCCAGTAGTCTCACTGTAAGAAGCAACTGATGCTGCCCTGCTGGTGAGCCGCGATTCTTGTCCCCCAGACTGATGGCAAATGTGGCCTGCGGTTGTCCTATGGATGTGAATGTTCAGTTGAAGTCAAGAAGACTCCTTGACAGGGATTGCTGAGTGATGAAGATGGAATTTGAAACCAACCTCTGTCATCAAGCTATATCATAGCTGCTTTATCTTGCAGTGGTTCATTTTACCTTAGAAACTCACAGCTTCTTTACCTTTACTGTAATTACCATTCAATTCCATTCCAGCCTGTGTCTGCTCAGGCTATGACAGACCACTTTGTCACCATCTCTAGCAGTGATGCATAGCTGCCCAACTTTCCCCTCTATCTTTAATCCAAGTGTTTTCCTGTCTATTTAAAGGAGATATATTCTTTTTGATCATTTGAGAGCTGATGTGGATATAGAGTGGTGGTACCAGTTTTTGTTTTTTTAACTTTAGATCATTTGAAGAAAGAGATTTTAATTGTTTTCTTTCCCTCTTCCTTGTCTTTTTTATGTGTTTTTCCAGGCAGCCTCCTGTCAGTGAGTCTCATTGGAGAACGTTGCTGCAAGACATGTTAACTATGCAGCAGAATGTATACACATGTCTAGATTCTGATGCCTGCTATGAGGTAACTCTAGAACCATATACGATTTTTTTTTAATTTAACAATTTTAATTGTTATGGTTTATTGGATACAAGATTGATGACCATAAGCTACCCTGGAAGTAATATTATTTAATAATAGCTAATAACTGACTAGTGCTTTATAGGTTGAGCACTTTATTCCTTAACCTCCTGTCTCCCTTGTCTTTTTTCATTGCAACACTATCTGTTTAGTAGGTTAATCATCAGCTAGAAAATGTGAATCGTACTTGACTTTTCTCACTTCCATAGTTTTGGTGGTCACTAACACTTGTCTAATGCATCTGAGAAAGACCTTCAAATCTGTCCTGTCTTCATCTCTGCTGAACTGCAGCAATCCCCCTACTTGTTTCCCTACTTCCAACTCTCTGGTTTACACTGATAAAGAGTATTTTTCTAAAACAAATCTTTTCATGACACACCCCTTCTAAAAATTTGTTGTTGTTCCATATCAATAATCAAAAAGTAGCTCTACTCCTTAGCATGACATAGAAAGCTATAGAAGATGCCAGCTCCCTCACCTCTTCCACTTTTGTCACTGTCCACCATGTACCCTATGTTGCAGTAGCACCATCAAGCCTGTCATCATTTCCTCCATCCACCGTGCTGTTTCATGTTTCCCTCACTTTGCACACGTTGTTCCCTTGGCCTGGAATATATTCCTCTTTCCTTTACTTAGAAAACTCCTAATAAAAGTTCAGAACTCAGCTCACTAATTATCTTTGTCCTTCCTCATAAGTTGCCTCTACTATGGTCTTTCTTTAAAATGTAGTTATTTGTTTATTTGTGCATTGCTTCCATTTGGTCCTCAGCTCCTAGACAGGCATTATTATATCATGTGAACTCTCATATCCCCTAGTGCATATTATAACATATGGAATATAAAGGATACGTAAGAAATAGTTGTCAGTTGACTGGGAGTATAATCCAGGGGGATTTACTCATTAATTTGGAATAGATATGTACACCTGTGTGTGGGTGTGTGCGTGCACGCGTGTGTCCAATTGCCAAGTCAGAGGCAGAGTATCAGTATATATATTTCCATTTTCTGTGTGTAAAATCTCCAAGTCAAAGGCAGTTTACCAATATATATATATTTCCGTTTGTGTGGAAAAAATGACCTAACTCATTTTTAATAACATGCAGTCTAAAACAAGTTTTTTTAATTAGAATTTTCTTGTTAAATAAGCCAGACACAAAATCATAAAGAGTATTTCTTGTGTCGCTTTGCTCTTATACCACAAAGCATAACCCATTGATGAAATCAGAATTGTAAAAATAGGTCTCTGCTTTGTGAAATTGTTTAGTTTTTGAATTCAGGGCGATTTTAACAAAAGTGTGCTAATGTAGACTGTTGAGAAATGAATGGTTTTATATTTGAATTTCAAGTTTTTAAATGCATGAATAACTAATGTTTTTATTGATGATTGCAGTCTCTGACCACATACAACTGCCATTGTCTTCCCCTTTTGCATCTAAAGCAAAACCTGAAACCAACTTCATTAGAACATAATTTGTATGCACATGAGATCTAAAACCCAACTGTCACTAGTGTGTTTGAGGTAGTGTTTGTGCATTGGAGTGACATTATTTTGATACATTCCTGTTTCTGATTCTGATTGCAAAATTGGCAGTAAGTATATTACATTTGAGTTAGTTTCTGTGTGGAGTAATCCATCAAAACAACTTATTATATTACATTTTAAAAATATTTTAACACGTTTTTATTAGGCTTTGATATTTTAATGACTTCTGTCCACGGGTCTCCCTTGTTGAGAAAACATTTGAAAGCATATTATAACAGTTTTGAAAAGGCTGTAGGAGACAGTAATATAGATTTGACAAACTTAAAATTTAAATATAATTTAAAATATACTATGTTGTCTTAGTGACTTGGTTGTTAGATTTTGCTGTCCTTGGAAAATAAGTTCAGTGGCATAATTTTGAAAATGTTAGATAAAGATTTATATATAGCCTGTAGAACAGAAATCTATGTTGTTCATTTTAGCAAACTGTTCCAAGTTTGAGGGTGAATGTATTTTTCAGTATTGGACATTGACTCCTTACAGCTTACTTGAGTAGACCAGAGAAATATGGAGAAACTATGACATATAAGTCATTTGGATTAGACGTATTGTAAGCCATTTTTATCTGTCAGATATAAGTGATTAGGGTTGCTCTTTAATAGTTTGCTTTCTGTCACAGTATCTATTTTATAGCGGATCCCTCTTAGATATAGTGTTTTTATCCTTATCAGATATCTTACCAAGACTTGTCTAAAAATGCCTTCTGCAGGAAGCCTAGACACAAAGAAGTGAAAATAAGAGCATCCTATGAAGATTGGATGGTCTTCTTAATTATATTGAAACTCTTGCTTCTCCATTAAATGTTACTTTTTAAAAATCTCTTATTTCTGTGCTATCCTTATCCAACCGTAGAGTGACAGGGAAGTGCATTTTTGGGGAAGTTCTTAGACTAATTATATGTAACATTGTTAATGTACGTTTAAAAGGATTGCTTTGTTTATATAAATCTCAATTATAGAAGTAATTTTATGTTAATTGATGTTGTTAGTTGTCTAGTAGAGTACAATGATATTTGTATGAATACCTTCAGTGTCTCTTGTTTTATTTAAATAATTTTTAATATGTATGTTATTAAAAAACTCTACATTATAATATATTGTAATTTTAATGACTGGTTGTAAGTATAGCATTTGTGGAGTGGCTATTTAGTTCATAAGACTGAATTCAGATGCTTCAAGCAGTTATGAATTATATGTATTGTATTCAAAGATTTTTCTTTTAAGAAATTAAAATGGGGCTGCATGCAGTGGCTCATGCCTTTAATCCCAACACTTTGGGAAGCCAAGGTGAGAGGATTGCTTGAGCCCAAGAGTTTGAGACCAGCCTATGGACAACATAGCAAGAACCCATATTAAAAATGAAAATTAAAATTAGGAAAAAGAAAAAAACAGAAATGGTTAAAAATAGTTTTAAGCAAAATGGGCCCTGTTGAGAGTGGGACAGTATGTGTAATCCTGTTTTTAATGAATATCAACTTTGGATACTTGACCCAAGTATTTATTGTAATAAATTAAAATATTATGCTTAATTTTGGTTTAGTCAATGAAATTATTCTTTCTAAAAGATTGACTTTTTTTAATTGAGGAGAAAGTCACATAATGTAAAATTAACCATTTCAAAGTATACAGTTCATTGTCATTTAGTACATTTACAGTGCTGTGCAGCCACCACCTCTAGGGTGGATGTGTTTTTAATTTCTTTCATTTGGATTTCAGAGCCTTCATTTCACTGAGAACTGAATCTTCCCTCTCTATAACTAATTCCAGTTTCTCCTTTTTTCCAGATATTTACAGAAAGCCTTCTGTGCTCTAGTCGCCTTGAAAACATCCACCTGGCTGGACAGATGATGCACTGCAGTGCTTGTTCAGAAAATCCTCCAGCTGGTATAGCCCATAAAGGGAAACCCCACTACAGGGTCAGCTACGAAAAGAGTATTGACTTGGTTTTGGCTGCCAGCAGAGAGTACTTCAATTCTTCTACCAACCTCACTGATAGCTGCATGGATCTAGCCAGGTAGAATAACTCTATATTCTTCCCTAAGATGGAGGGGGAAAGTCAGAATGTACAAACTGCATTGTTATTCTTTTCTTTACCAAATATATTATCACAGGTACAGATTGACTACACTATATGGGGCACAGTTATTTTTTGCTTGAATATAAAAAGAAAAACTATGTTATGAATGTCCATCAGCTTCTTAAACATTTTTCTCCAGCGCGCTTTCCCATGGTCATTTTTGCTGATTATAAGGCTGTGTATTTCTCTTCTGTTGGAAGAGATTCATGTGATAGCCTATAAATTCAAGTTCTGAAAATTTTCAGCATGCGTAGGTAATGCCTGTCTCGTTCATGTAGCTTTCACTTTGTTTAGAGACAAGGGACCTAAATGCCAGGGCATAAGTCTTTTGAAAAAAAAAAAGAGAGAGAGACAAGGGACCTGATTAGATGATAAACCTCCGAAGTCACTTCCTGGCTGAAATTTCTAGACTATGAGTTCAATTCCTCTCTTGTCCCCATTGTACTCCTATTTTAGCTCACCCCTCTTATTTAACACTAGAAAGGTGTGTTCATGACCTGAGTTCTCGTAATTAGGTATACCCAATTGCAGCGATTTTTTAAGAATAATTCATTCAGGATTTAAGGTTGCTTTTTTAAAGTTAATTTTTTATAAAATTAAAAGAGCATAATAAATCTAGATCAAGGAATAAAACATGTATCACCTCTGTATTAATGAATCTTAAAAGCTTAAAAAAGATTATCTTCCTTGTTCAACATTTCAGAAAAGTGGTTTACAGACAGTCCCCAACTTAAGACGGTTCAACTTCCAATTTTTCAACTTTATGATAATGTAAAAGTGATATGCTTTCAGTAGAAACAGTACTTTGAGTACTCATGCAACCATTGTGTTTTTCACTTTCAGTTCCGTTTTCAGTAAATTACATGAGAAATTCAACACTTTCCTATAAAATAGTCTTTGTGTTAGATGATTAAAAGCCTAGCCAAACTGTAGGCTAATGGAAGTGTTCTTAGCACTTTTAAGGTAGGCTAAACTAAGCTATGATGTTTGTTAGGTTAGGTGTATTAAATGCATTTTGAATTTATGATATTTTCAACTTGCAATGGGTTTATTGGGATGTAATCACATTGTAAGTCAAGGCACATCTTCAATTGTATTATGTCCTCTGTCCCCTGCCTGCTGACTGATACGCTGCTGTTCTTCCACTAGCCATTTTCCAACTCTCGTTTGCAGTGTCTAGTTCCTCTAATACGTATTTCTCCTTCCATTTGTACCCTGGACATCTGAGTCTGTTTTGTTTCTCTTTGTCTGAGATCCCCTTTCTAGACCCTGCTCTACTTTTCTTACTCAGAGTTGTGTTGATCCTCATTCATTTCTAGAGACATACTTTTTAATTTATTTTTTCCGCCTCAAGGCAACTGACAATTTTTCTGAGGCCCTGAGTTTGTCATGTAATCTCTCAGTTTTTGTTTCTTGATCAAATAAACTGAAGAAAGGTAGAATCTCTTCAGTAATAAGGTGGCTATGGTCTCTAGCAAATTATTTACTTATTTGTTATTCTTACTGTGTCTGATTTTTCTAACACTGTGCATCCTAAGCTTATCCTGTTTTCTCAGATTTTCTGGTTAACAGTCTATAAGAGATTATACATTTTATTTGATAGGAATTATCCACTCAGTATTTAAATAAAGTAATGAGATTTTTGAGCCCAATCGTTTGCCCACTATTTTGCATGTTATACCTGTATATAGTTTTACAAAAATGAGATAATACTATACATTTCTTTTTATTACACAGTTTTTTCAGTTGTTTATTGAGCTAGTGTATACAGATCTGCAGCATTTTCATATGCTTTACAGCATTGTGTTGAGTGGTTGTGCTAGATTTGTTTAGTTCTTTTCTGACTGCATTTAGTACACCTTTTCATTGTCCAAGAAGCAGCAGAGTGTAGAGGTTAAGAACACAGCAGTTTCTAGGGCCAGATGGCTATGTGCAAATCCACTTTTTTCCAGCTAACAGGTATGTGACCTTGGGCCAGTCATCAGGGCCTCAGGTTCTTCACCTGTAAAATGTGGATAATAGTAGGCTTATATCATAGGGCTATTGTAATATTAACTGAGTATGTAAAATAGTTAGAACTGTGCCTGTTGTAGATGGATAATGCAAAGTGGAATTGCTGAATCAAAGGGTAAGCACATGCAAAATTTTGGTCTTTGTTATCATGTGGCACCAGTTTATTTTCCATTCCCTAAGGCACTAAAGGGCCCCTTCTCTAAATTAATTTTCAGTCTTTCCAGTGTTTGTCTGTTGAACAGCTTCATTTGCACTTTTTCATTTGAAACTTGTTTCTAGCCTTTACTTATTTTTCTTTTGGGGTGTTCATCTTTTTACTATTGATTCTTAGGAGCTTATTTTGAGGCATAAGGAATATTTACCCTATGCCTATCTCAAATATTTTACTACATTGCCAAGTTTTCATTATATATGATTTATCTTTCCAATTGCTATTCAGAATTTTTTTAAAATTGTGGTTCTTTTACAATTTCTGTCTTTTCTGTCATCCTTTGAAAGACCTTTAAATCCCAAGACTATTATGACAGGTTTTCATATTTTTTAGTGCTTTGATAGTTTTATTTTTTACATTTCAGTTTTATCTTTATTTGGAATTTATTTTGATATTTTGATTATGGTAGCAATTGGAGCACCTTCATTTTACAAACATGCTGTATGTGTGTAACCTGGCACCTCACTGATTGCAACCTGTGAGCCTGGGTGTATTTTAGTGTTTACAGTTATGTTGAATGTAGAGAATAACCCATACATTCTTAATGATTAAAGTATTATTTATTAATTAGCATTTTATTTAGGAAGCAATAAATATTTAAACAATACAAAAAGGATATATTGGAGAGATTCATTTTCCCCCAGATGACTAATATTTATTTCAGACCTAGCAACGCTTAAAAGTAACTCCTGCACCAAGTCCCCCCATTCCCCCCACACAGGTGATATCTTATCTCAGAAGGAATTATGTTTCACAAACCATGTTATTGAACTTGACAAAGTTGTTTAAAGCAGTTAGCTCTTTCTTTTCTCCTAAGCGATTCTATTTTTATTTCAAATGATGAAAATACCAAATAGTCTTTGAAAATACCAAATAGCCTTTGAAACTGGGAATTGTATTTCACCTCAATCTTTTTGGCAGGTGTTTCCCAGAGATCATTTAAAAAGCCGGTCCTTCTATATTTCCCCTTCATTGCATCTCTTTCTCTCTTGCAAGGACACACCTTCATCACCTTCATTTCACAAACATGCCCTGTGTGTATAATGTGGTACCAAACTGATTGTGACCTGTGAGCCTGGATGTATTTCAGTGTTCACAGTTATATTGAATGCAGGAAATAGCGCTTACATTTTTACTGATTAAAGAGTTATTTATAAACTCTTTATAAATAAATTGTTGAGGAAGCAATAGATATCCAAACAATACAAAAAGGATATATGTATTGACAATAAATCTCCCTCCTCATTCTAGTTCCCCTAACTTTATCCTTCCATCATTTTTAAATATCGGTTTCTTATGTATCCTTCCAAAACATTTGATTAAATGTTACCTCTTCTTTCTTAAATCATGAATAAATTCTTACTATTATGCATACCTTTCTATGCCCTGTTTTTTTTTCACTCATATTCTATATTGAAGGTTTTTTCATGTGAGTACAGACAGTTCTATTTTATTCCTTTTTGATGGTTGTAGAACATTCCATTATATAATTTATTTAATTTGTTCCTGATTTGGTATGCTTTCTTTCATTTTTAAAAACAATTTGGTAGTGAGCACCCACAATTATATGTCTTTGAGCATGTGCGAGCCTATCTGTAATGTAAATTTTTAGAATTTATTTGTAATTTAGAATTTATTTGTAATTCCTGGGTCTAGAGTAAAAAATGTAAAAAAGTACATTTACAATTTTGATAGAAACCACAAAGAGGTTATAGACCTTTCACACTTGAATCAACAGTAGATGTGAGTGCACAACTGATTTAAATCCTCCAGTTTTACGAGAGCAGGCTTGGCCTGTATCTGTCACTCAGTCATATGGATGCCATACTGGGGCTTAGATACCTGCATCTCGTGATCTGTGATTCTAGCATTCATGAGCCCGTTACCGCCTGATCTGTCTTTCTAATCTTACATTCCAATGTTCCTCTAAACACCTTTAGAGAATGAGTTTATTCATCAAGTGAAACATTTATTAAATGCAGTTTCTTTGAATTTAAACAAAAATTTACTTAAAATATTCCATGGGAATCCCACATTCTTAGCTTAGCAAATCACTTTCTCCTATGGTTCATCTCAGAACTGTGTATTACCAACAGATTTCTCTTTTTTGATCAGAAAGATGTTCTCTGCATTTCCCTAAGTCATTTCTTGTTTCTTTTGAGACATCACATTGTGACCAAATCAAGACATTTCTGTTTTTCGTAGAAGGGAAACTGGAAATTATCTGAACTTCATCCTTTAAAATTTTTTTTTGTAATAGAATCATAATGTTTGCATTCAACAGTAAAAACGGCACTGAACACAGAGTTATGATGCTTCCTACCATGATGCCATTATGTACTGTGGATGTAACTGTGGGCAATTACTTCACTTCTGTGAGTTTCAGTTTTAGCTCCCTGAAAAGGCAGATAGATGATGATGTTTGCCTACCTCAGAGGCTTGCTATGAGGATTAAGATAACAGAAGGCATCCAGCGGAATGAATTCCTGGGATGTGGTAGATTTTTGATAAATATGTGTTAGATCTCATGGTGTTGAGTATAGAAAGGTGAACATATGTTGCTTCTTTTTAAAAATTTATCTAATTTCTTCTAGGTGCTGCTTACAACTGATAACAGACAGACCCCCTGCCATTCAAGAGGAGCTAGATCTTATCCAAGCCGTTGGATGTCTTGAAGAATTTGGGGTAAAGATCCTGCCTTTGCAAGGTGAGTTTTCTACTTACTGTTGCATTGTTACTAACTTATATTGCAGCAATTTACTAGTATTCTTTTTTAGTTTTTAAAACTAAAGAGTAGCTTTGGTCATGTAATCCATTAGCAATAGATCCTGCCCTTGACCCATTATTTTAAATGAAATCTCAAGTGGAAACCCAAAAGAAAAAATAAAGCCAACATTTTACCATAAATTTATTTTTTAAATTTCACGTGTATAACATTTAAAGAAATAACATCGGTAACAGAGCAGTGAGGGTATAGAGTAAAAACAAAAAAAGATATTGGGGATTATGGATGAGAATATATCAGATTTATATCAGTTTTGATCTACAATTTCTGTATTTTGTTTCCATTGCATAGATTAATAACTAGCTATAAATAAAAATAGTTTTTTTCTTTTTATGCTTGACTCAGTATATTACGTCCATCTATTTTTTTAAAAGAGGGAACGATAAGAAATTTTTGTTTAGAATTTAATTACTAGAGATATCTTAATATTACTCAACTTCTTTTATTTGAATATAAAAGTCAACTTGGTATCATCCCAAACAAGCATCCTGCTACAGAATCACTTGTCTCATCTATTTATGCTGTGAGGACTGTTTACATCTCATGGTGTACTGGACCTTAAACCTGACCTTCCCTGTTGAGGAAGGTAGATTTTCTGTTGCATTAAATCCTGGACCTCTGTGCCCTAAATGAACAGAGTGGCTTGGTATTATTAGCAGTGTGCTTGGCTGGCTTCCTTGTAATCTGTTATCTCTGTTCTTAAGTCTGGAAATATTTGAGACTGATGGTGGTAGAGGTTTAGATCTCTTACAAGTTCCTTGGTGTCTTTGTCCTGTGTAGTGTTTAGAGCTGGATGGATTTTAGAGATATGAGCCAGTAGAGGCATTCTCATGTTTTCAGTGGGTTTCCAACGTGGCTTGACTAAAAGTTAAAGTTTTGCATCTCAGACAAATTCATTAGGCTGGGCACAGTGGCTCACACCTGTAGTCCCAGCATTTTGGGATGCTGATGTAGGAGGTTCACTTTAGTCCAAAAGCTTGAGACCAGCCTGGGCAACATAGTGATACCCTGTCTCTACAAAAATTAAAGAAGTTAGCCGAGTGTAATGGCATGCGTATGTAGTCCCAGCTACTCAGGAGGCTGAGGTGGGAGGACCGCTTGAGCCCAGGAAGTTGAGGCTGCAGTAAGCCATGATCACGCTGTTGCATTCCGGCCTAGGCAACAGACCTAGAACCTGTCTCAAAATAACTTATTAGACTCAAAAGAGGTAATATTATTATTACTTTGAATATCATTGTTTGGAAACAATTTGTACGTGATTATAACTATCTTGTGGTATCTTAAGCAATTTTATCTAATGTGATTGCTAAATCACTGGAAAATTTTATTCATTTGTACAATTCATGTGACTTTTGAGCTCAAAACTTCTTAAAATTGTGAAGATTGATCAGGTTTACTTTTTTCAATTCTTAAATGTCTGAAGTCATTAACTACGTCTCCCTCAAATATTTATTTAATTGCAATTTTAGTCAAGGAAGAATCCAGAGCACTATGAAACCTTTGCTCTGTTTGTATCTCTTGTTAGGCCATGCTGTTACGGATTTGACTCTGTGTGTGTGTGCCTGTGTGTCTGTGTTTTACCTCCTTATTTAATTCAAGCAGATTGGTATAATACAAAACATTTTCTTACAGTCCACCCAAGTGCTACTGGATTTTGAAATGTTACATTAAGCCCTGATTTTCTGTGCTGATCAATTAGCAGGATTTTTTGCTGGTAATATGTGTATATCAGCTGCTGGGTTTGAATACCTGCAACCAAAACCGCTGCCCTGCTGTGGCTTCTGAGAATTTTCTGACTGAGGAGTATTTTAAGAAAGACATTTGCTTTCATGTCTTGACAGCTTTCCAGCTTGATATATTGATTTGGAGTTTCCTATTAGAATGACTGTCAGAAAACCTTCTGGATGTGAAGATGGAATATTGCCTTTGTATACTTTTTGTTGTGTTTATCTTACAGATGCCATTTAGGTTTTAGCTTCTTTTGTATTCATCAGTAATATTGGAGAAAGAAAACAACTAGATATTTAGAAATTTATGGTTTAGGTATTTTTATTGTAGTCAGTGTACGTAGTTCATTTTGTCACTTTGCTTTGTTTTGAAGCCTTCTTTGCCTACACTCCAGGAGTTGCTGTTTCTCATCAAGTAAAGGCTAGCAGTTCTAACTAAATTATAATCAATGAGCCAATTGAAAACAGGAACAGAAGTCGCATGTAAAAATGACTCCCTATGTGTGAGTCTTCTGTGAAATATTTTTGTGTGTGTATATGTATATGCTTTTCTCTTTATTTTGGGTGTTTATGTAAATTTTTCTTAATATTTAAATGAACAGCCTTTGAATATTTCATTTGGTCCACATGTTATTTCTATAATAGGGTAAGTCAGCTTTTCTGACTTACAGCATTATAGTTACACTCAGCCTGGAGCTACTTCTGCCACTTATTACTGGGTAACTGGGGGCAAGTTTTAACCTTTCTTTAAGTTTCCTCATTTACCAAATGGGGGTACTAATAAGAATCTTACAGAATTGCTTATAAGGAATGTCTGTTCATTTATAGTGCCTAAGATATAGTAAGGACTGTACAATATCAATGATTATTTTTATACTTAAAGGTATTTTTTAAATAATCATAGAATTAGTGTAGTCTTACCTGTCTTCTCATTCTCCCCACATCCTTTCTCTTCATTCATTTTCTTTTCTTCCTCAGATTCTTCCCCTCCCTCCTCAGCCTCTGTTCATTGCCCTCTTTCCATCCCCCCTTTGCTTTCATTTAATAAACATAAATTTAGGCACTTACCCTACTCTGGGAACTGAAATAATGATGGGGACAAGGCACATTCTATGACTTTACAGGGCTACCACACTGATAAGGAGACAGGATTACCCCAGAGTGTCATGTGTGAGTTTACATTCTGATGTAGCCACTTTGAGCTGTGTAACCTGTGGCAACAGTATCTTTGAGCTTCACATTTCTCAGATTGGGATAATAATAAAATATTCCTGACACAGTCCTGTAAGTTATATCTGGAGAAACCTTGTATTAGAAGATTCTATTCTTTATAAGTGTTTCTGTGAATATGGCGGTAGGTAATAATATAGCTAATATTTATTGAGTGATTTTTATGTTCCAAATATGCTTTATATGTATTCACTAATTCTCAAAATGCCCTTTGGGCATTGTATTAGCCTGTTTTCACACTGCTATAAAGAAATACCCAAGACTGGGTAATTTATAAAGGTAAGAGGTTTAATTGACTCACAGTTCCACATGACTGGGGAGGCCTTAGGAAACTTACAGTCATGGCAGAAGGCAAAGGGGAAGCAAGGATCTTCTTCATCTGTTGGCGGGAAAGAGAAGAGTATATTTGAGAACGAGGAAGTGCCGCGCTTTTAAACCATCAGTCCTAGTGAGAACTCACCATCATGAGAACAGCATGGGGGAAACTGCCCCCATGATCCAGTCACCTTCCACCAGGTCATTCCCTCAACACCTGGGGATTGCAATTGAAGATGAAATTTGAGTGGGGACACAGAGCCTAACCATATCATTTCACCCCGGCCCCTTCTAGATCTCATGTCCTCACATTTCAAAACCAATCGTGCCTTCCCTGCAGTCCCCCAAAGTCTTAACTCATTTCAGCATTAACTCAAAAGTTCAAGTCCAAAATCTCATCTGTGACAGGACAAGTCCCTTCCACCTAGGAGCCTGTAAAATCAAAAGTTAGTTACTTCCAAGATACAATAGGGGTACAGGCATTGGATAAATGCCTCCATTCCAAATGGGAGAAATTGGCCAAAGCAAAGGGGCCACAGGCCCCTGCAAGTCTGAAACCCAGCAGGGCAGTCATTAAATCTTAAAGCTCCAAAATAATCTCCTTTGACTCCATGTCTCACATCCAGGGCACACTGATGCAAAGGGTGGGCTCTCATGGCCTTAGGCAGCATGGTGGCTCACTCCTCTAATCCCAGGACTTTGGGAGGCTGAGGTGGGTGGTTTGCTTGAGCTCAGGAGTTTGAGACCAGCCTTGGCAACATGGCAAAACCCGTCTCTATTTTTTAAAAAATTAAAAAATTAGCCAGGCTTGGTGGTGCATGCCTGTAGTCCCAGCTACTTGGAGTGCTGAGGCAGGAGGATCACTTGTCCTAGGAGGTTGAGTCTGCAGTGAGTTGAGATTGTGCCACCGCACCCGAGCCTGGGCAATAGAGCGAGACCCTGTCTCAAATTAAAACCATACCCTATGAGGTGGTGGTATTGTTTCCAATGTTCAGATGATGAAATCAAGGCCCAGGGAGGTTAAGTAACTTGCCTAGGTTGCCTAGGGTCATCCAGCTAGTTAGAGGTGGAGCCAGGATTCAAACCTAGGTAGTCTGGCTCAAGAACCTGCATTTGTAACAGTGGAGAATACTCTACTGAGGAAAAGATGTGAGAGCAAAAGATTCTTCAAGAAGGAAACTCTTACTTGTCCTCCTACTGGTCAGCTAAGTGTTTGACTCCTGCGTGTTACACCTTCCTTGCCCACACGGTTCAGATTTGTATAATACTTCCACAGCATCACTAGCAACTTCATATGTTGTGGGCCTCTGTTGCCATTCCCAAGTGACTGCAATTGATATTGCACAGCTATCTTTTGAGGGGCATTTGGAATATAGGTGGCTGGTTAGAAAATGCTTTTTACATCTGAGACGTGCATGCACGTGTATGTGTGTGTGTGTGTATACGTGTGTTTTATAATAGGTTTTTGAAAAATCATTTGAGATATATTCATGATTTCTGCAGGAAAATTAGATTATCTTTAATTATTAAAAGGTACGTACATGCCTATCTTTTTCATGTTCATTCATTCAATTTGGAAAGGAATTTTAGGAGTTGAACACTTCTTCCTTCTTGGAAAGATAGGGCTTGAATTTATTTAACTGAGAATTCACATTTTGAAATATAATTAAGCAGGCCCTAAATCAGCAGAAAAAGGGAACTGGTATAGTGATTGTCCAGAGGATCAGAAAATACGTAAGTAAATAAAGTAAAAAGTCATTTGAACAGGGTAATTGCAGTCTATTAGACTTCTGCTCTCCAAATTTATTTAATGTACTTCAAATATTAGTAGTGTGCATCGCTTAGGGCAACAGGAGACAAATAATCAAACTTGAGTGTTCCATTAAATGGAAGTTTAGAGAAAATCATGATCCATTGCTATGTGTGGTTTCAGTTCTCTACCTTGAGTTTATTGAGGTGGAAAAAGAGTGGTAAAAGTAAGGAAGTCAGTTTAGTAGAATTACTAAAGCTAGAGCTTCTCTAAGAAGAATACAATAATTCATCAACAAAGCCATAAAAGCAGCTATGAAAACTCCAGATTTTTACATATGTGGAATGCAGATAATATCTGCAACAAATTTTGTTTTGAAAATAAAATTAGAAATGTGTTAAAAGTACCTATCTCACAATTATCATATGTTACTGAATCTGGAAAAAGCCCCATAAAATAGTAGCGGATATTGAGGAAAAAACCCATAGTGTTTTTATTGTGATAAGGTATGGAAAGGCTTGAAGTATACTGTATCGGTGAGTTTTTACGATTGTGCTGTTGTGAAAAACTCAGAATCTCCATAATATGTGATAACAGGCTTATTCCTTGCTCACAATCGTGTCCACTTTGGTTAGCCGCAGCACCACCCCTTGAGACACGGTCTTGTCACAGTAGAAGGGAAAGATCTGTAGTGGAATTCCACGATGACTCTTAACAGCTTTCACTCAGAAGTGGCATATGTCATTTCCACTCACATTAATTGCCTGTAGATGTCACAGGGCCAAGCCTCATGTTACTGAAGCAGGAATTTGGGATATGAATAGTTGCAGTGGATAATTGGGAAGAGTAATACAGTCTACAGAAGCTATACTCAGATGTAGGTATTAGCAATGGTGATTTTGAAGGAAGTAACTGAAGAGTAAGTATATTTACTTTATATTTTATAGTAAAGGCCACACACAACAGGATTATTGTTGTAGATGTATAAATATTCATTTTAAGAGAGTCTAGGCCAGGTGCATTGGCTCACGCCTGTAATCCTAGCAGTTTGGGAGGTCGAGGAGGGCGGATCACAAGGTCAGGAGTTCTAGACTAGCCTGGCCAATGTGGTGAAACCCCGTCGCTACTAAGAATACAAAAGTTAGCCAGGCGTGGTGGCACGTGCCTGTAGTCCCAGCTACTCGGGAGGCTGAGGCAGAAGAATCGCTTGAACCTGGGAGGTGGAGGTTGCAGTAAGCCGAGATTACGCCACTGCACTCCAGCCTGGGCAACAGAGGGAGATTCTATCTCAAAAAAAAAAAAAAAAAAAAAAAAAAGTCAAAACATTAGGAAACACACACTGAAGTATTTAGCAATAAAGAGAAATGTTATTTGCAACTTATTCTCAAATGGTTCAGAAAAAAATAAATGTGTATGTATATTTGTGTGTATATATGTGTAACTATTTGTGTATATATGCACTTGTATATATGTGTATTATAAATATGTGTATGTATTTGTACATGTATAAGTATTTGTGTGTGTATATACATATTCCTGTGTGAATATACAGAGGAAGGAAGCAGGGACTGTATGCATGCATGATTGCACATGGACATGTGTGAAGGCGCAAATTATTAATCATCTGTTAACCTCAGCAAAGAGTATAGAGGATTTCTTTGTACTTTCCTTGCAACCTTTTTTGAGTTCAACATTAAATTGTAGTAAATCCTTACCTTCCCCAAAAAAGCCCATTCCAGAGGAAAAATACCACCTCTCTTCTTTATCTCCCCCGTCCCTGGCCCCTCTCACCTATGTAGAAGTTTTGAGAGAACACAAGATATATGGAGAACAGCCATGGGTTTAGGAAAGGATAAAGGATTCAAGGTGTGAAAACATTTAGCGAGCTGGGTTGAATTTTGGTCCCATCACTTTTTCAGTGACCTTTGCCAAAGTATTTAACCTTTCTGCACCTCAGTTTCTTCTCTTGAGGATAATAGTACCTGCCTTCTATTAATAAGAGTTTGCTGTGTAGGGTTAATATACATAAAGCACCTCCAACAGTGCCTGAGACATAGCTCGTATTCCTTTCACATCAGTTGCTATTATCGTAGTTGTTGTTATTATAATTATTGGGGGCCAGCCTCCCTGGCAGTGCTGTGTTTCTTAAAGGTTGCCATCTCTGCTGTAAATAAGTACCATTTGTTCCTAGAATATACGTAGTACCCTTTGTCTAGGGTTTTTTTAATGTGATTTTCATTTCTTTATAGTTTGAATTGGTTTGATCAGATGTGTTTTATTTTCCTAATATCCAGTTTATGTGAGAAAATTGGGCTTATGTTTGGAGGAAGGTTAATAAATTGCAACAGTGAGCACTTTGAAGACTCCTGCCTTCCAAACTGGGGTAATGAGTGGAGATAGCAAATGTATATTTAGAGCAAGGAATGGGGCTTAGAGGGTGAGGTTTGAGGGGGCTGGTATAATACTAAGTATATGAAGTTTTTAGAGACAAATACTGTCTCGTTTAAATTTTTCCCTAAGTCCTGACATGGTACATAAAACAGTGAAACAGTTTTTTCTAGTTTCAGATTAACACTTCATTTCCTGTGCTTCAGAAGTTTGGTTATGAAGAAAAGATCAAGGTTGTACATTATTTACTCAGAAGCAATAATAATTTTGCTGTTTGTTAAACGTGCCTTTTACTTTTACTTAATTCTCCTTCATCTGATGCCTTACCCAGTTTTCATTTTCTTTGGATGCCTTGCATTAGGAAGGCCATTAACACCCTTTTGTGATGTCCCTGGTCCAAGTCTTTAATACGTCTTTCTTTTGTAGTGCGATTGTGCCCTGATCGGATCAGTCTCATCAAGGAGTGTATTTCCCAGTCCCCCACATGCTATAAACAATCCACCAAGCTTCTGGGCCTTGCTGAGCTGCTGAGGGTTGCAGGTAAGTCTTTTGAGTACTAAACTGCAGAATAAGCTTTCTATGTTATTCTTGACATCATTGCAGGACAATAGCAGAATATGTGCTTACAGCGTCAGAAGAACAGCTTTTTTATTAGACAGGGTCTCGCTCTGTTGCTCAGGCTGGAGTGCAGTGAAATCTTCCTGCCTCAGCCTCTCAGTTAGCTAAGAAGAACATCTTTGGGCAAGGATTAGTATTTTCTAGAAAAATTGACGTGTTATAAAAATGTGCCAATATTGAGCTTCTGGAACTATCTATTACTTAAACGAAGACAAGCTTATTCAGGGTGCCTCAAAATGGTTGTGTAGTCAGGAGCAGAAGTCAGTGTTACCATTTATAACCAGAAAAGTTACATATAAAACAAACCAACCTTACCAGTTCACCTTCAGTGTCTAAATTTGGTTTTGTGTTTGAACCTGAACAATTTGTTAGAAAACTTTATGCATTTACTATTTGGTGGGGTTTTCATGTATTTTATCTCATTTAATCATCTCATAAATGATGTTGATTTTGGTATTCTTCTCATTTTGCAAGGGAAGTTGGAGATGAGAGAAGTTAAATATTTTGCCCAGCAGGGTTAAATAGCAGGCTTTGGCTTTTAAGGAAAGTCTTTTTGACTCTACATTTCATATTTCCTTAACTACATCCTTCTGCTCACCAGTCTTTTTAATACTTTTTTTTTTGTAGTTTTGTCTTATGCTGATCTCTGCAAGAAGAGTTGTTGGTCATTTGGTTGTATAAGCAGTGGTTGGAAATTGTATTCATCTAAGCCATATATATATGTAACATATTTAATGGACTAAATATTTTAAAATTGTATTATGTAGGAGTCTTAAGGTCTCTAGTTTTAGTAATCGTGTGTGTCATTTATCCTTTTCTAGTCTGTGTGAAGGTATAGCATCAGCATCTTTATATTTGGACTTGCAGCAGACTGCCAATGTGATGGCAGTGTGACTGGGGCCAGTCATCCGTTGTGAGACATCTGGAATGAATGGGGAGAACAGTTCATGTGGAGTCAGAACACTGGTTCAAGTTCTAACTCTGTGCCACACATTTGCTAAATTACTTTAGTTCCATTTTCTGCATCTGGAAAATAGGAATGATACCCCCTTTCTTCACCTGTGAAGTTAGGAGAGGCCCAAATGAGTTAATGCATGTGAAAGTGCTCTGTAAACTCTGATGCACTCTGATCATCAGGGAATATTCCATAAGGATCCAGGCCACAGAAGCTAACAAAGCAGCTCAGAGGTGCCATCTGCATTTTTATGTTCCTACTAGGATTTGTTTCCTCTTTTGTCTTTGTGATGTGTTAACATAGTAACAGGAATACCTGTGGTCTTGGTAATCTATATGAGTTTTTAATGGGAAGAGAGAAAGTAATATTTTTCTGCTACGTACTGTGGATACAAAGTTCTGTTACACATAGCTGCTGCCCTCTGAGAATTTAGACTCTTAGAAAGCTAGGGAAACAAGTAATTATGCTGCCAACATAGGATGTGATCATAGTGCATGGCTTCTGTAAACAAATAATAGAAGACTCGAAGAAAGGCCGTGCTAATTTTTGCCTGGGGAATTAAGAAAGGTATCATAGGTGGCCTTTACCTTATAGAGTGTTTTGGTTATCTGTTACTGCTTTACGAACCATCCAAAACCTGGTGGCTTAAAAAACAACCATTTATTTTTCTCTCTCCAGAAAAAGAGAAAAGAGATTTTCCCAATCTCTTCTGGAGATTGGGCTCAGCTAAGCAGGTCATCATCTTTTATGAAATTTCATCAGATCGTGGCTAGGGTTGGACTCTGTCAAAGGCTGCATTACTCACATGTCTGGGTACTTGGGCTGGGAAGACTTAAATAGCTGGGGGCTGATATAGGGCTTTACAGGTGTCTCTGCTCTCTGTGATTTCTCCTTGTACTTTTTCCATTTGATGGTCTCAGAGTACCCAGACTTCCTTCTTGTTGGCTGAAGTCTCCTGGAGTCAGTGCTCCAGGAGAAACCAGCAAAATCTTCAAGGCATTTTCTTTTTTTTCTTGAGACAGAGTTTCGCTCTTGTTGCCCAGGCTGGAGTGCAATGGCGCCATCTTGGCTCACTACAACCTGTGCCTCCCAGATTCAAGCGAGTCTCCTGCCTTAGCCTCCCGAGTAGCTGGGATTACAGGCATGCGCCACCACACCCAGCTAATTTTGTATTTTTAGTAGAAACGGGGTTTCCCCATGCTGGTCAGGCTGGTCTGGAACTCCTAACTTCAGGTGATCCACCTGCCTCGGCCTCCCAAAGTGCTGGGATTACAGGCGTGACCACTGTGCCCGGCTGCTTCAAGGCATTTTCAAATCTAGCTTTGATATTTGGGCAGCTTCATTTCCAGTGTATTTTATTCTTGGACTCAGTTAGACAGACCTTGCCAACTTCAAGGGGAATATTTACAGACCTCACCCGAAGGCTCTAATGGGGCTGAAGGTTCTGCTTCTAAGAGGGCTCATTCACATGGCTCTTGGCAGGGGGCCTCAGTCCTTTATGGCTATTGGTAAGAGGCCTCAGTTTCCTGCTACATGGAACTCTCCATTGGGCTGCTTGAGTGTGTTCTCTCAGCACGGCAGCTGGTTTCTCCTAGAGCGATCTGATTCACAAGAAAGCAAAGAGGAAGCTGTAATGCCTTTTATGATATGGTCTTGGAAGTCACACACCATCACTTCCACTTTATGTGTAGAAGTAAATCACTAAGATCAGCCCTTTGGTTATATTTTTTCATTTAATCCACCTGCTCAGATTGGAATTGTCTTGAATTAAAAACAGTTAAATAACTTTGAACTTTAAGATAACTGTTTGGCACATCTTTATAAAAAGTTTCCATTAACAACAATAATAATACTCATTTTATGCTTTAATACTTATCTCAGTTCCTTCTTTGTCCTTTATAGGCAGAAATAGGAATCTCATTTTGAAAATGAGGAGACAGGAATAGAGAAAAGTTAAATAATTACTGAGGATTTTATAGTTAAGAGGTTTTAAGTTAAATCCTTTACTCATATTCTGTTTCCACCTTTTTTGACACTATATAATAATAATCAGTGGACTTTATTGTCCTTCATTTCATTCACAAGACCTTTGCATCTGGCTATTTTCACAGACATTCAGCAGATTTTACCACATCTCAAATCAAAAATTAATTGATCTGATAACATAAGAGAAAGGAATGCATCCAAATGAGGTTATGAAAGAGACTGAGTAGTTTAGATACCTGGTCTGTTAGTCATGACTCAACCAGAGGAGCAGAAACTGTAGGAGAGGTACATGTTAAAGACTTCATTACCAGGAATGGGCTTTTACTACTATGGGGATTGGCTAAGCAAGTCTGAAATCCATAGGCAGTCAGTCAGGAAGAGAAGATCAGGAGCAGGAGGGAACTCTGTGGATATGGCCTGAAGCTGTCATTCACAGGTGGGAATCTCTCCCCAACCACCAGCTCTTTCTTTTTTTTCTGACTGTTTTTTGGGTTTTTGTTTACAGAGACGGGGTCTCACTATGTTGCCCATGCTGGTTTTGAACTCCTGGGCTCAAGCAATTCACCTGTCGCAGCCTCCCAAAGTGTTGGGATTGCAGGTGTGAACCACTGCGCCTGGCCCCATCTCTTTCTTTCTTTCTGGAAAACCTCAACCTCTTTAAAGCCTTCCCTGAAGTTCAGTCAGACCCACCAGGATTATCTAGGATAAACTTCTTTACGTAAAGTCAACAGAGTACCGTATTTAATTATATCTGCAAAATAACCTTCACAATACCACCCAGATTAGAGCTTGTAGCCTAGCTAGGTTGACATAAAAAAATTATAATCTGGACCTTTCATTTTTAATTTAATGTATTCTGAAGAAATGCAAACATTTCAATGTTATGTAGGAAATAGGTTTTATATTGTGTTATAGGTGCATTTATTATAGAGAAACATTACATATTCCGTTTCCAATATATGTTACTGTTACTAAATCATGAGTGTGTTATTCTAATAATAGGTTTATGAATCTCAGTGCAACATCATCCCTTTTTAAGAATTTATTTATTTAGAGACAGACTCTTGCTCTGTTGCCCAGGCTGAAGTGCAGTGGGATGATCATATCTCACTGTAATCTTGAACTCCTGGGCTCAGGGGATCCTCCTGCCTCAGCCTCCTGACTAGCTGGGACTACAGGCATGTACCACCATGCCCAGCTAATTAGAAACATTTTTCTTTTCTTTTCTTTCTTTTTTTTTTTTTTGGTAGAGATGAGGTCTCGCTCTGTTTTCCAGGTTGGTATTGAACTCCTTCCCACAAACGATCCTCCTACCTCAGCCTCCCAAAGTGCTAAGATTACAGGCGTGAGCCACCGTGCCTGGCCCTAGAATCTTCTCAGAATAGATTGGGCCAATACTTGCCTTGGATTTTATTTAAACTTATGAAGTACATAAAGAAGATCGATAGGGACATATTTTAAAAGTTTTATTCAACCCTTCCTGTAACATGTTTGCTTTTTCCTCCAAACCATATTATAGCTTAGAAAATCAAGGGCCCTAAACATATTTTCTATTTTTTCCTGGAATTTTTTTTTTTTTTGAGATGGAGTTTCACTCCTGTTTCTCGGGCTAGAGTACAATGGCACGATCTCAGCTTACTGCAACCTCCGCCTCCTGGGTTCAAGTGATTCTCCTGCCTCAGCTTCCCAAGTAGCTGGGATTACAGGCATGTGCCACCACACCTGGCTAATTTTTTGTATTTTTAGTAGAGATGGGGTTTCTCCATGTTGGTCAGGCTGGTCTTGAACTCCTGACCTCAGGTGATCCGCCTGCCTCAGCCTCCCAAAGTGCTGGGATTACAGGCGTGAGCCACCGTGCCCAGCCATTTCCTGGAAATATTAAAAATAATTTTAAGGCTCTTTAAAATATGAAATATATTAGATTTTTGTCCTTTTTAGCCTACATATCCAAATTACATTGTATTTGTTTTGTAGCTGAATTATTTGTCTCATAATTGAAAATAACATTCCGAATTTAATCTGTGCCATTTTTTTGTTTTTGTTTTTTTGAGCCAGAGTCTCACTGTGTCACCCAGGCTGGAGTGCGGTGGTGCGATCTCAGCTCACTGCCACCTCTGCCTCCCGGGTTCAAATTATTCTCATGCCTCAGCCTCCCGAGTAGCTGGGATTACAGGCATCCTCCACCATGCCTAGCTAATTTTTGTATTTTTAGTAGAGATGGGATTTCACCATGTTGGCCAGGCTGGTCTTGAATTCCTCACCTCAAGTGATCCACCCACCTCGGCCTCCCAAAATGCTAGGATTACAGGTGTGAGCCACTGTGCCTGGCCTCTGTGCCTGTTTAATTGAGAATTTACAGTCGTACTGCACAGCAATGGTACATGAAATTTTGGTCAACAACGATCTCATATGCAATGGTGGTTCCATAAAATTAAAATAGAGCTGAAAATTCCTATCGCCTAGTGACATCAGCCGTTATAACACGTTATTCACTTTTTTATGGTGATGGAGATGTAAACCTCCTATACAGCCAGTTGTGTAAGTTTGCCACATATAGTTATGTTGGTACATAATTCTTGGTAAAGTTACTAAATGACTATGTTACTGGCTTAAGTGTTTACTATACTATGTTATTTTCAAAGATGCGCCTCCTGTTTATAAAAGAAAAAAGTTAACTTTAAAATAGCCTCAGGCAGGTCCTTCAGGAGGGATTCCAGAAGGCATTGATATCATAGGAGATGATAGCTCCATGTGTTATGGCCCGAAGGCCTTCCAGTGGGACAATAGGTGGAGGTGGAAGAAAGTGATATTGATGTCCTGACCCAGTGTTTGGGCTAGACTAATATGTGTGTTTGTGTCTTAGTATTTAACAAGAAAAGTTTTAGAAAGTTAAAAAAAAAAAAAAAAAAAAGGCTGGTCATGGCGGCTCAGACTTCTAATCCCAACACTTTGGAAGGTTGAGGCAAGTGAATCACTTGAGGCCAGGAGTTCCACACCATCCTGAGAAACATAGTGAAATCCTGTCTCTACAAAAAATAAAAATAAAAATTTCCTGGGTGTGGTGATGCATGCTTGTAGGCCTAACTACTTAGGGTGCTGAGACAGGAGGCTGCCTTGAACCAAGGAGTTCACGAGGTTACAGTGAGTTATGTAAATATTGATCATGCCATTACACTCCAGCCTAGGCGACACAGTGAGATTCTGTTTTGTTTTGTTTTTTTTTTTTTTTTAAGTTATGGTAACCTATAGTTAACTTATTACTGAAGAAAGAAAAATATTTTTTTACTAAATTTCATGTAGCCTCAGTGTAGAGTGTTTATAATGTCTGCAGTAGTGTACAGTCATATCCTCGGCCTTCACATTCACTCACCACCCAACAAACTGACTCACCCAGAGCAACTTCCAGCCCTGTAAACTCCATCCATGGTAAATGTCCTATACAGAGTTACCATTTTTTATCTTTTGTACAATATTTTTACTGTACCTTTTCTATGTTTAGATACACATAATTCTTACCATTGCATTCCAGTTGCCCATAGTATTCAGTACAGAAATATACTGTACAGGTTTGTAGCCTAGGAGCTATACCATATATATAGCCTAGGTATGTAGTAGGCTATACCATCTAGGTTTGTGTGAGTGCACTCTGTGATATTTGCTCAAGACGGAAATGCCTAATGACACATGTCATAGAATGTATTCCTCTTGTTAAGCAACTCATGACTGTATTTTTTTGAGCCTTTCTATTATGTGCATAACTTGATGCTGGGTATTGAGCATCCAACTATGAACCAACCCCTGTCCGTCAAAAGCTTACATTTTAATAGATAATAAAGATTATTAAAAAGATAATCACAATTTTTTTTGTCCGGATAGCCTACCATTCAAATAAATTGTTTTAAAGAGAGTGAAAAGTAAAGGAATATGTTGAAAGGGCAACGAAAACCTATATTTTATGTAAAGAAATAAAATATTTTATGTAAAATATTTTAAGAAATATTTTCTAAAACTTTTGGGAAAATAATTTTAGATCTTTTAACATGAGCTGAATTTTTCTTGTATATTTTTAGACTCTAGAAACTTACTCTGATAAATAAAAGATTAGTACTGTCAGTGAAACTATAAACTTATTTTGTGTTTAAGGTTTTCCCCCTTTATATTTGTCATTTAAGAACACTCAAAGGGGAAAATACTTTTAAAAGACCTGGCAAAAATGTTTAAAGTCCCTGTTGGGACAAAAACTTTTTCTTCATCTACTTTGTTTCAAATGGTTGGTCAGGTGCCTGTGAATTAATTGACAATAGACAGGAGAAAAACAAGATTTTTTTTACAGATGCATGCAGAAGTCACTTAGTGATTAATAACTCTTGAATAGCAAGAAGTAAGGTTTATATACCAACTTAACAAAAAGGGGGATGGGGTGGGAGGGGCTAGGGCTTCAGTGGGAAAGTATAGAAGGTTCTGTTGGGCTTTTTGATGCGAACTGACAGTCTCTGTTCCAACTGAGTTCTCAGGAAACTCCTGTGGAGGAGGTTTAATTGCAGTTTTATTTTAGGAGGACAGTGCTTTATTCAGATAAGATAAATTCAGTTAGGATTTCTTTCTGCATCTTCTGTAGCTCAAATGTTTTCACTTTGAAATAACCCGCATGCCAGAACTGTGATCCCTTGAGCCCCAAATTATTTTCATTCTGTTAGCCTTTAGAAGGAAAAAAAGTCAAAAATTTAATGTAGATAGTGTGTTGGCTAGCATAGTAATTTTGTGGCTTTTGCAGATCACAGGCCGGTTGGCTCCTCACCTAATAAAAATGAACACAAGCCAGGTGTGTTGGTTCATGCCTCTAATCCCAACATTTTGGGAGGCTGAGGCAGGAGGATTGCTTCAGTCCAGGAGTTCAAGACTGGCCTGGGTCATATAGCAAGACCCTGTTTGTACAAAAAATAAAAAAGTTAGCCAGGTTTAGTGGTATGTCCCTGTAGGCCCAGTGACTCTGGAGGCTGATGTGGGAGGATTGCTTGAACCTGGGAGGTCGAGGTTGCAGTGAGCAGTGATAGTGCCACTGCACTCCAGCTTGGGCAACGGAGAGAAACCACATCTCTAAATAAATAAATACATGCACACGGGCACACGCGCACATGCACACATGTGTGCGCACACACACACATACACACACACACGGCCAAGCAGCTTTCCCAGTCAAGGCTTTTATTTTAGGGTTTGGGCTCAAGCACATGGGAGACAGCAGAGGCACAAGGACTCTGTAGACTCCCTGAAAAAAACGGTAGGGATTTTTTGTTGTTGTTTTTGATTTTGTTTTTAGGCAAAGAGCAGGAATTGATATCTGTGGTAAAGTATGCCGGCTGGGCTGGGCAGCGCAGGTGAGTGGTAGGGTGTGCAAGTGAGTGGTAGGGTATGCAGGTCGGTGTTATTTGGTTGCCATAGTTACCTTAAATAATGGGTCACTTGGTGGTCTGGCTGGTAGCAACAGGCCGCAGATCCATTTCCAGCCTTTGTTCCCCAGGAGAGACACTCCACAACCTTAGTTTGATATTTAGATTTTCTTAAGTCCATTTCCCAGAATTCTTTAAGTAAAAGGCATGGTCAAACATCATGAGAGCACAGAAGAATGGCCATTCTCTTGGTATGACTAAAGCCCCAGGGTTAGTGGTTATATTGCCAGCAAGATAGTGGTGTGGGTTTTGTGATCAGTCGGACAAGAGAAGACAAAAGAAAAAATGCTTGAAGGGGGAGCCATATCCCATTCCTATGTATCTCATAGTGATCCTGTTTACACAGGGTAAAGTTAATAATGTAAGACTTGCTTTAAAGATATTGTAAATTGTATTTTTCATCCTCATTTATATATATATTCATCTGTGTGATTGAGATCCATGGGTGCTGTTAATGAAAAAATTATCCCTGATGCATGTTTAAATGAGAGGCTGAGGCATGGGGATCACTTGAGCCCAGGAGTTTAAGACCAGCCTGGGCAACATAGGTTTTGACCTGTCTCTTCAAATGAATAAACAAAAAATTGTAAGCGAGACTCTGCACTATAGGTACAGGGACTACTGCAATGGAATTTTGCAGTAAGAGAGAGAAATTGGGCTTGTTAAAAGTAAACTTATGCTCATTAAAATTTTAAGGGTTTATTTTCAGCAGACAGCAATTCATGAATCAGGCAGCACCAAACTCACAGTAGTTCAGGGCTCTTCTGAGTGAGTGTGATGGGAAAATTGTATAAGGTGTTTGTGGACAAAGAAAATACTTGATTAGTTAATGTGGGTAGTCTCTAGTTGTAGTTGGTTGTTTCTGATTTTACTGTTTCCATTGAGTTGGGTTTTACTTATGTTGGAACCTCAGTTGGGGCAGATGGAAAATTACAAAGAAGAATCACTGTGGTAAGGAGGCATTCTGGTTAAACCACCTAACAGGGTACAAATTCTTGCCTGAGGGCTGGCTAGGGTGCCAGATAACATCTGGGGGTTGGTGGTGGGGATGAGGGATTTGATCAGATTACCAGGGATGACCAGATATCCAGAGTGGAGGATTCTGGCTACAACTGATAGCAGAAGTTGTGCTAAAATTGGGCTCTCAAGGATATGTCCAAGGACAGGGCCCAGTAAGGCTCAGAGGAGCCCAACGAGAATTTGTTAAGGAACAATCTTTGCCAGTGCTCTGGACAGCATTTGCATTCCAATTTCTAAATAGTAGTTGAATTTTTATGATGAGAAGTTTATTGCTGCATCATCTTCATCCGTTCACTTAATCTGCTGGTCATTATTTTTCAAGCCCTTTTTATAACCTGGTTTCTTTTGGAAACATAAATTTTCTTCTCTTTCCCTTACCCTGGTAATACCAAGACTTTTTTGTAGGGTTCCAAACTACCATGATTTTGGACTTCCTGGTTTGGGTATTTTAATTGGGAACTAATATTAATCATTGATCTCTTAGGAGACTGATGGCTAATTCCATGCTTCATAAGTGGATTGAAAGGTCAAAGCAACTTTTTCCTCTCATCATTTAAAATCCCTGTAATCTCTCTGTTTTATTTTTTAAGTAATTTGAAAGACAGTGTTAACAAGCTCTTCTATCAATTGACGTTGCTTGTCATAATCATTAAGTCCTTTGCTTGGACTTACAGGTGAGAACCCAGAAGAAAGGCGGGGACAGGTTCTAATCCTTTTAGTGGAGCAGGCACTTCGCTTCCATGACTACAAAGCAGCCAGTATGCATTGTCAGGAGCTGATGGCCACAGGTGAGTAGACAGCTTATTTAACACTTTGCTTATGTCCTCTTTATGTGATGGATAATGGAAAAGGTCTGTTCTGAAATCAATTGACCTGATTGGTAAGCCAGCCACATTGAGGCTTGAGATACATTTTATGAGCACTGGTAAGTATATAGGCTGTGTACTTATATGTTAATGTAAACATTTTAACAGATTCAGACATTAAATTTTATTTGAGATTTTGGTTGCTTTCTAGTCCCTATTCAAAACATGCTCGTAATTTAAAAATAATTTTATGCAAAATATTTCAATGCCATTTCCTGTATTTGTTATCTAAGAGAAAATTTAAATTTTTATATTAGTTTGTGTCTATATAGTCAATATTTCCATTCTTTAATTTTTTTTAAAGATAGTGTATTATTTCGTTCTCACACTGCTATAAAGAAATACCTGAGACTGGGTAATTTATAAAGGAAAGAGGTTTAATCGGCTCACAGTTCTGCAAGCTGTACAGGAAGTAGGGCAGCATCTGCCTCCGGGAAGTCTTCAGGGAGCTTTCACTCACAGCAGAAGGCAGAGTGGGAGCAGGAGGCTTAACTGGCTGGATTAGAAGGAAGAGAGAGATGGGGGAGGGACTACACACTTTTAAACAACCAGATCTCAACTCACTATCACAACGACAGCACCAAGTGGATATGATGTTAAACCATGAGAAATTGCACCCATGATCTAATCACCTCCCCCAAGGCCCCACCTCCAGCACTGGGGATTACATTTCAACATGAGGTTTGGATGGGGACACAGATCCAAACCGTATCAGATAGCATAGTGCTTTTCAAACCGATGTTGAGAAATTGGGAAGTGGTTTGCAACTCCAAAATTCTTCATATTGAAATTCAAATTCAAGTCTCTGCAGGATAATCAGATTTTATTGTAGAATAATTTCTCACGTAAAGAACACATTCTTCAGTGTGATAGGGAGTTTTGTTGTTGTTGTTGTTGTTGTTGTTTTCTTATCATGGGCTCTGTACTAAATTGTCAGCTTTCCATGGCTATGCTTGAATATGTGAAGAATATGTGAAGGTCCAAACACATCTTTCTACCCACTATCAAAGCATTAATTAGGGAGTGGTTAAAATGCAGGGCTTCACTTCATGGTGACTCATGGAGCTCTGCACTAATGATTTGTGCAACTTTCACATGTGTACTGTTAAAGAAAACATTATTCTGACACTTGTTAATAACAACAAGGACTATTGTGATGTGTATGAAGACCACTGCAATAGGGGAGAGAGATTGGACTCAACTCTGAATACAGCAAGGATAGCTGGACATTTGTAGCCAGCAGGCTAACTGAAGGGTCAGTGGGTGGAAAATTAAGAGACATCAAGGGCAGGGGATCCTTGCTAAAATGATTTAATAGGACCTTGCTGAAGGCTGGCCAGGATGATCAGATATCACCGCTGAGGGATAAGTAATTTGATCAGTCCTTGAGAATTTGAGGATTCTGGCTAAACTGACTTAGTAGGATTTTTGCTAAAACTGGAGTATGCAGCCTAGCAAGGCTGGGGGCCAAGGTTAAGGCCTAGCTGAGAAGAGGGCTCAGGGTTGTCTGATTTAACTTTGGTCACAGAGAGGATCTTTGGCTTTACATCTGTGAAAACATTTAAAACTCTTCAAAAATGATTCAATATATTACAACTTCAGCATTAGCAAATTGTTTTCATAAATGAGCTGTGTTCCATAATATTAACCGAGTGATTTTGCAACATTAAATTTAGAATAACTATGGCTGTCTGTGAAAATGTACTGATCTAAATTGTTCATATGGAGAGCTTTATAATGATTTTATTCTGGTAAGGGTAATAGCTGAATTAATTTTTACTTCACATATTTAGAAAAAAATTATTCTGTACTACAAGTTTTGTACTTAGACAAATAGGCCTAAGGCTGGAATTCCTTCAAATAAGAATAAAAATGTATTTTAAGAATTCAGAGTATAATGTATAGGAAAAAGATCCCTGCTGGGAGTTGGGGGGTGATTCGGTCACTGTCCTTAGATGTCTGTCTTATCTATAAAGTGAGTGATTCTGTATGGAGATCTATCATAATATCTCTTTTTCTAGCACTTTGCAGTTTACATGTGCTTTTAAATACAAATGTTACTTAATTCCTTCAACAACCCAAGAGGAAGGTGTTATTATTGTCCTTGTAGGAAAAGAATTGTGAGACTTTTGGCTCTTTCTTAAAGCTCTCACAGGAGTGCTAAGTAGCAGGGTTGCAGCAGGCCCTCAGATCTTCGGAATTCAGATGGCTGCCTTTTCACAGAACACCAAATCTCAGTAGATCATTTGCATTTATTGTCAGTTAATCTAAAATTTAACAGAGTTTGTCAGAAACACTTGTTTAGAGTAGCATTGAACTTTCTGGATAATAAACCACCCTAATCTTTCCTAGCTTAGATTCTTATCTGTTTCTGCTTATAAAATAATGTGTCACTAATGACTATGATTTTGCTTTGGTACCACAAGACCTGAGCAGGAAGCCATTGCATTTGTCATCTTAGATTGAATATTCTTCTTCTTTTGGGAATCATTTTTTTCCTTGCCAATTTTGCAGGTTATCCTAAAAGTTGGGATGTTTGTAGCCAGTTAGGACAATCAGAAGGTTACCAGGACTTGGCCACTCGTCAAGAGCTCATGGCTTTTGCTTTGACACATTGCCCTCCTAGCAGCATTGAACTTCTTTTGGCAGCTAGCAGCTCTCTGCAGACAGAAGTAAGTCCTTCGATAAAGGAAATCCTAACCTGTATGACGTCCATGTTGTTGGGTGTGTGTATCTGAGGTATGTGGTCACTTAAAAAAGTAGTATGAGAATTTTAATTTATGGAAGAAAACTAGATTGTCACTTATGGAAAAGGGACATGAAAATATTAGGATATAACATAATGTTGCTGGCTTTATAACAGCAAGGAAGAAAGGATACAAGACAGCCTTGAGAAAGAAAGAAAGTAATATTTGGAAAGAAATTATTGAAAATAATGGGGAAAGTTAGTGTTGTGAATTAAACATATGCTAAATGGTCATGTAAAATATGTCTGAAATCATATGGGTTAAAGCCAGTGGAGCAACCATTCCCTTAGGGATCCTTTGGAAATTGGGGATTGAGGTGGGCTTTGGTTGGGGGGGATGCTAAATTTCCTAAAATTCACAGAATAGATCTGCATAGGAGAGGATAGTGCCCCTGTGGAGAAACACTGTTAAATGTATGAGGAGAGTCTAGAATTCACATTTTCATCCCATAGTCATTCTCTTACAGTTGGTAGCTAGTCAGGCAGACATGAGCAAGACGGGAGAGGGCCCCCACACCCCACCAGGAAAGTCAGGCGACCATCAGATGGGTCAGGCAGTTGTCACACTGCCTCTCTAAGATAATAATTGGTTGCAGCCAGCACCAGGGAAAGACAGTTTCCCTATAGATAGAAAAAAACCCCTGAAACTGGTGATCAGCAGCTTCCTGATAAGATCTCAGGTGTTGGCCAGTGAGCTCAAGCATGTTCACTAAGAGGCAAAATGGTGGAGTTTCACTGGCGTATGACCTGTGAGGGCATTCCACCGGAAAAGGGAAGAACGCTGCAGCTGAACATGCATACGACTCCTGTAAACACACTGCGCACGCTCCCCTCCCATCACCAGCAGGCCATTGCACGTGTGCACAACCCACCCCAAGGGAAGAATCAGGAGAGAAGGGGCACAAGAACCTGGCAACGTGCCAGGATGTAAAGCTCTAAGCCAAAGGTCAAAACCCGCACTTGTCCTTCAAATCCCTCCCTTGGGCCTCTTCCAGGTGTATCTTCCTTCCTTTCATTCCTGCTCTAAAGCTTTTTAATAAACTTTCACTCTTGCTCTAAAACTCGCCTCGGTCTCTTTTTCTGCATATGCCCCCCAGTCAAATTTTTTCTTCTTTGGAGGCAAGAATTGAGGCTGTTCCAGACCTGAACACATACACTGCCTGTAACAATTCATTACATTGTATATCATTTTTTTCACACTTGATCCCCACTTCTGAAACCATTGCATCCTTTTGAAACTGTTTGTGAAGTCCTGAAGTAAGCCTGTTACCAAAACTAATCATTATGAAAAGGTAATTTTCTTTTTAAAAGTACTTTTTAAATTTCAAGCCTATATTGTGATGAGAAGCAAATTTAAAAACGTAACTCCTTTACAATATAGCCTATTCTTGTTTTAGATTCTTTATCAAAGAGTGAATTTCCAGATCCATCATGAAGGAGGGGAAAATATCAGTGCTTCACCATTAACTAGTAAAGCAGTACAAGAGGTAAGTTAAAATGAGGGAGCGGAGTTTGAAAGGTGGCTGAGAGTGGAATAAAGTGGGATTACCTAACCTTGTGGATGAGAGGGGTTTTGTGTGTGTGTGTGTGTGTGTGTGTGTGTGTGTGCATGCAGACCACTTTTCTTTTCAGCTTTTGTGTGTGTGTGTGAAATATAACATTCATATAGATAAGTATACCAAAAAATGTCCAGCTCAATAAATTATCATAAAGACAACACCCATGAAACTACAGGTAAAGAAGCAGTACCTAACCACCTTCCAAATCCCCCAGACCCTCTCCTTATTAAACTTCCTTTTTTTTCTATGGAGTCTCACTCTTTTGCCAGGCTAGAGTGCAGTGGTGTGATCTCCACTCACTGCAACCTCCACCTCCCAGGTTCAAGCAATTCCCCTGCCTCAGCTTCCCAAGTAGCTGGGATTACAGGTGAGCGCCACCACACCAGGCTAATTTTTTGAATTTTTGGTTGAGATGGGGTCTCACCATGTTGGCCAGGCTCGTCTCGAACTCCTGACCTTAAGTGATCCACCCTCTTCAGCCTTCCAAAGTGCGTGGATTACAGGTGTGAGCCACCATGCCTGGCCTTCCGTATTTCATTCCTAACTTTTCTCTCCCTTTCCAGAGATCACCACTGTCCTGACTAATCCTGATAACCAGATCTTTGTGACTTTTGTTTTTGTTTTAAATAATGTCGATACGTACCATACATACCCTCAATATGATAGTTTAGTTTTACCTGTTTTTGTATTTTATAGAAATAGTTATACTTAGTGTTATGTTTGTGAGATCCATTCATGCTGTTATATGTAGCTGTAGTTTATTCATTTTTATTGCCATGTAGAAATCAATTTCGGTGTGCATAGTACAGTTTATTCATATGAACACTGATTGACCTTGGTTTGTTTTCAATTTTGGTGACTAAAAATAATGTGACTGTCATCGTTTGTACATGTCTCTAGTGTACATGGGCAAACAGTTCTCTCAGGCATATATGTAGCACTGGAAATGTGCATTGTGAGATATGTATATAATTCAACCTAAATAGATAATGCCAAATGCTTTTGTTTTGTTTTACCAATGAGACTTTGAACAGTAGTGTACAGGATTGCTAGTTACTCCAATCCAGGACATTGCTATTGTTGGTTTCCTAAACTTTGCCTGTTATCCTAAGTGTTTAATGATACCTAATTAATTGATTTATATTTTTCTGATTACTAATGAGATGGAGATAGCTCAGGAGAGATCCTCTTTTTGAGGTACTTGTTCGATTCTCTTGCTTATTTTGTGTTGGATTTTTGTTGTGTTCCTTTTCCTCATTGAGATTCTTATGAATAAAATTGTCCGAACCAATTAAGTCTATATGTGTTTCAGAATCTTCCATCCTGGGAGACAAAGGAGGAAGAGTATGCTCCCTGAAACCTGTCTTCTTTTGGTCAGTGTTTGCTCCAGGGAATTTAACTTTTCATGACTGTTTCTAGAAACGTAGAATTAGCATTTTTTAGATCAAAGACAGTGGCCCGGTTTCTGACATCCCAGCTAGACAAATTAAGACGTGATGATTCTCTATATAGATTGGTTTTTCATGAGATTCCATCAAATGGTAAGCTTCACTTTCACAGTGTAAAATATCCTTTATTTTTCTTGTGACTATTTTGGGAGACACCTATTGTGGTAAGTGAACTGCACTAACTTTTTTTTTTGCTGTATCCATCTTGACAAAGTCATTAGTATTTGTGTACTCTACTGTTACTTTTAGAACTCTGGTACAAAGCTTCAGTTGTGGAGTCTATTGGTGGAATTAGGGCAAAGATACTTAGCTTTTGCCCAGAGTAGAATATATGCAACTACCCCATTCTCACAACTCTTTTTTTAATATTAAAATTTAATTTGGTGAACATGGATCTAATATGCGTGTGTATTCCCAGTTCAATACTAAGTAATCTGATTATCTCAAAGAGGGTTGTAATGTTACTTTTTGCCCCTATGGAATTTTCGCCTCTTCCTCCTGCAGTGATGACTCTAGGACAGCACTGCCAATAGAACTTTCTTCAGTGAAGGAAATATGTCATACCTGCACTGTTCATCATTGTAGCCACTGATCACACAGAGCTATTGAGCACTTGAAATATCACTAGTGCACTTAAGGGATCACATTTTAAATTAAATGTATTTAATTAATTTATTTATTTTTGAGATGAGGTTTCACTCTGTTGGCCAGGCCGGTCTTGAACTCCTGGCCTCAAGTGATCCACCAGCTTTGGCCTCCCAAAGTGCTGGGAATACAGGCGTGAACCACTGCATCCAACCTTAAATTGTATTTAATTTTATTTAATTTAAATTTAAATAACCACATGAGGCTACTGTCTACCAGATTGGACATCAGAGGTCTAGAAGATGCACCATTCAGTGGAGGATGGCATTCAGCCACCAGCACTGCAGGCAGTAGACTTCTTTTGTTGTTGTTGCACTCACTCCCTTCAGATGGCAGCCATAGCATTTTCTAGGGTCCTAGAGTGATATGGATACACTTTGTCCTTTGGCATGTTTTGATTTGTAGTTGTACTGACTAGCAACTATTGTTTTCCCTCATTGGATGTGAAAACACATTACATTTCTTTGCTGTTCTCTCTGTGGGATTCAGAACAGTTCTTATACTAGCTAATGGGTCACTAAATGTTCCATGTATTAGGAGGAGTTGTCTTTCAAGGTCCAATTGAAGACCTAGTTTTCATGAGATCTTTATCTGAAGTTTTGTTCCTTTTGAACCTCTGATCCCTCCACAACTTGTCCAGTCACATCTCCTACTCTGCCTGCCTCCAGCATCATCCCTTTTCATGCCTTTCAAACATCTGTTATGTTCCAGTGGTGGGGAACATATCACCATTTTCTGTGCAGGCACTTTGGTGCCTTTAGTGTTATTTTATAGAGTTTTCTCTCTGTTTGGAGGACACTTCTTATCTTGTGCTCTTGTGCTTGTCTTGTGCTCTTATCCCTTCCATATGAAGTATTTTCTTTGTGAAGTTTTCCTTGAGTCCTTTAATTGCCCCGTTCTCTATATTCCCTAAGCATTCTCTCTCACTGTTCCGTTTTAGCACTTTACGGTGTGACGTGGTATTGTCCGGTCACTGGAGGTATGCCATCTCTGTGTGCTCTTATTGTGCTTCTCAATTAGTGAATGCCTAGTTAACTTTTCATAAAGCTCAGTTGGAAACACCAACTGCATAATGATCAGTCAGTGGTAAAAATAAATTAGGAAGTGGATTTTTTTTTTTTTTCCTAAAATGAATTAGGAAGTGGATTTTCAGTCATCATGTGGTGCTACTGAGGTGCTGTGATGTTTTGGCCAGTGTGAGGAGTGTATCATTTTTCTGTTGAGCATGGAATTGCAATGTGTTTGCTAAGCTCAGCTTTATGAATTATTTGGAACCCGCTTGTTCTTTCCAAAATCTGTGAAAAGCCTTTTGTGACTTTGGGGACTTCTATTTTCTGCTTCTACAGTGAATTATAAAATGTCAGCCTGGCCTCTTGGTGGCTTCTTTGCAGTGGGCCATGCTGTGTTACTGCAAGTGGGCACATGTTACTCTATTAAATCCCGTCAGTAAATGAAGGAGACCACTGGTAGTCCTCTACAAGTTCCACTTAGCAAGGAAAAGGAGTTCTTCCAAAATGATTGTCTTTTGCTTTTCTTTTTAAGCCTCTTAAAAGCTTTCCTGTCTGCCTTTGTCCCCTTTCAGCAAATTGTAATAGATCTAGATCTCATGAAGTGCTAGTCCAAACCTGCAATGCACGCATTACGGCTTTGATTTATGAGGCACATTTCAGAATGTTATAGCTACTATCATTAGGTTAAAATATAGTGCTTAGCTATAAGATGCCGTGTGTTACACATTAACAGTAGATATAATAACCACATTAAATTATAGCTCATAAATGAGAGATGACTTTATGTGTAATCTACTTTAATACTTAAGACTTTCATTACTTCACTTGTGAAAATAATGATTTTTATTTATATATCCAAGCAAAATAAAGATGTAATTGTTATGCAGTAGCATTTATGTTAGTACAAATGGAGCCGACAAGTTTGAAGATATTGCTGTTGTCCCTGTGAACAGGATGTTTGTCTATAAATAGAACAAAATGCATAATTTGTGAATAACTACCAAAATTACAGATTTCCAATTTCTTATTAATGTTGGTCATTATGCTTTTTAGATGGAACAGTATTCTACCACTTAGAGTATATTAACATTTTGTTTAGCTAGTATTAGGTATATCACTTAACCAATGGTGTTTTCTCTAGATAAATCTAATTAGAGTTAGAAATGGATTGTATACAAGGTTCCCATTAAAAAATCATTTGCACTGTGGGAAAGCTTGTTATGAGCATTTTAAGTGGCTACAGATTTATACGACTGGACTGATTAATGTTTAAAACTTGAGCATGGGCTAAGTATAGAGCTAGTTTGAATTTGTAAAATTATTGTTTAGAAATATTTAAATAAAAGTGAGCAGAATGTCAGTTATATTACAGTATCTTGGCCAGCATTTACTTCTTCCATTCACCAGTTGGTGGACATTTGGGTTGTTTCCATTTCTTAGCTATTTTGAATAATGCTGCTCTGAACATTGATGTAAAAGTCTTTGTATGGAAATATGTTTTGATTTCTCTAGATGTAGAATTTCTGCATTGTTTGTTATATTATGTCTAACATCTGAAGAAACTGCCAAACTTTTTGTTTTCCAAAGTGTCTGCACATGTTTTACATTTCCACAAGGAATATGTTAAGGTTCCAGGTTTTCTACATCCTTGCTAATGTGTGTTATTAACTGACTTTTTTAAAAATTTATTTTACTTTAAGTCCTGGGATACATGTGCAGAATGTGCAGGTTTGTTACATAGGTATATGTGTGCCATGGTGGCTTGCTGCACCTATTGACCTGTCATCTAAGTTTCCTCTCCTCTCCCGCAACCCCTCAACAGGCCCTGGTATGTGTTGTTCCCCTCCCTGGGTCCATGTGTTCTCATAGTTCATCTCTCACTTATGAGTGAGAACATGTGGTGTTTTGTTTTCTGTTCATGTGTTAGTTTGCTGAGGATAATGGCTTCTAGCTTCATCTATGTCCCTGCAAAGGTCATGATTGCATACCTTTTTATGGCTGCATAGTATTCCATGGTATATATGTACCACATTTTCTTTATCCAGTCTGTCCTTGATGGACATTGGGTTGGTTCCATGGCTTTGCTTTTGTAAATAGTGCTGCAATAAGCATATGTGTGTATGTGTCCTTATAGAAGAATGATTTACATTCCTTTGAGTATATACTGAGTAATGAGATTACTAGGTCAAATGGCATTTCTGGTTCTAGATCCTTGAGAAATTGCCATACTGTCTTCCACAATCATCGAACTAATTTACATTCCCACCAACAGTGTAAAAGCATTCCTATTTCTTCACAGCCTTGCCAGCATCTATTGTTTCTTGACTTTTAAAATAATCGCTATTCTAACTGGCGTGAGATGGTATCTCATTATGGTTTTGATTTGCATTTCTCTAATGACCAGTGATGTTAAGCTTTTTTTCATGTGTTTCTTGGAGGTGTAAATGTCTTTTGAGAAGTGTTTGTTCATACCCTTTGCCCACTTTTTGATGGGGTTGTTTTTTTTGTTGTAAATTTGTTTAAGTTTCTTGTAAATTCTGGATATTGGATCTTTGTCAGATGGGTAGATTACAAAAATTTTCTCCCATTCTGTAGGTTGCCTGTTCACTCTAATGCTAGTTTCTTTTGCTGTGCAGAAGCTCTTTAGTTTAATTAGATCCAATTTGTCAATTTTGGCTTTTGTTGCAATTGCTTTGGCGTTTTTGTCATGAAGTCTTTGCCCTTGCCGATGTCCTGAATGGTATTGCCTAGGTTTTCTTCTAGGGTTTTTATGGTTTTGGGTTTTACATTTAAGTCTTTAATCCATCTTGACTTAATTTTTTGTATAAAGTGTAAGGAAGGGGTTCAGTTTCAGTTTTCCTCATATGGCTAGCCAGTTCTCCCGCCACCATTTATTGAATAGGAAATCCTTTCCCCATTTCTTCTTTCTGTCAGGTTTGTCAAAGATCAGATGGTTGTAGATGCATGGTGGTATTTGTGAGGTCTCTGTTCTGTTCCTTTGGTCTATATGTCTGTTTTGGTACCAGGACCATGCTGTTTTGGTCACTGTAGCCTTGTAGTATAGTTTGAAGTCAGGTAGCATGATGCCTCTAGCTTGATTCTTTTTGCTTAGGATTGTGTTGGCTAGATGGGGTCTCCTTTGATTCCATATGAAATTTAAAGTAGTTTTTTCTAATTCTGTGAAGAATGTCAGTGGTAGTTTGATGGGAATAGCATTAAATCTATAAATTACTTTGGGCACTATGGCCACTTTCACGATACATTGATTCTTCCTATCCATGAGCATGGAAATAGTTTTCCATTTGTTTGTGTCCTCTCTTATTTCCTTGAGCAGTGGTTTGTAGTTCTCCTTGAGAGGTCCTTCACATCCCTTGTTAACTGTATCCTAGGTATTTTATTCTCTTTGTAGCAATTATGAATGGAAGTTTATTCATGATTTGGCTCTCTATCTGTTGTAGGCATAAAGGAATGCTTGTGGTTTTTACATATTGATTTTGTATCCTGAGTCTTCGCTGAAGTTGCTTATCAGCTTAAGGAGTTTTGGGGCTGAGATAATGGGGTTTTCTAAATACAAAATCAGGTCGTCTGCAAACAGAGACAATTTGACTTCCTGTCTTCCTATTTGAATACCCTTTATTTCTTTCTCTTGCCTGGTTGCCCTGGTCAGAACTGCCAGTACTATGTTGAATAGGAGCGGTGAGAGAGGGCATCCTTGTCTTGTACCAGTTTTCAAAGAGAATGCTTCCAGTTTTTGCCCATTTAATGTGATATTGGCTTTGGGTTTGTCATTAATAGCTCTTATGATTTTGAGATATGTTCCATTAATAATTTATTGAAAATTTTTAACATGAAGGGATGTTGAATTTTATCAAAGGCCTTTTCTGCATCTGTTGAGATAATCATGTGGTTTTTGTCATTGGTTCTGTTTATGTGATGGATTACATTTATTGATTTTGTATTTTGAACCAGCCTTGCATCCCAGGGATGAAGCCAACTTGATCGTGGTGGGTAAGTTTTTTGATGTGGTACTGGATTCGGTTTGCCAGTGTTTTATTGAGGATTTTCGCGTTGATGTTCATCAGCGATATTGGCCTGAAGTTTTCTTTGTTTGTTGTGTCTCTGCACAGTTTTAGTATCAGGATGCTGCTGGCTTCATAAAATGAGTTAGGGAGGAGTCCCTCCTTTTCAGTTGTTTGGAATAGTTTCAGACGTAATGGTCCCAGCTCCTCTTTGTGCCTGTGGTAGAATTTGGCTGTGAATCCATCTGGTCCTGGGCTTTTTTTGGTTGGTAGCCTATTAATTACTGCCTCAATTTCAGAACTCATTATTGGTCTATTTCCGGGATTCACCTTTTTCTTGGTTTAGTTTTGGGATTATGTATGTATGTGTCCAGGAAATTATCCATTTCTTCTAGATTTTCTTGTTTATTTGTGAGAGGTGTTTATAGTATTCTCTGATAGTAGTTTGTATTTCTGTGGGGTTAGTGGTGATATCCCCTTTATCATTTTTTATTGTGTCTATTTGATTCTTCTCTCTTTTTCTTATTCTTTCAGCTAGCAGTCTATTTTTAACTGGCTTTTTGATAGAATTTTTTTTATTAAAGCCATTCCTATATATGTGCTATCTCATTATGATATTTGTTTGATATTTATATCCCAAGTAACTAATGATGATGAACTCTTTTTTTTTCATGTGCTTATTGGCTGGCTATTCTTATACTTTCTTAATGTAATGGTATTCAAATATTTTACCCATGTTTTAACTTGGTTATTTGTCTTATTGAGCTGTAAGAGGTTTTTTATTTTGTTTTGTTTTTTAACATCTTGCAGTCAAGTGTTTTTTTTTTTTTTCAGATTTATGATTTTAAAGTATTTTTTCTCTCAGTGTATATTTGACTTTTTGTTTTCTTAATGCTGGCTTTTGAGGTACAAAAAATGTTTAATGTTCCTGAAGTTTTGTTTATTAATATTTTCTTTTATGTATTATACTTTTGTTGTTATATCTAAGAAATCTGTGCCTAACCCAAGATTGCAAAAATTTACTCCTGTGCTTTTTTTCTGAAAGTTTTATAGTTTTTAGTGCTTACATTTATTTATTTACTTATTTAAGTAAGAATAAGTTGTCCCTTTTTTGAAATAAGTATAGACTTGAGGTATATCCATCTGTAAAAAGGTGAAATTAGAACTTTACCTCATATCACAATAAAAATTAATAGAATAATGTTTGTTTTGTTTTCTTTATCTTATGATACTTATTCTTTCTTAGTAGATTTTAAATTTCACATTTAGTACACACAAAGATGGCAAATGAATTATTTTGAAGTTTTAAATGAAATAATTTTATTTGGGCTGAATTTTTGTTACAATTATTGCTTTATTAATTTTTCCCCATGTGCTCTGGAATTTTGGTTTGCAAGCTAATTTTGAGTGATGAAACATCATTCTGTCCCACCTTCCTCATCTAATGATTCTGTAGTATTGTGGTTTCTCTCTGCTCAGTCCTGTGGCACTTCACTCCAGAATATGTCCACTGATAGTTTTTCATATGACGTTGTTTCCCCTTTGTAAGGTTGAGAATATGAGAATGCATACATGGAGCCAGTGAAGGGATTGTCCTAGTTCCTTTCAGCCTTGTTCATGTGCTCTTCCTCCTTAGGCCCACATCTTGTGTAAATGCATAGCCTGGACAGTAAATCTGGATGAAGTTTTTTCTTTGCAGGGTATGCTTTTGATTCATGGTTCTTCTCTGGAAAGGAGAACCTGATAGCCACTCTTGATATCTGAATTCTGAGCCCCAAAATGTTGAACTCTATTGAACTTGGGTGTCCTTTGATTTTTTTTTTTTCTGTGCTCAGTATTTAGAGCACAGTTAGTGTACTCAAACAGGAGTTTACCATCCCATGTTGACTGGAGTTTATAATGTTTTCTTTAGTTACAGAAATAATGCAAGCTTTAATTTTAATAATTCATTTATAGGGAAATAAGGGATATTGACATTATCCGGCACACTATATTTCTTGAAAGTAAAAGAAATTAGATGTGAAACATCTATGATAAAATAGATACATGGATATATGTATAACTTTATACTTTCTGCTTTTTTAAAATATAAAAATAATTTAATAAACAATACATTAATATATGTGAAAGACAAAGTTCTCTCTTTTTCCTCCCTCTGATCTTTCTATTCTCTGATCTTTCTGAGCCCCATGAATCCCACTGCTTAGATATAAACATTTCTAACTTCATATGTTTCCTTCCATATTCCTAAGTACAGACAGATTTTCTGTATAGCTTCTCCTCTGTCTCCTGGAGGTTTATTATTTTGTTTTGTAAACTAAAATGAATTCATACTGCATATATTATTTTGCAGCTTACTGTTTCATGTAATACTGGTATGTGTCATTGAATCTGCCCTTGTGATTCCATATAGACCATTTACATAATGGCATCATGGTATTCATTGGATGCATGTACCATGATTTATTGTTTGATTTATTTATTTTTTTGATTTATTTATTTTATTTATTTATTGTGTGATTTATGTATTGTTTCCTTTGCTTTTGTACATTTAGATTGTGTCCAACTTTTCTCTATTTTAGACTAAACTGCACTGTGCATTCTACGTACACATCTTTGTATATTCATGCTAGTGTTGCTCTGCAATAAAATGGTAGAAATGGGCTCCTGGGATAGGTAATTTCCTATTTTCTTGTGGTTTATTTTTATAACTTTGTGTAAATGCTCACTTTGTTTTGTTTACTGTTGATACCAGCACATCACTGGAAGCATGGTATGTCCTCATTAATTTTTGTTCAGTTGTTTTTTGGACAGTATTGCCTGATAAGTGTTCTCTGTGGAAGATTCAGTTTACAGTGATCATGACATCAGTGATCTGGATGGTAACACAGTGCCAACACAATTCAGAACATCCATTTCTGCATTTTAGTGAGCATATAGGTCTGACCAAAGAAGGAAATACTTTGCTCATTGTCATGCTTCTGGGATAATATCTTTACTTATTTGATAGCTTGATATGCAGGAGTGTGAATCATGATATTGATTAGATTGGCAAATCTACATCATAGATTTCCATTCTTCACAAAGGTTTATACTAGTCGCTTCCTCTTTTAGCACCACTGTTAGAATTTTATTCTTTCTTCTATCCCGCTGTTTCTTCATAAGGCCCGTGCATTTCTGATATATTTTTTATATTTTAAAATAACTGTGTTTGTAATAAGCAATACATTTTTGTTTTTTATCTATTGTTATTGAGTTATTAATTGCTATTTAAATTCATTTGCAAAAGACATTTTCCAAAAAATAAGACATTCAAGTTTTCTATCTTAGTTACAGTGTAATCTATGGGTGTTAACAGTTTTCTTTTACTTTATTTATTTATTTATTTATTTATTCATTTATTTATTTATTAGAGATAGTGTCTCGCTCTGTTGCCCAGGCAGGAGTTCATTGGCACTATCTTGGCTTACTGCAACCTCCGCCTCCTGGGTTCAAGCAATTCTCAAGCATCAGCTCTCTTAGTAGCTGGGATTAAAGGTGTGTGCCACCATACCCGGTTAATTTTTATATTTTTAATAGAGACAGGGTTTTGCCATGTTGGCCAGATTAGTCTTGAACTCTTGGCCTCAAGTGATCTGCCCACTTCGGCCTCCTAAAGCACTGGAATTACAGGTGTGAGCCACTGTGCCTGGCCAGTCTCCTTTTACTTTTAAGGAAATACCATAATATTATTTAGCCCTGTAGGGTCTAAAATGTACCACTCTGATAGATGTTCCCTACATTTCTTTAGTTTATACTTAGTATTGGTAACATCTTTTTGTTTTCTCTCATTATCTTTCATCTACTCTCCATGGGGCCTTCTTTCGTCACCATTTTACCAGAACAGCTTGTGCCTCGGTCACCACCAGTGACCTCTTGTTGCGAAGTTCGTGGGTCAAATCTCAGTCTTTGTTTTATTTGACCTATAAGTAACATTTGACATACTTGTTTCAGGGACATCTCGGTCGTCTTGTTTTTCTCAGACCTCACTGGCCACTGCATCTCACTGTCTTTGCTGGTTTGTCCTCATCTCCCCAGCTAAATGTTAGATACCCTAGGTCATAGTCTTTAAACATCATCTCTGTCTACACTCATTCCTTAGATGCATTCATACATTATCCTGACTTGAAATAATCGACTTTGTGCTGATGATTCCCTGCTTAATAGCTCTAGCCCTGACCTCTCTTCTGAGTTCCGGACTTGAATGTACAGCTGCCAACCTAACATCTATAGTTAATTTCTTATAGACAACCCAATCTCAATATGTTAAAATTGAACTACTGATTTCAGCCCTCTTCCTCTCCCCACCTACCACATCTTGCCAAACAATGACCTTCTTTCTGCAGTTTTTCCCATGTCACGAAATAGAACTCTTTGTAGGTGTTCGTACCATAAATCTTTTGCTGTCATCCTTGATTCTTCTCCTCCTCTTTGGGACATCGTGCTGACCCACCTTTCACAGTGGACTCAGAATTGGGCTCCATTTTACTATCACCACTGCTACCACCCAGGTCAGATTATCATCATATCTCCCCTAGAGTCATAAAGTAGTGTCCTGTTTGTCTCCGTGCTTCTGCTTTTGCTATAGTCAATGGTCAACAATATAGCCAGAGTGATTCTTTCAGAATACATCAGATCATGACACATTTCTCAAAACCTTTCACTCAGAGTAGAAACTAAGGCTTTATAGTCATCTACAAGGACACCCATGGTCTCTTTTCTCCACTGTTAAGCTTTAATGTTGGACTTTATTTTCCTTCCACCTCTTCCCTGCCCCCAATATACACATTCATTTTGCTTAGCTGACTCTAGTCATATTGGCTTTTTTTTTTTTCCTTTTTGCCATTCTTTAAGCATTCCCAGCAAGCTGTTGCCTCTGGATCCTTCTACTTGCTGTATTTTACCTGGAATGTTCTTCCCAAATATCTGTATCCATATGACTTATCCTCTCACTTCCATCAGGTGTCTGCTCAAATGTCACTTCATGGAGATCTTCCCTGCTCTTTCTCTGTGTTATTATGGTGTTCTCACCCAGCCACACCGCTTTATTTTTCTTTCTAGCCCATATCAATATGTATAAAACTTATCTGATATGCTTTTCTGACATGCTTTTCTGACATGCTTTGTATTTATTTTTGCTTGTCTTTTACTGGATTGTAAGTTCTTTGTAGCAGAGACTATTCATATTTTGGTCAGTTTTGTATTTCCGGAATTTACAACAATGCCTGTCACAAGTTGGTGTCATAAATATTTGTGGAAGAATGAATGAGTAAATGAGGAAAGTAAGATATGGATGTGATGAGTGGGGTAAGTTCTGCTGTGAAATGGGGAGGAATAGTTGAATGGGACCCTATTTGATAATTTCTCAGTTCATTGGTGAAATAAGGCAAATTGCCTTATTTTCCCTTCTTCCCTACTGTACCATGAGTTTCTTAGGAATAGGGGTCATACCTTAATTGTCATAGTAATCCTGTTGCCTAGCGCTGGGTCTTAAACATAGTAGGCATGCCAAATTATGTGTTCAGTAAACTTACTTTGTGGGTTCATCTAGAACCCAAAGTCATTTATCAAAAGTAATTTTAAAAATTGGGCATGGAAAAAAAAATATACCTTATACACCTCTATTTTTTCCAGAATGTAGGTTTCATAATCTGGATCTAAGAATTCTAGGACATCCAAGAAGGGTTTGGCCTCTAAATCCCCTGAAATAGTATGCTTAATATTGATTTTTAAAAAATTTTTTAGAGACAGGGTTTGGCTGTGTCACCAATGCTGGAGTGCAGTGTGGTGCAGTTACAACTCACTGCATCATTGAACTCCGGGGCTTAAGTGATCCTTCTGCCTCAGCCCCCCAAGTAGCTAGGACTACAGGCGCATGCCACTATCCCTGGGTAATTTTTATTTTATTTATTTTAGATACGGGGTCTCAATATTTTACCCAGGCTGGTCTCGAACTCCTGGCCTCAAGTGACCCTCCTGCTTCAGCCTCCCAAAGTGTTGGGATTACAGGCGTGAGCCACTGCACCTGGCCAGTATACCTAATTTGATGTGTGTGTGTGTGTGTGTGTGTGTGTGTGTGTGTGTATGTGTGTGTTTGTATTCATGTGAGTGCACATGCATGTTTGTTAAATTTTCTGGGGAAAGGGCTCAGCTTCCATGAGACATGTACAGGAGTCCATGGTCCCTAAACATGAGAGCAGCTAAGCTGTAGCCTTGCCTGCTAATTGGCAGATGAGATGAAGCAGAGTCAGACTTTAGAGTGATTTACTCCATAGAGTATTTTTCTATTGCTTGTTCTGACAGGTATTTCTAAAAGTAGTATAACCAGTAATAAGGATTGCATGCTTAGTATTTTGAGTTCAGATGAAATTTGCTATAAGTAAGGGTTAGGTGGAGGGAAGTACTTTGGGTTATTTAAGGCTATGTTGGAGGAGAGTGGTAGCTGTTGAGCTCAACCTAAACTATTTGTAATCCTTGCCTAGTTTATATGTGCCAACAGCTCAGTTTACAGTAGGCCAATAGATTTCTCAGAAATTAACCCTTATTGCCAGACATGGGAGAAAGTTACTCCCAGGTAGATAATTTGTCATAGTCGTTGACCAACAATAATTCTTCCTGTGAGTCACACTTGACACATGGCACTATCCATGTTCTTGTGAACTTGTTTGGTGATGGTGTCTGTTGTTACAGGATTTGAAAAATATTATTAGTGCTTAATAAGCTAACCTTTGAGCTGTGTAACACACTTTACATTAATGAGATTTCATGTTAAATTTTATGCTGGGAACCAATGACGTGGTTTTGAGGTTTAATCTATTTCTGCTGTTATACACTCTAAATTAATTAGCAGTGTGCCACTATGAATATAAAAAGTGGCAGTAGTAATCATTTCGGGGGTAAGTTTTGCCTAACCTCTTTTTTCTTTCTCCATTATATGAAGTTAAAAGAAATCTATTTTCTTCATTAATGTTTCTGGTTAAACTATGATCTTGGTAGACTGCCCCCCAAATTAAATGTTGCTTCTGTGGTCCAAATGAGCCTTTCATTTTACTTTCTCTTTCATGATTCTCATTAGGAGAAGCTCTTACAGAAAATCCTTTTATCACATTCATTTCTGAGCATGTGAATTTCATTTATCTTCTGAAACAAACTTTTAGGTTTCATACATTTTAAGTCTCCTATCTTGAGCTAGCCCATCCATTTGGACAGAAGCACAGTTTAGGTCCATTTTATGAAATAGAATCATTGTTTTGTGGCCTACATTTTTCTTTTCTTTTTTTTATTTTTATTTTTTAACTTTTTATTTCCATAGGTTTTTGGGGAACAGGTGGTATTTGGTTACATGAGTAAGTTCTTTAGTGGTGATTTGTGAGATTTTGGTGCACTCATCTCCCGAGCAGCATATACTGAACCCAATTTGTGGTCTTTTATCCCTCACCTCCTTCCCACCCTTTCCCCCTGAGTCCTCCAGGCTGGAGTGCACGATTATAGCTAACTGCAGCTTCAAACTCCTGTGCTTAAGTGGTCCTCCCTCATCAGCCTCTGGAGTAGCTAAGACTATAGGCACATGCCACCACAAAAAAAATTACTTAATTTTTAAAATATTAAATATAAGATTTAAACAATTAAATGGATTTTTTAATTGTTTGTAGAGATGAGATCTTGCCATATTGCCCAGGCCAGTCTCGAACTCCTGGCCTGAAGTGATCCTCCTGCCTCAGGCTCCCAAACTAGTAGGATTACAGGTATGAGCCACTGTGCTGGCTTAGCCTGCATTTTTTATTGATATTTTTCAATTGGTTTCATTTACCTCTAAATGTAGTTGTAGTCTGCTTAAGTGCCATAATTCTTACCATATTTATATTTTCAGTTCTATACTTGGATTAGTTGATGACTTTCAAATCATTCAATACATCCTCTCAATTTAGAAGATTCTACAGATGAACAGGAATTGAAAATGTGACATGAAATCTTTTTTAAATAACATTTACCCACTCTGAATACAACATATGAGACTTTTTTTTTTTCCTATATGGAGTCTTGTTCTGTCGCCCAGACTCGAGTGCATTGGCGTGACCTCAGCTCACTGTAGCCTTTGCCTCCTGGGTTCAAGCAATTCTCCTGCTTCAGGCTCCGGAGTAGCTGGGATTAGTGGTGTGTGCCACCACACCCGGCTAATTTTGTGTTTTTAGTAGAGACGGGGTTTCACCAGTTGAGCAGGCTGGTCTTGAACTCCTGACCTCGTGATCTGCCCACCTCAGCCTCCCAAAGTGCTGGGATTACAGGCGTGAGCCACCGCACCTGACCACAAATGAGACCTGTGAAAATATATCTTCAAACATTTAATCAGCACAGTAAAAGCAGACTTCTTACACCTATATATAGATCCAAGCAATAGAGATTTTTCACATACTCTGAGGCTATAGCAATGAATAAATAGTGTCTCTGATCTTGAATAGCTCACTGTCTAGTTGGAAAGAACAACAAAAAAGTAAATATCAATATATTATGGTAAGTGCATTAATAGTATGCATGTAATATTTGAGTGGGTAGAAGTGTGATACTGTCTTAAGATTTTACTTACAGCAAAAATATTACATGTCAAGGAAAACTTAGAACATCTTTTTGATCTTGGAACAGGCAAAGATTTCTTTTTTTTTTTTTTTGAAATGAGGATCCCTGTCATCCAGACTGGAAGGCAGTGGCATGATCACAGCTCACAGTAGCCTTAACCTCCAGGGCTCAAGCAATTCTACTACCTCAGCCTCCCATATAGCTAGGACTAGAGGCACGTGCCACAATGCCTGCGTAATTTTTTATTTTTTATTTTGTGGAGATGGGAGTCTTGCTTTGTTGCCAGGCTGGAGATCTCTTAAATATGATACAAAAAGTACTAATCATAGTTAAAAACTGACGAATTGGACTAATTTAAAATTAAGAACATCTGTTAATCACAAGACATCATTAAGAGAATGAAAATGTAATATACAGAGTAATAGCAAGTATTCACAATTCATGTATCTAATAAGGGATGTGTATCCAGAATATATAAAGAGCTTGTATAAGTGAATAAAACAGATGGATAACCATTAGAAGAATGGCAAAAGACTCAAACAGACACTTGACAAAAGAACGTGTTCAAATGGCCCAAAATATGCAGAAAGGTGTCCAACTTCATTAGTCCTGGCGAGGTGCACGTTAAAACCACAAAGAGATACCATTACATAATTACCAGAATTGCTCAAATGAAAAAGACATGAAATACCATTTGTTGGCGTGGATGTGGAGCAACCAGAACTCTTACAATTGCTGGCTAGTGTAATAACCACTTTAGAAAATATTTGGCACTATTTACTAAATCTGGACATATGTATATTCTATGCCTTAGCAATTCCACTGCTAAGTATATACCCAAAATATAATTACCAGCATGTCAGGGCAGCACTATTGGTATTATCTTCAATCTGGGGACTACCCAAATGCACATTAATAGAAGAAAATATAAATAAGTTCTGGCATGTTTATTACAACATGATATGACATAGTAATGACTTGAACAATTTTTTTTTTTTTTTTTTTTTTTTAAGAGAGATGAGGTCCCATTGCATTGCCCAGGCTGGTCTCAATCTTCTGGCCTCAAGCCGTCCTCCCACTTTGACCTCCCGAAGTGCGGGGATTACAGGCGTGGAGTTGAACAGTCTTTAACTACTCTTAAAATCTGAATGAATGTTTGTTGAGTGAAAGAAATCAGAACAAAAGAGTACATGATTTCATTCATATAAAGTATAAAAATAGACAAAATTAATTTATGCTGCTGCAAGTCAGGATAGTGTTTGTTTTGGCAGGGTTAGTGACTGCAAGTGAGCTCAAGAGGAGCTTCTAGGATTCTGGTGGTGTTATGTTTCTTTGCCTAAGGGCTTGTTACATAAGCGTGTTAAAATATGTTAAACCATACAGTCATTTGATGTGGCTTACACATCAATGAAAAGTTGTTTAAAGAGGATACCATGGATTAAACACAGGAAAGGAGAATATATGCTGGCTGTAATTGTCTTTGCATCATGGGGCTGTGAATAAATAGTATTCTTTTTCTTTTGCATACTTTTTCTGAATTTGCAAACCATCTTTAGTGAATTTGTATTAGTTTTATAACACAGAAAAATAAATGAGCTTAAATAAATACAAATATAAATGTGCATGTAATATTGCCAGCGTGTCAAAATCCTGTAAAGAACAAGTGAACACTTTGATGCCAAATTGGCTTAAGGAGAAGAGAGGCGTGGTGGCTGACACCTGTAATCCCAGCACTTTGGGAGGCCGAGGCGGGCGGATCATGAGGTCAGGAGATCAAGACCATCCTGGCTAACACGGTGAAACTCCATCTCTACGAAAAATACAAAAATTAGCTGGGCGTGGTGGTGGGCACCTGTAGTCCCAGCTACTTGGGAGGCTGAGGCAGGAGAATGGCATGAACCTGGGAGGCGGAGATTGCAGTGAGCCGAGATTGTGCCACTGCACTCCAACCTGGGTGACAGAGCGAGACTCTGTCTCAAAAAAAAAAAGAAAAGAAAAAGGAGAAGAGAGGAGGAGACACCTCTAGGCCAGTTGTCTGTAGGCAGCTTATTTAACTTATTTGTTCCTCAGTTTACTTTTGTGTCAAGTAGTATTATAATTTTTAACACTTTTATAGTGTTACTGTAAAATTTAGGGATGCTTGTATGAAACACTTAGCTCAGTCCTGGACATATAGTAGGTGTTTAATAAATGGTAGCCATTATGTTTCTTATATATTATAAATAAGATGCTGGACTTTACTGCTGGTAAATAATGTATCTAGGTCTTTGTTTCCTCTCTGTACGAACCTGGTCCTCTGTATTCCTCAACAACTTGCGCGGCTCTTCTTTTTTTTTTTTTTTTTACCTCCACTGTATCTAACCTTGCTTCACAAACAATTATAGTTTATCTGTTACTGACTTTCCTTCCATTTTTTTTTTTTCTTTCTCCCAGATCTCCACTAAGTTCCAGCTTGGTGATCTTGAACTTTCTTTGTTAGCTGATTGGATGGAATTTCTCTACTTGTCTGATTTATCTTGGGCCCTTTTTACATTTATATGAATTAGGATAAAAACATTTAAATGTAATATATACATTTAATTGGAAAATACCTTGTGATAACTTCATTATGTTTCCAGTGTCACTACCTCAATTCAGTCGCTAATTATTTTAAGCTGGGACTGAGGCAGCAGTCTCCAAACTGGATTCTTGCTCCTGGAATAATGTTACTGAAACACAAATCTGATTGTTACTCCCTTTGTTTAAAGCCTTCCAGTGGCTTTCCCTTCCCTCTAGTTGACAATGGAGGTTCTTTGGCGTGGTTTATAGGTCTCTTGCTGGGCTTACCTCTACCTTCTTTCATCCTCATGTCCTGCTATTTCTCTTTCTGTGCTGCGTTCTGTGGCTTTGCTGAGTCACTTAAGATTCCTCTATTTTGCCGTGTTTCAGAAGTTGCATCCTCTTAAGTTGTATTTTCTTCCTGAAATCATTTTCACCAGTTCTCTGGAAACTCTCAATTTTTTCCCACTGAAAGATTACCTTCTCTGCGAAGCCTTCTGTGATCGTGCCTCCAGGCAGAGGATATAATGATCTCTCTTCGTGTTCTGGTAATACTCTATATGTGTTAATACCTCTCGTATAAAAGTTGTTATTATTTTGTAATTATTTCTCTATATCTCTGCTTTCCTTCCTATTTTCTGAGCTCCTTGAGGGCAGAGCCTGTGTCTTACTCCTTTTTGTCACCCCATTGCCTAGTAGGAGATATGTAAACTGAGAGAGAAAATGAGTTCATGTGTGGAACACCAGCTATAAGGGAATTGAGGAAATGTAGTTTTTAGCTTCTCAACTTCTAGCAACAGTAAGACAATCTGTAAGGGGGTCTGAGTGGAGCTGAGTGAACTAAACTGTAGTATATGCCACAATCTGGAACCCAGGAGGAGGCACTGTATTTTATTGGTACTCAAACCTCAAGCAATTATTTTTTGCATTGTTGCCCTGATAGTATACAGGCTTTTTATATGTTTTTTTCTTTATTTATATGTCATTCATTTTTATATGTTGTTTTTTTCATAATTAAATTATAGTATATAATATTGTATTGAGTTGATGGTTTTTGCACTTTCTAATGCCCGAGAAACCAACAAGAAACAATTTTATTTTTTTTTTGCATGACCAAACCGGTTTAGAATACGTATGGGCAACCCTAAACAACAGCCAGTTGGGTAAATTGTAAGCATTGGTTAATATAGCTTACATATGTTTTCCCTTTAGAAGTAAGAATAAATGCATTTATTTGTGTCCTAACATAATATATTTGTTTTCTGTTGCTGCTGTTGTATATTACCACAAACTTTGCAGCTTTAGAACAATACAGTTGATTATTTTACCATTCCCATGTGACAGAAATTTGACAGACTTGGTTGAATCTCTTCTTAGAGCCACACAAGGCCAAAATCAAGGTGCCGACAAGGCTGTGTTCTTTTCCAGAGGCTCTGGAGAAGATCTTGTTTCTGTGCTCATTCATGGTGTTGGTAGATTTAATTCCTCATGATTGTAGGACTGAGGTCTGCATTATCTTGCTGGATGTCGCCTGATGGCTGTTCTCAGTGTCTACAGGCTGCCTACATTCTTTGGCCTGTGGTTCCCTTTCTTCCTCTTCAAAGCCAACAACTGTGGGTTGAGTTCCCTCCTGCTTCAAATCTCTCCTGCCTCTTCCTTCATGGCTTATCTCTGACACTCACTCTCCCTGATCCTTATTGAGAAATATCCTCTGCTTTAAGGGCTCTTGTGATTAGCTTGGTCCTACTCAGATAATTCAGGATAATCTCCTCACTTCGAGGTCTGTACTGTTAATCACACCTACAAATTTTCTTTGCCATGGCATGTTACATAGTCACAGGTTCTAGGGATTAGGATATGGCTATCATTGGGGGCCCATAATTCTACTTACCATATATGGCAACTGTCAGCTTGATCTAAAAGAGTGAGTTTTAAGTATTTGTTATGTGATGATGCCCGGGTAATTAATTGATTACATGATTTATTACTTTATTATTACTTACATTGTGTCTTAATGAATAACATGATATAGATCTAAGTAGCCAAACTAAGCTATTACGTTATCCTTCTGTGATCACAACAAGCTATTGGTATTGATAAACTAAGCCTTAAGGTTTTCTTCTGTTTAACTGAGATTCTTAAGAAAAAAATAGTAAGTGGAAGTGGATAGACACTAAACTAGGAAGTTATAGAACAAATAATATTTTTCTTTGACTAAATGCAGATATGGTCTTCATCCTTTCTGTTTAAAAGACTGTAATTAATGTATTGACATTTTCTCCTCGTGGAATCTCTCAGATTAGTAAATGGAGAGTGAGAATTTCAGCTGATTGCTTCAAGATTGGCAGGAGGTACCGTACACATTATAAACCCATCAAACACTATTAATTACCTACTTGTTTAGATGGGAAACATGCCTTTTAATAGTTAAAGGTTGATTGTCTGAATGTTCTACTTCTTTCTGGGTCACAGTGGCATTATTCAGATGAATAATTTATTTCTTAATTAAATAATAAATACTTCAAAATGTATTGTCAAGGAAACAAATATGAGTATCTCATGGTTAGGATATTAGATTGGTAAAAAATAAAATACCAATTATTTGCTTTATAAGTACTTCTGAGGGATTATTTAATACACTATGGGGTTTTTCTCTTTTCCCAATTCTATTTTTATTTTTTGGCAAATGATTGAGAGAGGAACAATATGTTGATAGTGCTCTTTTAACATTTATTTTGTTACAAGCAAAGTTGGATGGATTTTTAAATGTGTCTGTCTTCAAGTTTAATATCTGATCATTTTAAGCAGTCACATTATCACTGTCTTCTCTGTTCTTATGGTAATGCATTTTTGCCCTTGCTATTTTGTTTCTTTAATACAGGATGAAGTAGGTGTTCCAGGTAGCAATTCAGCTGACCTATTGCGCTGGACCACTGCTACCACCATGAAAGTCCTTTCCAACACCACAACCACCACCAAAGCGGTGCTGCAGGCCGTCAGTGATGGGCAGTGGTGGAAGAAGTCTTTAACTTACCTTCGACCCCTTCAGGTAAGCAGTGCATCTTTCTTTTTAAAATCAACTGCATGGTTTATATAAATTCATTAGCAATGTTTCAGTTGTTTTCACTGTTATATCTTTATCTTCTCTAGATTGTTAAAACAATCTCTTAAGAAATGTAGGCCTCTCATCAGATAGGGAGTAATCTCTTTTATAGAATGTAATATATTCCCATGGAGTACTTGCAAAGGACAGTAATAGAGATTTAGGTAAGGCTCGGTTTATATATCAGAATTTAGTGTGATGAAAAGAAAAATTTTATCAATGCTTACTTGCTTTTGCTATTATTTCTACAGACTGGTAGTTGAGGAAGAGTGCTCGGAGGCAGACTGGGGGCTCTCAGGAAGGAGAACAGTTGAACAGATTCTTGCTTCCATTCTGGAAGTCAGTCAGGGCAGGCAGTAGAGCAATTGAGTTTGCTCTGCATTCTCATACTGCAGTCCTTTAATCTCACACTGGAAAACAAAGAGGAAAAACATACAACTATTAGCAGTTCACCTCAAACAAACACTCCATGTGCATCTCATTCATTCATTCAGCAAATACTTATTAGGCATTATTTTCCTGTCAAATGTCCTAATCACTGGGAATATGGTGAAGAAACACTTCAGTCTAATTCCCTTCTCCTGTGGAACTTAACATGTCAGTGAGGGAGACACAGAAAATACATATTTGTATAATAATGTAATGGCAGGTAATAACAAGCATGACAGAGATAACATAAGCAAGGTGGGTAAATACTGAGGAGGGAAGTTCTGATTAAGATAGAGAAGTTAGGTTTTTCAGAAAAGGAGTCACTTCGAGCAGAGATATGATTGAACCAAGGAGAACAAATACAAACTCTAGCTCCCCTGGACTGGGGCAGCACACTTGACATCTGCACAGAACATAAAAGGGGCCAGTGTGGTCTGAGCTGAGTGAACAATGGGGAGAATGGTAGGAGATGAGATCAGAAGGTGGTGGGGAGGCCCATCATTGAGAGCCTCATGTAGACTGTGATAACGACTATAGATTTTGATTTTGAGTAAGATGGAAAGCTTATGGAGAATTTCAGCAATGCAATTGTGTGATCCAACTTTACTTTTACTATGCTCATTTAAGTGCTGTAGAAAGAGAAGAAAAGAGACAGTGAGATCAGTCCTCCCGGTGAGAGAAGTGGGTAGTTTGAACCATGGTAGTGATGAAGGCAGTGGGAAGAGGTTGGTTTGGGGATGGGATATATTTTTTAGACCTTCTGGTGGTCTGGATGTGGAAGAAAGAGGAGACCTAAGAACAATGGTCCAAACAGTTGGATAAATGAAGATGCCGTTTAGTGAGACGCTATTAAATCTCAGCTGTAATTTTTATCATTTGCAGCAGCAGCTTCATCGTTTCCCTAGACTATGCTTGGCATAAAGTAACCACAATAAACCTTGGAGGAATGGGTGAATTCCTTTTACTTGGCTCTTCCAGTAAGGAGCTTTACAATCTATTTGGAGAGAGCAAAACATAATTAACTATAATCTAGGCATACTAAAGTTCTTGCTACTCTGCAGTGCTGGTAACAAGTCTCAAAGCCGTGTGTGGGGTGGTAGTTGTGAAAGAGATGGGGATCATGAAAGGGACACAGTCATATATCATCTTGCATCCATCTGTCAAGGATTCAGCAGGTAAGGTCTGAACTGGGCCTGAAAGGAAAGTTAGGATCTAACCAGGCAGTCGGCATGGCAGGACCCTCACAGTGGGAGAGAAAGACATAGAAGCGGATAGGATGCATAAAGCAGGCAGTTTGGTTGAGGTGGAAAGTTAGCCTTTAATGTTAGTTAACATTTAACAACCTCAAATGATGTTCCACATAGTTTAGTTGTTCGGCTGTTGGTTGTTTGCCTTGTTCAGAGCTACTAAAGGATTTTTAAGGAGGGCAGCAACACAGACAAGATGACGTTTTCGAGTGGTTATTCTGACTGTAGTATAAAAACTCACCATATGAACAACATCGATTGCTTCAGTGTTTCTAATTCATTGATGTCAAAGTGACCAGGAAAAGAAAAAGGCACTGCAGGGTGGGGTTGATGTGCTGCTCTTAGCATGTAGTTATGATCCTTCATTCTCTGCCGGATATGTGTGTGACTCTGGCTCTCTTTTTAGGTCGTGGGAAATGCAGCAGGCATTACCAGTTTCTTTTGAAATCAGCCTTTTCTTCCTCCCTCTCTCCCTTCTTTCCTTGCTTTTACTTCTTCTACCTCCTTGCCTTCTCTTTCTTTTTATCCATTGTTCTGTACTTTTTTTCTTTTTAGGGGCAAAAATGTGGTGGTGCATATCAAATCGGAACTACAGCCAATGAAGATCTAGAGAAACAAGGGTGTCATCCTTTTTATGAATCTGTCATCTCAAATCCTTTTGTCGCTGAGGTAAGGACAGCGTGTCTAGGAAGATAGATTTAACTGTCATGCTGTTGTAGACAGTAGAAACAAAAACTAAAATTTTCTTGAAAATATACTTATTTGTCTTGGTTCTTACTCATGTTATTCATTGGTTTTTACATTTTTTTGGTATATATTATGACCATTATGAGATTAAAATCTGTTTAAAAATGTTTCATAAAATAACATGCTTTAGTTTGTGAGCAGTTATTATTCAAGTCACCAGAAAACATAACATCCTATAATTGTTTTCTAAGCATATGTTTGTAGGACAAAAGGCACCCTACTAGATAGTGAAACTGCTTCTTTTGTGTAGTCTGAAGGGACCTATGACACCTATCAGCATGTTCCAGTGGAAAGCTTTGCAGAAGTATTGCTGAGAACTGGAAAATTGGCAGAGGCTAAAAATAAAGGAGAAGTATTTCCAACAACTGAAGGTAAGAGAGAAGGTTCTAGTCCCTTGACAGTGTGTAACTCTAGGTGAACATTGTTAACCAAAAATTTGTGAATGAACAAGAGTTTGGAAAAGAAATTTTTCAGTAATTTTGAATTGCATAACTTGACATCATCATTCGTTCATTCATCCATTTATTAATTTTGTTTAAAACACTTATTGAGAACCTGCTATTTTCAGGATTTGTACGTAAATTGAGGATTTAAAGGGATGAATATCATTCCTATCTTTAACTGGCTAGTTATGTAAAGTGATTCTCCTAGTGAATGGAAAAAATGCTCAATAAAATTTATTTCCTGATTTTATGCTTAATAGAATGTAGATCATATTTGATCTTCAGAATTTTCTGCTTGGTGGAATATCTTTCCATGTGGAAATTTTTGAAAAGAATTAAAGGCATGCAAGTTTACCGAAGACAGCTTACAATTTATACCTTTTTTTCCTTTAGCCTCCTTCTTTTTAGGTTTCTAGGATAGTTTCTTTGACTGTGTCCTTTGAATTCCCCCTCTCTCTGCTCTGCCATCCTTAGTGAATATCTCATAATTCAAAGGCTGCTGGAACTTCAGCTATCTTGTCTATATTTCAGATGTCAGCGAGGAAGAAAAGGGTGAAGAAAAAGCAGTTTTCTTGAAAGTCCTATCCACAGCTTGCACTTATTATTTTATTACTTATTACTTTTTATTGTATTACTGGCCACCTCTAACTGCCAATAAGCCTGGGCAGTGCCGTCTGTTAACTGAGCACGTTCCTATGTAAAGTAAAATTTGGGAAAATGCATACAGGGAATAGAACTGCTAATTCCCCCCAAAAGCTGATACTATAGCTTATTTTAGATGTTTTTTTCTATCAATCAGTACTCACATGCTGCTGGAGAGAGGAGAGGCAAATACCACTTCCCTATCCACTGTGCGGGTCCCTTGAACACTAGAGGTTTTTACTAAGTATATCATATTTCTTCAATTCTGAGATGCATGTTTTTCTACCTATCCTTCTCTAATCAGGGCATGTATCACAATTATGGATATATTTATGTTTCTTTTCTTCTCCAAAAAGCTATTATTAAATTTATGGTACATCTTACATATGTACCATACATATTACAATTACAGTTGAAATTGAATATATATGAAAAGTATAGTCATGTTTCTCTTTCCCTGTTTAATTATTCTTTATTACTTCTTGCTTTTCTTTTTATTGTCTTACATCAGTTGCTCATGGATTAAATATGAATGGTTATCAAGGTAGTTTGTACAGATAGAATCTGAGACCTTAAGAAAATACTAGGTTGGATGTGGACCTATTATTTGGCGTAATAACGGACTGAAGTAATAACCAAAACATTCGCAAACATTGGTTTATACGATATTTTTATTATTTAGTCTATAAAGTGTGAGCATACCTTGTTTTATTGTTCTGTGCTGTATTGCACTTTGCAGATACAGTGCTTTATAAAAAATTGAAGGTTTATGGCAACGCTATGTCAAGCAAGTCTATCAGAACCATTTTTTCAACACTGCTCATTTCATGTCTGTGTCACATTTTGATAATTCTCACAGTATTTCAAACTTTTTCGTTATTATTGTATCTGTTACGGTGATTTGTGATTAGTGATCTTTGATGTTACTATTGCAGTTGTTTTGGGGCACCATGAACTGCACCAATATAAGATGTAAACTTAATTGATAAATGTTGTGTGTGTTTTGACTGCTCCACTGACCAGCCATTTTCCATCTCTCTCCTTCTTCTTGGGTCTCTCTGTTCTCTGAGACACAACAATATTGAAATGAGGCAAGTTAATAACCCTATAATGGCCTATAAATATTCAAGTGAAAGGAAGAGTTGCATATCTCTAAAGGAAAAGCTAGAAATGATTAAGCTTAGTGAGGAAGGTGTGTTGAAAGCTGAGAAAGACTGAAAGCTAGGCATCTTGCCCCAAATAGTTAGCCAAGTTGTGAATGCAGAGGAAAAGTTCTTGAAGGAAATTAAAAGTGCCACTCCAGTGAACACGCAGATGATAAGAAAGCAAAACAACCTTATTGCTGATGTGGAGAGAGTTTTAGTGGCCTGGATAGAAGATCAAACCAGCCACAACATTCCCTTAAGCCAAAGTGTAATCCAGAACAGGTCCCTTTTACTGCCTTTAATTCTGTGAAGGCTGAGAGAGGTAAGGAAGCTACAGAAGAAAAGTATGAAGCTAGCAGAGGTTGGTTCATTTTGAGAAATTGCCACAGCCACCACAACCCTCAGCAACCACAATCCTGATCAGTCAGCAGCCATCAACATTGAGACCCTTCACCTGCAAAAAGATTAGGACTTACTGAACGCTCAGATGATTATTAGCTTTTTTTTTAGCAATAAAGGATTTTTAAATTAAGATATATGCATGGTTTTCTAGACATAATGTTATTGCATGCTTAATAGACTACAGTATAGTATAAACACAACTTTGATATGCACTGAGAAACCGAATAATTTGTGTGATACAGTTTATTGCAATATTTGCTTTATTGCAGTAGTCTGGAACAAAACTCACAGTATCTATGAGGTATGCTTGTACATGTATGTGAATTTGAATACCTCTCATATAAAAGGTATGGTTTACAAAAAGGCAAAATAATGGAAGCACATAGTTAAAGGTCTTAAAGATGGCTGCTTTCTTGGAGTAGACTCTCTCAAACTGATTTCTCAGTGTATTAAGGCTTCTGATATTTTCTAGTGCTGTTTTTGGAGAAATGTTGAGTATGTAAGCAATTAGGCCCTTGAGAGGTGCATATTTCTGGGTTAGTCGGCCTCCTGTTTTCATAGAATCCTTACAGTGCTCAGCCATCTTTGTTGTAGTTGATAACTAAATGATGAGACATCAAAATGATCTTGAGAAGTAAAGCAAATAGTGACGTTCTCTTGTGGAGCTTTAGGGAGTGGGAGAAACATACTTGAAGATGACTAGGGATCTCTTCCAGTTCCCTTTCTAACTGTGTGGATATTATTCACTGAAAGAGAGGTCCTCGAGCCACCTGTGTGCTAGCCCTGTCCTAGGAACTTAGAATATAAAGTAGGAGACATTGTCCCTGCCTTCAACGGGCTTATAAAAGAGTTGGGGAGACAGATTTGTGAGTGACAGGCGCTATGATAGGCAAACCCAGAGGCACTGGAATTGTAGAGTGGCAGCTGAGGGAGAAGGTGTTGTGAAGAGGCCTTCTGAAGCAGCCGATATTTGACTTGGACTTGGAAGGATGAATAAGGGGAAATAGATAGAGAGATGGGTTTGGAGGAAGAAGAAATGGGATATTTTAGGAAGAGGGAATAAAATTCATAGAGGCAAAGAAGATTTAAAACTTCATGATTTGTCAGGGATTTGTAGGCTATTCCAATACCTGGAGAGGAAGGGTATGTGTGGCCAGCCAGTGGAGAGATGAAGCGATAGTAGGCTGAGAAGAAATGCAAGGCTTTGTGAGTGAATTTAAACATTTTGAAGGAACCCTCTATCAAAAGCTGTAGGGATTTCAAGTAGAAGAATATTATTCCATTTTTCTTTGCTTCCATTTTCTTATCTATAAAATGGGCATAATAGCCTGAATGTTCTGTCCTGGGCTGTTGCTCTCCGATGGCACCCTGATGTGCGCCTTCACTCACACTGGTCCCCTGACCTGCATGATTGTCCTCGCTACCATCTTGCCCTTTACTCGATCCAATTAGGATTTCACAATTTTTTCAAACTTACCTCTGTAGTTCTCCTTCCTGGTTATACTTTAGAATCTCTTAGGAATTTTTAAGAAATATTGTGGCCCTAGAATCCGTTGTAGGTGATTTTTTTTTTTTTTTTCAGAAACTGTGGAGTTGGGCCCGGGTTTTTTTGTTTTGTTTTGTTTTGTTTTTTGTTTTTTTGTTTGTTTGTTTTGAGACAGGGTCTTGCTGTGTCGCCCAGGCTGGAGTGCAGTGGCGTGATTGTGGCTCACTGCAATCTCAACCTCCTGTGCACAAGTGACCCTCCCACCACTGCCTCCTGAGTAGCTGAAACTACAGGTGCGCACCACCATGCCCAGCTAATTTTTTGTTGTTGTTAATGCAGAGACAGAGTCTCCTCGTGTTGTCCAGGCTGGTCTCAAACTCCTGGGCTCAGGCAGTCTTCCCATCTCAGCCGCCCAGAGCACACCTGGCTCATACATCAAGTTTTTTCTAGAGAACCTCAGGGAATTCAGTTGTGAAACCATAGTGAAGACTGTTTGGAAAGTTTCACTTCAGATATTAGGTTCTCCCCAGCCTCATGTGTCCATTCTTCATACTGAGACTTAACTCTCTGAGCTTCTCACCAGGCAGCACAGAGAAAGCTCCCTGTGTCTTTTATGGCTGTGTGTGGTCTCTTCAACTTAAGGCTCAAACTCTGAGTACCACATCTACTTCTCACTCTTTTTTCCTCAAAGCTGTGAGGATTTTCTATGTGGTGGGTGCACAATGAATGTCTCCTCACCATGATGAAAGTACAGTGTGTCTATTGGAGTCATTGGGCCAGTGAACTGAGCGTATGCTCTTAGTGCGTCTGCATCCTAGTGTGTGTACTGTTCTTAGTCATGTCTATGGGATTTTAAGGGCTTGCAGTGACTTTTTGTCTGCCCTGGTGTTTCTTGAGATTATATTTTCTGACAATCTGATTTTAATATTTCACCACAGAAAGAATCTGAGTCTACTAAGGAGTTAAAAATTTCAAATATCATTGAGCGATAAAAACATTTCAGAGCACTTACAATTTATATTAAAAAATGTATTAATATACCATCAATATTAAATATAGAGGTGATTTTAATAATAATAATCTCTTTTATTTACATTTGGGTTTATAATTTATGAAGCATTTTCCTATTCCCTATCACATTTTGTATATTTTGATAATGCCAATATGTCTGGAACAGTTACCTTTGGCTATTTTATAGTGTCAAACATTTGTCAGAAACTCAGCAGAATTGAAGGGTGATGTAGGTTATAAATGACACAGATTAAAAATTGTGGTAAAAAAGTAATTCTTGACTTTGGTTTAGAAGTAGGTCATAATACAAATTAAACTTCCTAACATAATCTGACTTTATAGAACTTTTTAATAAAGTTGATGAAAAGATGTTTATGGAGACTAAAGAAAGTTGGTCATTATTTATTTAGCAAAATGAATGATTTAATGGCTAATGATTTCCAAATCAATAATATGGGCAACTTTCCTCTGTGAGTTTTGTTCTAGAATTAAATTTATCTGAGTGCTTTCCAGAGGCACTTACTTTGCACAGAATTAGCGCTTGAAGGCTTAAGCATAGATTTCTGTTTTTTTAAAATTTTATTTATTTATTTATTTATTTTTTATTATACTTTAAGTTCTAGGGTACATGTGCACAACATGCAGGTTTGTTACATATGTATGCATGTGCCATGTTGCTTTGCTGCACCCATCAACTCGTCATTTACATTAGTTATTTCTCCTGATGCTATCCCTCCCCCAGCCCCCCACCCCCTGACAGGTCCTGATGTGTGATGTTCCCCGCCCTGTGTCCAAGTGTTCTCATTGTTCAATTCCCACCTATGAGTAAGAACATGTGGTGTTTGGTTTTCTGTCCTTGTGATAGTTTGCTGAGAATGATGGCTTCCAGCTTCATCCATGTCCCTACAAAGGACATGAACTCATCATTTTTTATGACTGCATAGTATTCCATGGTTTATATGCCACATTTTCTTAATCTGGTCTGTCATTGATGGACATTTGGGTTGGTTCCAACTCTTTGCTATTGTGAATAGTGCCACAATAAACATACGTGTGCATATGTCTTTATAGTAGCATGATTTATAATCCTTGGGGTATATACCCAGTAATGGGATCGCTGGGTCAAATGGTATTTCTAGTTCTAGATCCTTGAGGAATCCGCCACACTGTCTTCCACAATGGTTGAACTAATTTACACTCCTACCAACAGTGTAAAAGTGTTCCTGTTTCTCCACATCCTCTCTAGCATCTGTTTCCTGACTTTTTAACGATCGCCATTCTAACTGGCATGAGATGGTATCTCATTGTGGTTTTGATTTGCATTTCTCTGATGGCCAGTGATAATGGGCATTTTTTCATGTGTCTGTTGGCTGCATAGATGTTTTCAGAAGTGTCTGTTCATATCCTTTGCCCACTGTTTGATGGGGTTGTTTGCTTTTTTTCTTGTAGATTTGTTTCAGTTCTTTGTAGATTCTGGATATTAGCCCTTTGTCAGATGGGTAGATTGCAAAAATTTTCTCCCATTCTGTAGGTTGCCTGTTCACTCCAATGGTGGTTTCTTTTGCCATGCAGAAGGTCTTTAGTTTAATTAGATCCCCTTTGTCTATTTTGGCTTTTGTTGCCATTGCTTTTGGTGTTTTAGTCATGAAGTCCTTGCCCAGGCCTATGTCCTGAATGGTATTGCCTAGGTTTTCTTCTAGGGTTTTTATGGTTTTAGGTCTAACATTTAAGTCTTTAATCCGTCTTGAATTAATTTTTGTATAAGGTGTAAAGAAGGGATCCAGTTTCAGCTTTCTACATATGGCTAGCCAGTTTTCCAAGCACCATTTGTTAAATAAGGAATCCTTTCCCCATTGCTTGTTTTTGTCAGGTTTGTCAAAGATTAGATGGTTGTAGATGTGTGGTGTTATTTCTGAGGGCTCTGTTCTGTTCCATTGGTCTATATCTCTGTTTTGGTACCAGTACCATGCTGTTTTGGTTACTATAGCCTTGTAGTATAGTTTGAAGTCAGGTAACGTAATGCTTCCAGCTTTGTTCTTTTGGCTTAGGATTGACTTGGCAATGCGGGCTCTTTTTTGGTTCCATATGAACTTTAAAGTAGTTTTTTCCAATTCTATGAAGAAAGTCATTGGTAGCTTGATGGGGATGGCATTGAATCTATAAATTACCTTGGACAGTATGGCCATTTTCACTATATTGATTTTTCCTATCCATAAGCATGGAATATTCTTCCATTTGTATCCTCTTTTATTTTGTTGAGCAGTGGTTTGTAGTTCTCCTTGAAGAGGCCCTTCACATCCCTTGTAAATTGTATTCCTAGGTATTTTATTTTCTTTGTAGCAATTGTGAATGGGAGTTCATTCATGATTTGGCTCTCTGTTTGTCTGTTATTGGTGTGTAGGAATGCTTGTGATTTTTGCACCTTGATTTTGTATCCTGAGACTTTGCTGAAGTTGTTTATCAGCTTAAGGAGATTTTGGGCTGAGATGATTGGGTTTTCTAAATATACGATCATGTCATCTGCAAACAGAGACAATTTGACTTCCTCTTTTCCTAATTGAATACCCTTTATTTCCTTCTCCTGCCTGATTGCCCTGGCCAGAACTTCCAACACTATGTTGAATAGGTGTGGTGAGAGAGGGCATCCTTGTCTTCTGCTGGTTTTGAAAGGGAATGCTTCCAGTTTTTGCCCATTCAGTATGATATTGGCTGTGGGTTTGTCATAAATAGCTCTTATTATTTTGAGATTCGTTCCATCAGTACCTAGTTTATTGAGAGTTTTTAGCATGAAGGGCTGTTGAATTTTGTCGAAGGCCTTTTCTGCATCTATTGAGGTAGTCAGGTGGTTTTTGTCATTGGTTCTGTTTATGTGATGGATTATGTTTATTGATTTGCATATGTTGAACCAGCCTTGCATGCCAGGGATGAAGCCTACTTGATCATGGTGGATAAGCTTTTTGATGTGCTGCTGGATTTGGTTTGCCAGTATTTTATTGAGGACTTTCGCATCAATGTTCATCAGGGATATTGGTCTAAAATTCTCTTTTTTTTTTGTTGTGTCTCTGCCAGGCTTTGGTATGAGGATGATGCTGGCCTCATAAAATGAGTTAGGGAAGATTCCCTCTTTTTCTATTGATTGGGATCGTTTCAGAAGGAATGGTACCAGCTCCTCTCTGTACCTCTGGAAGAATTCGGCTGTGAATCTCTGGTTCTGGACTTTTTTTGGTTGGTAGGCTGTTAATTATTGCCTCAATTTCAGAGCCTGTTATTTGTCTATTCAAAGAGTCAACTTCTTCCTGGTTTAGTCTTGGGAGGGTGTATGTGTCCAGGAATTTATCCATTTCTTCTAGATTTTCTAGTTTATTTGCATAGGATGTTTATAGTATTCTCTGGTGGTTGTTTGTATTTCTGTGGGATCGGTGGTGATATCCCCTTTATCATTTTTTATTGCATCTGTTTGATTCTTCTCTCTTTCCTCTTTATTGCTCTTGCTAGTGGTTTATCAATTTTGTTGATCTTTTAAAAAAACCAGCTCCTGGATTCATTGATTTTTTGAATGGTTTTTTGTGTCTCTATCTCCTTCAGTTCTGCTCTGATCTTAGTTATTTCTTGCCTTCTGCTAGCTTTTACATTCGTTTGCTCTTGCTTCTCTAGTTCTTTTAATTGTGATGTTTGGTGTCGATTTTATATCTTTCCTGCTTTCTCTTGTGGGCATTTAGTGCTATAAAGTTCCCTCTACACACTGCTTTAAATGTGTCCCAGAGATTCTGGTACATTGTGTCTTTGTTCTCACTGGTTTCAAAGAACATCTTTATTTCTGCCTTCATTTCGTTATGTACCCAGTAGTTATTCAGGAGCAGGTTGTTCACTTTCCATGTTGTTGTGTGGTTTTGAGTGAGTTTCTTAATCCTGAGTTCTAATTTGATTGCACTGTGGTCTGAGAGAAAGTTTGTTGTGATTTCTGTTCTTTTACGTTTGCTGAGGAGTGTTTTACTTCCAATTATGTGGTCAATTTTAGAATAGGTGTGATGTGGTGCAAGAAGAATGTATATTCTGTTGATTTGGGGTGGAGAGTTCTGTAGATGTCTATTAGGTCTGCTTGGTCCAGAGCTGATTTCAAGTCCTGGATATCCTTGTTAACCTTCTTTCTCGTTGATCTGTCTAATATTGACAGTGGGGTGTTAACGTCTCCCATTATTAGTGTGTGGGAGTCTAAGTCTCTTTTAGGTCTCTAAGGACTTGCTTTATGAATCTGGGTGCTCCTGTATTGGGTGCATATATATTTAGGATAGTTAGCTCTTCTTATTGAATTGATCCCTTTACCATTATGTAATGGCCTCCTCTGTCTCTTTTGCTCTTTGTTGGTTTAAAGTCTATTTTATCAGAGACTAGGATTGCAACCCCTGCTTTTCTTTTTTGCTTTCCATTTGCTTGGTAGATCTTCCTTCATCCCTTTATTTTGAGGCTATGTATGACTCTACACGTGAGATGGGTCTCCTGAATAAAGCACAGTAATGGGTTTTGACTCTTTACCCAATTTGCCAGTCTGTGTCTTTTAATTGGGGTATTTAGCCCATTTATATTTAGGTTAATATTGTTAATGTGTGAATTTGATCCTGTCTTTATGATGTTAGCTGGTTATTTTGCCCATTAATTGATGGAGTTTCTTCCTAGCATTGATGGTCTTTACAATTTGGCATGTTTTTACAGTGGCTGATACCAGTTGTTCCTTTCCATGTTTAGTGCTCCCTTCAGGAGCTCTTGTAAGGCAGGCCTGGTAGTGACAAAATCTCAGCATTTGCTTGTCTGTAAAGGATTTTATTTCTCCTTCCCTTATGAAGCTTGGTTTGTCTGGATATGAAATTCTGGGTTGAAAATTCTTTTCTTTGAGAATGTTGAATATTGGCCCCCACTCTCTTCTGGTTTGTAGGGTTTCTTCCAAGAGATCTGCTGTTAGTCTGATGGGCTTCCCTTTGTGGGCAACCCAACCTTTTGTGCTGGCTGCCCTTAACATTTTTTCCTTTATTTCAACCTTGGTGAATCTGACAATTATGTGTCTTGGGGTTGCTCTTCTCGAGGAATCTCTTTGTGGTGTTTTCTGTATTTCCTGAATTTGAATGTTAGCCTGTCTTGCTAGGTTGGGGAAGTTCTCCTGGATCATATCCTGAAGTGTGTTTTCCAACTTGTTTCCATTCTCCCCGTCACTTTCAGGTACACCAATCAAACGTAGATTTGGTCTTTTCACATAGTCCCATATTTCTTGGAGGCTTTGTTTGTTTCTTTTTACTCTTTTTTTCTCTAACCTTGTCTTCTTGCTTTATTTCATTAATTTGATCTTCAATCACTGATACTCTTCCACTTGACCAAATTGGCTACTGAAGCTTGTGCATGCATCATGAAGTTCTCGTGCCATGGTTTTCAGCTCCATCTGGTCATTTAAGGTCTTCTCTACACTGTTTATTCTAGTTAGACATTCGTCTAACCCTTTTTCAAGATTTTTAGCTTCCTTGCAATGCATTAGAACATGCTCCTTTAGCTCGGAGAAGTTTGTTATTACCGACCTTCTGAAGCTTACTTCTGTTAACTTGTCAAAATCATTCTCCATCCATCTTTGTTCCATTGCTGGTGAGGAGCTGTGATCCATTGGAGGAAAAGAGGTGCTCTGGTTTTTAGAATTTTCAGCTTTTCTGCTCTGGTTTCTCCCCATCTTTGTGGTTTTATCTACCTTTGGTCATTGATGTTGGTGACCTACAGATGGGATTTTGGTGTGGATGTCCTTTTTGTTGATGTTGATGCGATTCCTTTCTGTTTGTTAGTTTTCCTTCTAAGAGTCAGGTTCCTCAGCTGTAGGTCCGTTGGAGTTTGCTGGAGGTCCACTCCAGACGCTGTTTGCCTGTTCATCACCAATGGAGGCTGCAGAACAGCAAATATTGCAGCACAGCGAATATTACTGCCTGATCCTTCCTCTAGAAGCTTCATCCCAGAGTGGCACCCCCTGTATGAAGTGTCTGTTGGCCCCTACTGGGAAGCGTCTCCCAGTTAGGCTACACGGGGTCAGGGACCCACTTGAGGAGGCAGTCTGTCCTTTCTCAGAGCTCAAACGCTATGCTGGGAGAACCACTGCTCTCTTCAGAGCTGTCAGACAGGGATGTTGAAGTCTGTAGAAGTTGTCTGCTGCCTTTTGTTCAGCTGTGCCCTGCCCACGGATGTGGAGTCTGTAGAGGCAGTAGTCCTTGCTGAGCTGCGGTGGGCTCCTCCCACTTCGCGCTTCCTGGCCACTTTATTTACCTACTCAAGCCTCAGCAATGGCCGACACCCCTCCCCCAGCCAGGCTGCTGCCTCACAGTTCTAGCTCAGACTGCTGCGCTAGCAGTGAGCAAGGCTCCATGGGCATGGGACCCGCCGAGCCAGGCAGGTGAGAGAATCTCCTTGTCTGCCGGTTGCTAAGACCTTGAGAAAAGCACAGTATTTTGGGCGGGAGTGTCCCATTTTTTTCAGGTACAGTGTGTCATGGCTTCCCTTGGCTAGGAAAGGGAAATCCCCCAACCCCTTGCACTTCCTGTGTGAGGCAACACCCCGCCCTACTTCATCTCGCCCTCTGTGGGCTGCACCCACTGTCCAACCAGTCCCAGTGAGATGAACCAGGTACCTCAGTTGGAAATGCAGAAATCACCTGTGTTCTGCATCGATCACGCTGCGAGCTGCAGAGCGGAGCTGTTCCTATTTGGCTGTCTTGGAACGGGGGGAGAGTTAAGCATAGATTTCCTCTGATTTTGGCCATATAACTTGTTTAGACAATGCTTTATATTCAAGGTTTGAGAACTAGCATTACAAATTAAATTCGTGCACACTGCTAAATGTAGAGCAGGTTTTATTTATTTATTTATTTTTTATGTTTAATGGCAACGTCCATGTAATTCAGTCTCTAGCCAGTATTACATGTTGTGCATCCCAGTGAAACTTACTTACCATCTTTTCTGAATATTTTGTCAAATATTGCTTCATATGGTTTGTGGATTCCAAGACTAAGAAACTTCCAAGTGTGGGTTTTGATTTCTACTTTATTAGGATCTCTGAGTCTGGGTGAGGGCTGCTGAGACAGTTTTGATGCCCAGAGGTAGAGTGGAGACTCATGTTCTCCACTGTTCCCATCAGTTCCCTACAATTCATGTTAGTTAGGAGAGCCCTGGGCTAGGCACATTATAGAGATTAATGCCTGGGATTATTGTGTGGGAGAAAAAAAGTCATGAGATAACTTCAACAACAATTGTGTTAGGGATTTGAGAAGAGAGATTCCTTTCCTTTCCATCTCAAATCCTGTGGAGAGTGGTATACTTGATGCCTGGGATTTTTCCAGTCTTGAAGCAGCTGGGAGGCCATGGGTTTAGTGTGGCCAGAAACAGCTGGCTGAGTGCAGTGCTGGAGACCAGGCATATATAACTTGTCCAGAAGTGTCTTCTAGGAAACCCCCTTTGGGGAATAAGTAACTGACAGGGAGCTTAAGCATTTGACGCAGTTTTCAGGGAGGATTTCTTTCATTTTTCTTCCCCAGCATTTTTATTGAGAAAATTTAAAATTCACAGTAAAGTTGAAATAATTTTGCAGTGAACTCCTGTTCAATCCTGCTCATTCTCCGTTCACTCCCGTACACTCCTGTGTACCCTCCAGTTAATATTGCCACATTTACTGTACCTGTATTTTTCCACCCCTCTATTCATCAACCAAACCCAACTTCTTTTCTGATGCATTTCAAAGTAAATCATAGATATCAGTAAACTTCACCTCTTGACACTACACTGCATATCTTTAACTATTTTTTACTTTTGTGTGTTTTAAAATTTACAGTGAATTACAAAAATCTTAGTTGTATGATTGTACAGATTGTGACAAGTGCAGCACCTGTGTAACCCTCACTCCTGTCAAGATGCAGACCTTATTGCCACCCTAGAAAGTCTTAGCCTCTTCCCAGCACACGCCCAACCCACACTTCCGACAGGGCACCCCATGCTCTGATTTTTCCCCACTGTAGATTAGTTTTGATTGTTCTAGAATTCATTAAATGCAATCATATATTTTGTATAACAAAGTGAAAGTTTTTGAGATTCATCTATGTTGTATCCATCCGTAGGTTTTTGTTTTTGTTTTAAATTATTGAGTAGTATTTCATTGTAGGCATATAAAACTGTACATCCACGCTCCTATTAAAGGATACCTGGGGTCTTTCAGCTTATGGTTGTTATTGTTTTAAAAAGCTGCTGTGAACTCTCATACAAGTATTTTGGTGGACATGTGTTTTCATTTCTCTTAGGTAAATTTTAATGGTATTGCTGGGTCAAAGATTATGGGTTTGTTTAGTTTTATAAGGGACCGCCAGAATTCTTTTACTTTCAGCTGTTGTGGATTTTTTGGGCTGTGGTTTTTCAAGACTGTGGGTTTTCTATCTGAGTTTTACCTGCCCAGCATGGCACGGGCAGGAGCTTGCCCTCAGGATTGAAGCTGTAAAGATGGGAAACTCACCAATACCATTCATTCTTTCAAATGGCAGCCATCTTCCAGTTTTTATTGGCTTTAGGTAACTATCCAGTGGCTTTTAATACTTGTTTTTTGTTGTTGTTGTTATTTGTTTGTTTTGTGATGGAGTCTCTCTCTGTTGCCCAGGCTGGAGTGCAGCGGTGTGATCTTGTCTTGGCGCACTGCAGTCTCTGCCTCCCAGGTTCAAGCAATTCTCATGCGTCAGCCTCCTGAGTAGCTGGGACTACCGGTGCATGCCATCATGTCTGGATAGTTTTTTTGTATTTTTAGTAGAGATGGGGTTTCACCATCTTGACCAGGCTGGTCTCAAACTCCTAGCTTCAAGTGATCCACCTGCCTCGGCCTCCCAAAGTGCTGGGATTACAGGCATGAGCCACCATGCCCGGCCTTTTAATACTTGTTTTTTATATTTTATCTAGAGTTTACAGTTTTAATCTGTAGGAGGGCTGTCTGGATAATAGAACCCAATCACTGAAGAATTTAAATAGAATTACTATTCTGGATTTCACTGGAGTTCACCAGGTGACGTGTGGTTAATGTCTGAGTCATAGTTTCCTAGAAAGAGTAATAGAAAGCCAGAGAGCCTTTTGCTTAGGATTAATTCTGAGGAGTCAACTCATGAATGAAGTCTTTAACTGGTCAAAATAATTTTGCACATTCTCCAGCTGGCTTGGGTGGTTGAAACAGATGTCAAGAAGTCCCTAGGGAATTAGACCTCATGGATGTTCAGGTGGGTGAACTGCACAAGCTCAACAGCATTTCTGGAGGAGATGCTCAAAGTGAGAATTTAAAAACCACATGGCAGTAGCAATGAAAATTGCAGTTGCATGTGTTGTTTGACCCAGTAGCTCCACTTCTAGGAATTTATCCTAAGAATATCTTCATTCACATTCTTAAAATGGCATATATTAATTGTTTGTCATAGCATAACATTGTCAATCGCCTGATAGGTACTGATCAAGAAAGACATCGATTTTATTTTGGGTCTTCTGTTTCCTGTCTTTACAGATGAACTGCCTTTCTGAGTTTGGCAGATTTACATAAGCTTCCAAGCCTGTGTAAAAACAAGATAATACTATCTTCTTGCAGGATTTTTGAGACACATAGAGCTAAGTGATATAAAACACCTATTTCATGTTTGGCTCCTCAGAGCATATATTTTTAAAATTATATGTATTTGTGTTTTAGATTAATTTTATTATTTTTGTTATACAAAGCAATGGCATGAGCACAGGCAGAGAGTTTGGATAGCAGACTGATTTGGTTGACATACAGGGTAGGTTTAATGGCAAATTAAAACCACAAATTAAAGTTGGCCCATATTTATGGAGACTTTAAACGCTCCATAGGAAATGTTAACTTTCGTTTTTTAGGGAATGGGAAACTAATGAAGATTCTTTTTCTGAGCTAGAGAATGACACAATTACTGAGTGCTTGAGTAAAATTAATATGAAACTGCTATTTTAAGAAAGTGCTGGAAGGAGAAAGACTGAAGGCATCAGGTAGAGCAGCATTGGGGGGCTATTGAAATGGTCTAATTTTTGAACAATTAAAGCCTAGAGTTTGTGGCAGTGAAAATAGAAAGTATGTGTGAAAGAGTTCTTTGGAAATTATTCAGTTGGATTTGACGAGGAACCAAGTGCTGGCAGCAGAGGAGAGGATGAAGTCCAAGATGACTCTGTGGTGTTAAGTTTAGTTTATTGGGAAAATAAGGTACTATTTTAGAAATATGAAAGTTATTGGGTAAAGAATGATTAATTTGAGGTAGCATTTGAGTGGCAGTGTCCAACAAGGAGTTGGTAAGGCCAGTCTTATGAGATGGTTCAAACCTAAATAGTGGGAAAATAGACCAGGGTACCAGCTGAATTTAAGGATAGAATTGAGACTGGGCATGGTAGCTCATGCCTGTAATACCAGCACTTTGGGAATTCGAGGCAGGAGGATCACTTGAGGCCATCAGTTCAAGACCAGCTTGGGCACCATGAAAATACTCCGTCTCTATAAAAAAATTTTAAAGCAATAGTCTGGTGTGGTGGCACACGCCTGTCATTCTAGCTACATGGGAGGCTTAGGCAGGAGGTTCACTTGAGCCCAGATTTTGAGGCTACAGTGAGCCAAGACTGTCCCATTCTACTACAGCCTGGGCAATAGACTGAGACCCCATCTCTTTAAAAAGTAAAGAAAAAAAAAGAATGTAGTTGAATTCTCTAGGTGAGGATGTAAGGTGGGATTAAGAGATAGTGAAGAACTGACCTAACTGAATACTCACATTGAAGAATCAAGGACGAAGATCTGGTGACGCACACAGAGGAGGATCATCTGAGGAACAGATGCAGGAGAACTCAGTGTCCTTGAAGCCAAAGGCAGGCCTATCTGGCAGTGCCTAGTGCTACAGTGAGATTTAAGAGAAAAAGAAGAGAGAAAAGACCTTGGGTTTGGTGACCTTTGGAGGTCATATTACTTGGGACCCAGGGATGGAGGGACTTGAGGAAAGAGGGAGTGTCAAGGTAATGGGTGCAGTGGGGCAGACCACTCATTTGTAAGGTTAGCAGTGAAAAGAAAGGGGACTGTGGAAGTTGTCAGAGTGGAGAGTTATCAAGGGGAGAATTCTTTTCTAACACCGAGATGATTTGTTTGTGTGTTGGCACTAGGCAAATAAAAAAGTTACTGTGACTCTGAATCCTCTCTTGTAAGTTGAGGAAAACATCTAACTTCTTCCGTAGAGAGGTTGTGAGGGGGAACTAATTCAAATGATTGCTGAGTGCTCGTTGAGAAGCAGCTAAGCCACAGGAAATAAGATAACAGAGGTTTGTCAGCTCATCAAGTGTGACTATTTAAGTCTGTTCTTGCTTCTTGGTGAAATTAGTCTTTATGCTTAAATGCAATTGTTAATTCATTAATAATTATGATTTATCTAAAATGGAAATAATTGTCTCTGTTGCACTGTGGTTGTTATTGGAAGAACCTTTTATCAATCATTTTTAGTGGGAAACGAAAACATGTTGTAACTGAAGAAAAGAATTTGCTTACTCAAGCCTGTGGTTTATAGAGGGATGGAGGGAACCTACTGGGTACTTTCTGTGTGCTAGAGTGATGCTCTGCACTTTGCATACTTTACTTCATTTAGTCCTTATTTACTGCTTCAGACCCCAAATGCAAAATGCTTTGAAAACCAGAAAGATTTTTATAATTTGTTTGGCATCAAAACCTGAACTAAACTGACATGAGGCTACTTTATAGTCTGCTTATCTCACTTAATATGAGTATTCAGATGTTTTGCAGCAGATATATTAATGTCTTTGATTATTGGGTGTTCCCACACCATACTTAGGGTGTTATGTAATACATGATATGTATATAGCACAACCTCCTAAAGTCCAAAACATTCTGAATTCTGGAACTCAAAATTATGTAGTCAATCAGTTGGGGACCTGAGCTTTGATCCCAGGACTTTCTGGTTCTGACAATGGTTTCCTTCCTGCTGTATCATTCTGTTGGATTTTGTAGGCAAGAGATTCATTATATATGTATAGATTTTGTTGTAGTTGTTGTTCTAAAACATGCCTGGGATTTTGGTTTTATCTGGGTATTGGTAAGACACACAGACATGGAAACGATTGTCACGAAGGAAGAAGTTTATATTCACAGATGCCTAAAAATGGAAGGCAGGACACACCCAGGTGGGGAAGCATCCTGGTGGTTTAGAGGCAGAAGGAGCCAGGAGAAGGCATGGGTGAGGGCCCAGGTTTCGTGGGAAGTAATAGGCGAGGCAGGGTAGACAAGTGTTGAGATTACGGGCATGAACCCCCATGCCCAGCTACCTCTTCTTTGATCTTGTAATAGCTTGTACAAAATTTGATTTGGGCCCTTTGAATTACATTTTACATTATTTGTTTAGAGTCTTTTTATTCTTGAAAGGATTCTAATTCATAAGGCAATGTCTGGTTCAAAGAAGGTTCTTGTTGATGTTGAGTGAAGGAATAAATTTGGAAGTAGACCTTGAAATAAATAGCTTTTGATTAGAAAATGTCTCTAAAACTGTATGATTCCTTGCAGGAGCTGAGGCTGACTGGTGGTCCATTTGGTTCCTAAGGTTCGGATAACATGTAGGAAATAAATATTTGGATAACTGATGTTCCCTTTGTAGATACACAGTGGGGAAGACACAGTAGGTTTTCTCTGTGAATCATCCACAGGAAATTTAGAGTTCTAGGTCAGCCTCTGACACTTGAGCCATTTGTAGTTTCCTTCTCACCCTCCCACCATCCCCAGTGCCTAGACTATCAGCTAAACAGAGATTATACAAACAACTTAAATGTCAGTCTAAGTAAGACATAATTGGGAGGGTAAATCTTCTGGAAAAATCATGTGGTGCATTTCCAAAGTCAAATATCATTTCCGTTGAATTATTCGTATACTATCCCCTTCATTAGTGCCGATCATGAGCATCTGTGTTTTTTAAAAATAAAGGATTCATATTGTGATTACATATGACTACTTAGTATTTGCTACTGAGATGCTAAATGAATAGGATACATCCTTATTGAAACAAGCTGTGTACAAACACAGACCGTATTGACAATGCATACTCTTATGTTAAAGCTATGACATTGGCAAGTTGTGGTTTGTGTAAAAATTTATGTGAAAAAGACAAGTTTTTAATGGTTGGGATATTTTAAGACATACAAGCAAAATGAAAGACTGATTTTCTTTTTGTGGAGCGTGATGAGGAGGGGTGTTATTGGAAGGAACAAAATCATATTATCATCATTGTAGTAATCAAAAGATTTACTCTAAATTTGCACTCCTAAAGCTATTTTATTGCTCTGATCTTTAGTACTCATATTATCACCCTCCATATTAGCTAACATTGATACACAATTTTGCAGCATGGTCTGCATCTTTAAAACCAAAATACCCAGCTCTAGGAAACCAGCCTCTCTCATGTCTTTGCACTTAACCTTTGCAGCTGCCCTGACAGAATTTCCTCATGTGTAAGTAACCAATAGTATACTTTTTCTGAATTAAGGCAAGGTTACTATTTAACACAGTTCCATATGATCTGTTTTTAGATGGTGCTGAACAGCCTTTCCTAAAAGGTCTCTGCCACTAATTATTTGTTGAAATCTTATGGGGCTGAAAACATGGCATTTAATAACTATGAATATCATATGCAACCTCAGTAAAATAATGTTTCTTTTTCTGCATTCAGTTCTCTTGCAACTAGCAAGTGAAGCCTTGCCAAATGACATGACCTTGGCTCTTGCTTACCTTCTTGCCTTACCACAAGTAAGTTTGCCCTTACCAATGAAGAATTTAAAATGACTAAATGGAAAATGTATGCTGTGAATTTTCATCGGTAAAATTGTTTATTGCATGCCATTTCCTCCTGTTTCTTTTTTTTCTTTTATTTATTTATTTATTTATTTATGTATTTATTATTATACTTTAAGTTTTAGGGTACATGTGCACAATGTGCAGGTTAGTTACATATGTATACATGTGCCATGCTGGTGCGCTGCACCCACTAACTCGTCATCTAGCATTAGGTATATCTCCCAATGCTATCTTTGACAAAATTCAACAACCCTTCATGCTAAAAACTCTCAATAAATTAGGTATTGATGAGACGTATCTCAAAATAATAAGAGCTATCTATGACAAACCCACAGCCAATATCACACTGAATGGGCAAAAACTGGAAGCATTCCCTTTGAAAACTGGTGCAAGACAGGGATGCCCTCTCTCACCACTCCTATTCAACATAGTGTTGGAAGTTCTGGCCAGGGCAATTAGGCAGGAGAAGGAAATAAAGGGTTTCCTCCTCTTATTTCTTAGGTGCTGAAAGGATCCTGGTCAGTATCTAGAGAGTCAATTCTACAGTTAGCTTAAATGTCGATCTTTACATCTACTTTTACTGCATAGGATTTGTTTTATAGTGCCTTGTGATTTTTAATATAGTCATTATTAAGTTGATCTTGAGCTTGAGTTGATGTAATGGGAACTTTGTACAAAAAATCTGCAGGAATGACTAGAAATATAATGGTTTATAATGATCTTCATAATTTCCTTTCAGCTGAGTTAATTCTAACATGTTCCCTCCTAGGTGTTAGATGCTAACCGGTGCTTTGAAAAGCAGTCCCCCTCTGCATTATCTCTCCAGCTGGCAGCGTATTACTATAGCCTCCAGATCTATGCCCGATTGGCCCCATGTTTCAGGGACAAGTGCCATCCTCTTTACAGGGTGAGTCTTCATGATTTCCAGCTTATTATTGAGCAGAGTTAAGCCTTTTCTAAAATACTCAAAACACGTGTTTAATTTTTGGAGGAACTGATTACATATGTATCCAGAATGTATTCCAAGTGGCAGGCAGCTCTTGGCTTTCCTGTATTCGACAAAGTTGCTTCTCCAGGTATCAGTAAGTAGAGTTTAATATTTATTGTGAATACTGTTTCCTCCCTCTAACTTTTACTTAATTTACTCATTTACTTAATTTTACTAAGTTCTTAGGAATGGCTAAAGTAGTAGGAAAGGCAAAATGGAGAATTGTTTTTTTAACTTACTTTCTAAAAGGAAGATGACTTTGCCTAACTTAGGAAAGTAGGCAACATAATTCTTTGAGCAATACTGCACTTTTATTTTTTTTTTTAAGCCAGAGGTATGAGAGTAGTCAGTTGTACGGACAGAATGTTGAAACATATTATTCATACTTGCCAAAAACCTCAGACAGCTTTTATGTAACTTTATTGTTAATTTCCAAGTGAAAGCAGGTAAACATGGCCTCAAGTTACATGTGCCTTCTTTTGTGGACACAAGAGTATTACAGATGCCGCTGAAAAATCCTTCCAAGTACTTGTATAGACAGACCAGTTTTAATTATTGGCATTGTGAAATTATCTGATTTTTGTATTGGATCATTTTAAGAGTAGATAATTAAATTGATTAGACTTTAAAATCCACTGTGTACATAAATCCAAGGTCCAGATTTTATTGAGGCAGGATTCTTCCTTTCCCAACCCCAAACAAATTCTAATACAACTTAAATTTTTCCTGTTTTCCCTGAGTAAATTACTTTATACCAAAATGAAAAGTCCCAAAGCATGTACTGTCTGTGACTGGGTTAAGTTAGGAGAAAATTGTTCAATTCTATCCCACCTTTCATATCTCGCCATCACTCTTTCCAAACTCAGATAATGCAGTCACTCTATAGGAAAGCCCGTTTTAGATTTCCACAATTAAAGATACATTGTTGGGTTCCGGAGGCTGGAGTCATGCTGCCCACATCTTGTTTGGGAAGCAAAAGCTCCCAGTGAGCTGGTGTGCCCATGTGTCTTTCATGGGACTGTCCCCTTTAGATCCCCACCTGTCACAGCCATAGCTTCGGGGTCCTGTCATCACATCCCCCGGGAGGGGAGGCAGAAGGAGGCTGAGGGCCCCAGGATTTCTGCCTGGTCCCTTCTCACTGTGAGGACGCCCTTGGCACATCTTTCTCAAGTCACACAAACTATTGCAGTTACATACAGAATTGCTGAGAGGAGCAGGAGATGCTGAGGAAACAGCTGGCAATGTGACAAAATTCTTTTCTGGGACAACAGTCAAATCATGTATTTGTATTTTTTTAAGTTTACCAATGAATTGTACAACAATGTAATAATAAAGTTCATCCTAATATGAAGTGCAAAAAAAAAAAAAAAAGATTTCCACAATTAAAACTGGCAAAGAAATAAAGCAGAATACTGAAAGATAAGGGTTAAAAGTAAATATGCATTTATCTTGATTTCTTCTATGTTCTTATAGTTCTTCCACATGGTAGAAAGCATATTTTATTTCCAGGTCTTATATTTTATGTAAGGAAATAATTTCATGTGTCTGTCAAAGTTCTAGCTGCCTCAACCTTCCAAATCATATCTAAGAACTAGGATGATGTGAAAACCTTCCATTTGTGGTGGTAGATAGGCTTTCATTCATCAGTGTTTATTTACAAGAAGACACGTGGAAAGACCATCCATAACACATGACTCTCCCAGGACACCATCACTATTGGGTGTATATTGGTTTTGGGCATATTTTATTCTCATGTCAGCATTTGGACAAGAAACAGGAATGCTTTATTCTTTTAACCAGTTTGCCTAAGGTGTTACTTTGTTTTGGGAATGGTGTTTTTTGTTCTTTGGTAGCTACTGCTGCTTTATACAGATACTTATTTTATATAACTTTATTATACTCTAGTAATTTTGTTTTTTTATATCTCAGGTATGGCTTAATGTGAAATAAGAAACATGCATTAATATGTATTATAAATTAAGGGACTGAAGTGATTAAGTGGAAATTTGGCAAATGTATTTTACTCTTACCTTTTCATTAGTGCTATGTGTGTACACAAGTGCCAAATAATTTCCTCTAAAACTCTAAGTACATTGAAACACAGTGAAGCTTTACTTTGACCAAATGCATAGTACCTTATTGTAAACTTGAATTTTTTCCCCCTAAAGGTCAGTTGAGTTCTCAAAATATATTTTACTGAGGTCTCTAAGTGGATGTCATTGAACTGGGTTGCTGGTGCTGAAATTAGATCTCACTCTTCCATTCCAACTATATCATCTTTATTAAGGTCCTACTGTTTGCCTACCCCATGCTGTACCTTTCCTGAATACATAAGATTGGAAGGCCACTATATTTGTCCATTTTCATACTGCCATAAAGAACTTCCCAGGCCAGGTGCAGTGGCTCATGCCTGTAATCACAACACTTTGGGAGACCGAGGCAGGTGGATCACTTGAGGTCAGGAGTTCGAGACCAGCCAACATGGTGAAACCCCGCCTCTACTAAAAATATAAAAATTAGCTGGGCATGGTGGCGGGCACCTGTAATCCCAACTACTGGGGAGGCTGAGGCAGGCGAATCGCTTGAATCTGGGAGGCGGAGGTTGCAGTGAGCTGAGATCGCGCCGTTGCACTCCGCCTGGGCAACAAGAGTGAAATTCCATCTAAAAAAAAAAAAAAAAAAAAACTGCTCGAGACTGAGTAATTTATAAAGAAAGAGATTTAATTGACTCACAGTTCAGCATGGAGCATGGCTGGGGAGGCCTCACAAAACTTACAATCATGGAGGAAGGTGAGCAGGAACCAAGGCACTTTCTTCACAAAATGGCAGGAAAGAGAAATGCCAAGCAAAGCGGGAAGAGCCCCTTATAAAACCATCAGATCTCATGAGAACAGCTTGGGGGAAACCACCCCCATGATCCAGTTACCTCCACCTGGCCTCTCCCTTGACACTTGGGGATTATGGGGGTTATAATTCAAGATGAGATTTGAGTGGGGACACAGAGCGTAATCATATCATTCTGCCTCTGGCCTCTCCCAAATCTCATATCCCTTTCACATTTCAAAACCAGTCATGCTTTCCCAACAGTTCCCCAGAATCTTAATTTGTTCTAGCACTAACCCAAAAGTCCAAGTCCAAAGGCTTATCTGAGACAAGGCAAGTCCCTCCTGCCTATGAGCCTGTAAAATCAAAAGCAAGTTAGTTACTTCCTAGAACTAACTGTGCTCTGCTTCCCTTTTAAACATGAGTTCCAATTCCAAACCATCTCTTTTTGTGAATGCATAAAACTGATTGCTTTTAAGAGCATCCAAGTCACCTTTTGAATGATTTGCTTTTTAGAAATTTCTCCCACCAGAAACCCTAAATCATCTCTCTCAAGCAAAGTTCTACAGGTCTCTAGGGCAGGGGCAAAATGCCAGCAGTCTCTTTGCTAAAGAATAGCAAGAGTCGTCTTTGTCCCCAACAAGTTCCTCATCTCCGTCTGAGACTACCTCAACCTGGACTTCATTGTCCGTATCACTATCAGCATTTTGGTCAAAGTCATTCAACAAGTCTCTAGGAACTTCTAAACCCTTCCACATCTTTCTGTCTTCTTCTGAGCCCTCCAAACTGTTCCAGCCTCTGCCCATGGCCTAGTTCCAAAGTTGCTTTCACATTTTCGGGTATCTTTATAGCAGTACCCCACTTTCTGCAGTATTAATTTACTGTTTTAGTCTGTTTTTATACTGCTGTAAAGAACTACCTGAGACTTGAAAGAGTTTTAATTGACTCACAGTTCAGCATGGCTGGGGAGGCCTCAGGAAACTTTCAATCATGACAGAAGGCAAAGGGGAAGAAAGGCACTTTCTTCCCAAGGCAGCAGGAAGAAGTGCTGAGCAAAGCAGGAAAAGCCCCTTTATAAAACTATCAGATGTTGTGAGAACTCACTCATTACCACCAGAACGGCATGGGGGAAACCACCCTCATGATTCAGTTATCTTCATCTGGTCTTTCCCTTGACACATGGGGATTATAGGGATTATAATTCAAGATGAGGTTTGGGTGGGGACACAAACCTAACCATATCAGCCACTCCATCAGTCAGCTGTCAGTCGTTAAGCATCCCTCATGTGCCACACCCTGCTTCTGAGCCTTGGTGTTGGAAGATGACTATGGCATGATGCTGGACCTCAAGACCTTGCTGCTTGCTCTAAATCCATATGAGACAGTTAAGTAAATGTGGATTAGACTGGCAGCAAAGTAGAGAACTGAAGATGGATGTTGGACAGACAACAAGTTACAGCTTTTAAGAAAGCTGAAAAGCTGGCTCCACAGCCACATTTTGGCCTATAATCTTCAGTTTCATTTCTTTAATTAAAGTAGTTCTCTTGGAGGAAAATTGTAGTACAACTTATATCTTTCTTGTTTTCCCTGATAGTAAATTACTTTGTACCAAAATGAAAAGTCCTAATGCATGTACTGTTTGTGACTCAGATAAGTCAGGAGAAAACCATTACATTCCATCCCACCTTTTGTATCTGGCCACCACTCTTTCCAAATTCACACACCACAGTCACTCTGCAGGAAACCCTATTTGGGGTGTCCACAGCTAAAGCTTGCCAAGAAATAAAGCAAAATACTGAAGGATAAGGGTTCGAAGTAGGTGTGTTTATCTTGGTTTCTGCTTCTGTGTTCCTACAGTTCTTTCCACTTGGTGGAAAGTGTGTTTTATTTCCAGGTCTTATATTTTGTGTACCCTTTTATCAATTCAGCGTTAGAGTACCTACTCTAAAGGACATAGAGCTTGACATTGTGGTATAAAGAATACATCTGGGTTTTTATTCCTTTCTCCCTCTTACCCCGATTTCTGTTTCTTCCATCCAGCTTCTATCAACCCACCATCTCTGCCCATTAACTGTCGTTCTTATTTCTATCACTGTTTTCCTATTGTATTAGTCAGGGTTTTCTAGAGCGGCAGAAGGAATAGGATATATGTATATATGAAGGAGAGTTTATTAAGCAGTATTGACTCACACTACCCACAATGATGAATTCCCACAATAGGCAATCTGCAAGCTGAGGAGCAAGGAAGCCAGTCCAAGTCCCAAAACCTCAAAAGAAGGGAAGCCGACAGTGCAGTCTCCAGTCTGCAGCTGAAAGCCCAAGAGCCACTAACAAACCACTGGTGTAAGCCCAAGAGTCCAAAAGCTGAAGAACTTGGAGTCTGATGTTCAAGGGCAGGAAGCATCCAGCATGGGAGAAAGATGAAGGCTGGAAGACTTGGCCAGTTGGCTTCTCCCACCTTCTTCTGCCTGCTTTATTCTAGGCACACTGGCAGCTGATTAGACAGTGCTCACCCACATTGAGGGTGGGTCTGCCTCTCCCAGTCCACTGACTCAAATGTTAACCTTCTTTGGCAACACCCTCACAGACACACCCAGGAACAATACTTTGCATTCCTCAATCCAATCAAGTTGATACTTAATATTAACCATCACATCTATCAAATTGTCTCTTCCTTTGAAAGTGTTCCTTGGAGCTCTCCTGCCCTCATGCTATCTCTTGTTCTCTAATTCCTGGTTGTCACACTACCCACCCACCCTGTGGCATAGTTCCAGCCACCCACCACCATTCCCTTTCTGGGTGCAACAACATAGGGTAGCCGCTGTTCAGAGTCATTGCTTGAGGAAGCAGCATTAATCCTGTGGGAACAGAAGCCAGTACAGTACATGGGGCCCAGTGATGATGCCTGAACACCGGATTTCTAACCTTTCAGCTGCTCCAGATGGAAAGAGGTGCTCTCTGGTAGCCTGAGATAGCACATGGGCATGAGTCAGCTAGTTCTCCAGGGACTTCTTGGCAACTTCTGGAAAGCATCCGATTGTAGGTCTAAAAGTAGAAGTGAAGAGTTAGAGAGAATCCAGGATGTTTTTCCTATCAAGATGCAAAGCCTTTTTGAATGTCTTCCAGACAGACAGATACATCACCAGTGAGTGGGTGAGAGTTACCACCTCTCCATTTGTTTCCATCTCTCCACCCTGTGTTCTCACCTTAATTCAGTCTTTCATAGTTCTTCACCTAAACGTCCTGCGACAGCCTCGTGAACATCACCTTGTCTTCATTTATTTACTTCTGTATTTTCCCCCAAACAACTGCCAGAGTAGTCATTCTAAAATGGAGGTGTAGACATCCTCCTCTCCACCCAAAATCCTTCAGGATCTCCCGTTGCCCCAGCATGCTCTGCACATCCCATGATTGGCCTCTGTTTTTCCAACTTCATCCTTCCATGCTGCAGCCATACCAAAAACTCTGCCTTTAATGCTTTTTGCTACCATTTCTTTGCTTAGCTACTTGGTTCAGGTGTTACCTCACTCAGGAACCTTTCTCCAGTCCTCCAAGCTGGATTGGGTCCTCCCCCATGTGCTTTTGTACTCCCCTGTACTTACCTCTGTCAGAGCGCATGTATTCTATTGTTTTGAACGTAAATACTTTTCATCTTACTGGAAGAAGGTGGGATAAGCTGCCTTGCTGAGCCTTCTGGCTTTCATCTTTCTTCTGAGCTGGATGTGTTCTGTTCTTGGACATCAGATCTGGCGCTGTCTCCAGGAATTGAATTGGAGGACACCAGTTCCTGTCTGCTCCCAAACTGATTGCTCACTTGGTGGGGAGAAACTCTTCCCCCATTTTTGGTCACAGACATCTTCTGTGTTGGTGATTGTTGTGGTGTGAGAGCAGAGCAGAACACGGTGTGGGATTTTTCTAAACAGCTGTCTTAAAGTACCTTTCACGTTCATTCTGCTGTTTGATCCTTTGAGCAACCTCATTTCTCAGAAAAGGAATCTTCTTTATAGAAGATACAACTCAGAAGTGTGGTTACTTCCTCAAGGTTACTCTGGTAAAAAGTAACATCCTGTCATGTAAAGCCCCTGATTCCAGGCTTTACCTGCTTTTTACTTGGACAGCGACCGCTCAAGCTTTGTTTCCAGAGAAGCAGTGTCAGTCTTTTTCAGACATGAGTGATCTTGGTGGCATGCAAACTTAACGGGTAATTCCCAGCAGGATATTTTCATGTGCCACTCCATGTCTACCAGGTAACATCCTGCATATGACAGATAAGACCCTCAGTGAACTGGCTGGCTCTTCCTTACCCCTCCAGCCGTGCTTCCTGACACTGCTTCTTTTGAAGCTTATGTTCTGGCTGCTCAGAACTTAGATTTCTCTGAATTTAACATCCTTTGTTGTGCCTCTGTGCACATGCAGATCCAGTTCCCCATCTGAAATACTTCTTCCTTCTCCCCGCTGTGGGCAGGCAAGTCTGAGCTCAGAGGCGCCTCCTCTGAAACTTACTTGGCCTCCTTCCATCTCTGTCTGTTCCTTGTGTGTGCACCCATGGAAGCAGTTATTTTAGGATGACAGTCGATACACATCTCTCTCCGCTCAGTGTGGCAACCTTATTTGAAGACAGGAATTCTCTTGCTTCCTGTATCACCAGACCTAGCCCACTGTAGTTGTTCAGTGACTGTTGATGGTATGTAGATGAGTTCAGGAGTCATGTCAAGTGCTGCATGTCAGGACAGCTTGAGGCTTCAGGTTTGCAGTTGTGAGTTCTGACCCTCATGGATTTGAAGGAAACACTGGTAGACATGATAGTTGGATGTTGGATGTTTTAAGTATATAGGAGTTTTTCATTGACTGCCTAATGGCTCATTATTTGAGTGTTTTCAGCATCTTCCTCTGCATAAAACAGCACTGCTGAGTTTGGAATTAAATATGACAAACTCCAGATGAATCATCTTGGAAATTGAAATCAAAGTGGTTTCAATTTGTTGCCTGCACATAATAACACCCAGTGAAGCTTAGCTTTCACTCAGTTGTCAGTTCAACTTGTTTCTAATTCCACAGTCTTTTCACATTTTCTCTTTCCACCTCCTGGATATGCGCTGCAGGAATGCTAACTTAGGTAGATTACTAGCCTTGGATAAAAGTATTGATAGAATTTGTGGGCTTATTTCTCATGCACAGCCTGTGCATCTTGAAGGGCAGCATCGTCCTGAGCCAGCAGAGGCCCCCTGGAGCCCAGCAGCTCTCTCAGATGATCCATGGAGCTGCCTCCCTCGCCTGCATTTTTCCTTTTAATTTTATGCATTGATGGTTAGCAAATGGTCAGTCTGAGAGAATTTTCTCTTCTAGTATTTGTTCTAATTAACTCATTTTTACGTTTTTAAAAAATACACATGTGACCCCAAAACTCAAGTGTTGAAAATAGTATATAATAATAAGTCAGTGTTTCCCATTTGTATCCATCCAGAGATAGTTGATGGCTGTACATACTTATATAACTATTTTTTAGACAGATGTAAGTAGGCTGTGCACATTGTTCTGTATCTTGATTTTTTTTCCCTCATATCTTACCTTTGTAATTGTTGTAAATGTATTTTGAAGTGTGATCTTTGCAGCATTCTTTTAAAAAAGTGTTCAGAAGGTAAAATCGGTTAAAAATGGAAACGTCCTTTAGTTTTATAGACTAGGGAAGCAAACTCAGCGGGGGATGACATTCAGAATTTTATGGTAGACTATTTCTAAAATGCGTTTTTTTAAGCTACTAATTGAAAATACTAAGTAGAAAATTATCTCAAGCAAAATAACAACCCTAAAGGGGAAACACACCACCTGTTTAAAACTTTCGAAATAATATTACCAAGAAATGTAGAGACTATTAAACCAGAATAGATTTATTACCTCTAGTAGTAAGCAGTAGATTAAGTCATTGAGCATTTTGTTGTCATGAATATTTATGCACATTTTGTTTTTACGGGGATTTGACCATATTCTTTAAAGAAATCATACTTTATTCACCTCCCTGAAGAACTGCATTGCCAAGTTTTGAGGGGAAAATCAAGTAATTTAACTCTTCACAATTTCCTTTTTAAATTATGAATGGCTTTTTATGCTGTTAGTTTTTGCAGCCTGTGCTATTTTGCCATATCACTTTGAATACTGAATATGGAAGATTTTGAAGCTGCCCAGAGAGCTCTTCATAAGCTTCCTAGAGGCTAAAAGCTTTCATACCCATGCGTCATGTCACTGAAGTCAGATGCTGGAAAGAGGGAGGGAAGTCTGAGTGTACTCTGAACACCAAGACTTCCGAGTGATTCTGGGTGTGAAGCTGGATGTAGAGCAACTCATGGAGACTTGCTCAGCAGTGTGGGGCAAGCGGGTGGGAAGCCAGGTGGCTTGAGTCACTCTCCAGCTGCAAGACTACAGCTCCGGATGCTTCAACTACAAATGGGCGTGTCTCTAAAACAAGAAACAGTGTTTCCCGTGCACATCCCCAGCTTGATAGGAGGGTCAAATGAAAATCACGTGAAAATGCTTTCGAAACTTTAATTGTTGTGTACTTGTGCAGTGAATAAATGAACGTATGAAATGCAGTGTTGGAATGAGTAGGAGATGCTTTGGAATATTTTGGGAGAAGTAGTGATAAGCTCAGGGGAAGAATTTTTACTCAAATTTAATTTGAATATCGGAAGTAATCATAACCAGTAAAATTTCTTGAGGAAGAGATAGAAAGTACCAGTGGCAATGATCAGAAAATAATTTGCATAGGGAGCTAGAACTTACAAATGCTCATTCATCCAGTTTCATTTAGTCTTTATGGGGATTCAGAAGAAATTGCTTCAGTTTTAGAAATGGAAAATTTACAGCTCAGAGGGAAAAACTAGTAATCCAGGTCATTGATGCCAACTCCTGTGTTTTTCCCCTGTAAGTAATTTTTTCTTAGAAGCTTTTGTGAGAAATTGTCTCCTCTCATTTTTGTAAGTTCTTCTCAGTATCATGTTTTATACAATAAATTGAAGTACTGAAAATTTTTTTATACACAAATATTTGATGAGCTATAAACTTGTATATACTTACAACCTGTTATCAAAAAATTAATAGAATTTCCCTAACCACCACCTTCTTACTTATTTCTCGTAGAGATGGGGTCTCACTATGTCACTCAGGCTGGTCCCAAACCCCTGGGCTCAAGCAGTCCTCCCACCTTGGCCTCCCAAAGTGCTGGGATTACATACAGGCACAAGCATCCGTGCCCAGCCTCACCACTTTATTAAGACAGAATTTTAAAAGGAAGTATATTTATTTCAGGGAGTTTAACAGAAAATGGTATTGTTGCTTGTGATTCTAAAACACCGTTATCATTAGAGAAGAAAAAGCAAGCGGCTCAAATAGAATATCCAGTTGAAAACCTAATGGGTGTTTATATTTACACACACACACAGACACACACACACAGACACAAGCACATATATATGGCATGAGAGGAGGAATATATGGAAAAATGTCTACCTGGAACAATACGGAATGACAGCATTAAATCTATCATTGAAAATCTGTCATTTGTAAAAGGACTCTAATGGCAAGTGTATTAGTTCACTCGCACACTGCTATAAAGAACTAACTGAGACTGGGTAATTTATGAAGAAAAGAGGTTTAATTGACTCATAGCTCCACAGGCTTAACAGGAAGCATGGCTGGGAGGCCTCAGAAAACTTGGCAATCATGGCAGAAGGCGATGGGGAAGCCAGCACATCTTACCATGGTGGAGCAGGAGAAAGAGAGCAAGGTGGGAAGTGCCACACACTTTTAAACAACCAGATGTCATGAGAACTCCATCACGAGAACAGCAAGGGGGGAAGTCTGCCCCCATGATTCAGTTACCTCCCACCAGGGCCTTTTTCAGCACATGGGGATTACAATTCGAGATGAGATTTGGGTGGGGACACAAAGCCAAGTTATAACAGCAAGTCTTACATGTAGTGGGAGCTGTGTCTACATTGGTCCAATCAAGAGCCTTGTATTTTTAAGAGATATCCCTCCCTACATACCGAATATAAAAGGATGGTTCTTAGGAAGCATTATGCATGGGAGTCATAGCACTGCTTTGTCACTTACCAGCTTAAAGGCCTTAGATCTAAGTTCATTCTTTATTCATCCGTAAAACAGAGATGACAGTAAGAGATGCCTGTCCTACAGAGTTGTTAATGCAAAATGAGACTCAGTACATGTTTTAGCAGTAGGCGTGTTCCATCCTGAAGACTGAAATACTAGGTTTTTATTCTTAAATATCTGTTGGGAAAAGTGAATAAGTTTCTCCTACAAAGAATATGAAATAAAAATGATTCACAGAGGAATAGATAATTTGTATGTAGTAAGTGAGAAGAGGTTAAAGTTGTATAAACTGTGTAGAAATCTGATGGCTATAATTTGTGGCCTGAAATTCTAATTTATTTGTTTGTTTATTTATTTATTTATTTTTGAGATCAGGATCTCATTCTGTCCCACAGGCTGGAGAACAGTGGTGTGATCATAGCTCACTGCAGCTTGAACTCCTGAGCTCAAGTGATCCTTGTGCTTCAGCCTCCCTAGTAGGTAGGACTACAGGCATGCACCATTATGGCAGGCTAAGTTTCATTTTCTTAATTTTTTTGTGGAGACAGGGTCTCACTATGTTGCCCAGGCTGGTCTTAAACTTCTGGCCTCAATTGAGCCTCCAGCCTCGTAGAACATCCTTCTTTCTACACCTGGAGGGATTTGCAAAGTTTTTTTTTTTGTTTTGTTTTGTTTTTTTTGAGACAGAGTCTCATGCTGTCACCCAGGCTGGAGTGCAGTAGCACAATCTCAGCTCACTGCAACCTCCACCTCCTAGGTTAAAGTGATTCTCCTACGCTGGGACTACAGGTGAGTGCCACCACACCCGGCTAATTTTTTTGGTACTTTTAGTAGAAACGGGGTTTCTCCATGTTGGCCAGGTTGGTCTTCAACTCCTGACCTCAAGGGGTCCACCTGCCTCTGCCTCCCAAAGTGTTGGGTTTACAGGTGTGAGCCACCATGCCCAGCCTCTTAATGATAAAATTCTTATACATCTGTAGGATTTCAGTCTTAGAAAGGTGATCACCTGGTGATGCTCCTTTGCTTTATATCTGAAGAAACTGAGACCCAGTGGAATCAAGAAAGGGAATCAACTGCTCCTTCCATGGAGTTCCCAAAACTCTTGGCTTATGATTGTGTAAGTCTGCTTATATTTGGATGCCTTCTGTGAATTGTTTATGTGTACATCCTTGTCAATCAGTAGTTTTTAATTCTTTTAGAGTAAGCTCTGTGTCCAATTTGTTTTCATAGAATAATGGAGAAAGGAGAGCTTTAAAATACCTTTTTTTTTTTTTGGTACCTCATAACAAACTGTGAGGAGGATGTGCTATTGACATTCTTTTATAAGTGAGGAAATAGATAGGAGGTATCTTGTTTCAGACTGCATCTCTACTGAGTGGGGAAGCTGCAATATCAACCAGTACTACAGACTTCAAAGCCAGTCCAATCTGCTCCCCCTTTGACCATGTACCTGATTTGTGCAAGAGACTGTGCTGTGTTCTGCAAATTATGATATACACATGATCTCTGCCCTCCAGAAGTTTTAATTTAAGAGAAGGCAATGCAAAATGAATTATACAGTAGAGGCACACTTAAACTATGATTTGTATATGGCTTTTAGCCAATTCCATAATTCCTTTTATTTTTGGAACACCTGCTTCCTACCAGGTCTTGGTTTGTATATTTTATATATATTGTCTCTTAGGCTTCTCACAACCATGAACGCTATATATTATCACTGCTATTTTGTAGATGAGACAATGAAGTTCATAGTTAAGTAATTTGCACAAGGTCATTCAGCTAGTAAGCTCTGTGTGTCTGTGCTTATTTCACTGTGCTGTGTCATTTTATTCATTGGCAAAAGGAGACACTACTGTCTTTTTGTCACATGCGAAGATTGTATGTGGAGACTCAAAACTTTCTGCAGATTACATAAGAGCCTGTGGAAATGTTTGTAGCAATAACCATGCTCATTCTTGCTATACACTTATATTTTGGAGCTTTTCTCTTCACCTAGCCTTGGGATTTGTTTCATAGACTATATTAGAATACAAAAAGAATAGAAATCAGCAGGGGTTCTACCATTGAGGCTAATGAGAAGTGTAGGCCACTCTGCCAGTACATGTATTAAATCTTGGAGATAATAAAAAGTCAAAAATGAATGTGGAAGAAAACTATGAGAAACCATTGGGAGAACTAAGGTAGCTGGTTCTATGAGTAGGGGATAGAAACAATAGCCTGGTAAAGAGAGGGACATGGAGTTATACGCAGAGATAGGTTAGATGGTTATAGCCTTTCCTTCAAGGTATATTCAGCAAGTTCAGGCTGAAAACTTCAGTCTGAAAGCACCAGGTGAGAATATACATGAAGAAAAGCCTTCTTCATTGTTTTGGTGAACATAGATTTGGTTGTGGGGTGTAAATCTGGGGCACTAGGAACTCCTTCAAGGAACAACTGAAAAGAGCTCTCCTGCCACCCTAAAACCATGATCATTGGATATTTGGTCTTGCTGTCTTTACAACTGGGAAGAAAAGTGCAAATCAGATGAGGCATAAGAGCAGCAGGCCACGGCAGTGCACACCAGAGTGCTGAGCAGGTGAAGATGGGCCAGCTGGCCCATGAGCAGCATCCCTGGGTCAGGGAACTGCAGAGGTGGCTGTGCACGTGCTGGAGGTTCAGGATGGTGCCCTGAGGGGTTTGGCCAACAGATAGAAAAGGGATTTAGTTAAATGTCAGCCATAGATGCACTAAGAGCTGGGGCACGGCATCCCCTTTGCCTAAATCTGTCGCCAGGAATACTGTTTATATGCAGCTGGTTCCCAAATCACTCTCTAATTGCAGTTAGATTTGGCTTATACACTTCATTTTTCCCTCAAGCCTTAGCCATATAGGTGTTAGCACATTTTCTACCTTTTACTGGAATTTGTCTCCCTGTTTTTTGCTGCCCTCGTTATTACTGGTATGGTACCTGAGTATTTAACCTAGACATTAACTCTTTGAAGAAGACTTCGATAACACCTGCCCACTCCTGTGTATTCCCAGAGCACCCTAGGCTTACTTGTGTCACACCATTTTACAGTTGTTTGCATGACTGTCTGTCCTAATAGACTGTATTCCTGTAGGGAAGGGCCGTGTCCTCTTAGTGAATGACTTGTTACATAACAGGTGCACAAGAAATTTATTGAAGGAATGAAAGATGGCCTTGTAGCTTACTATGGAATAGTTCGTATTCAAACCCAGGTCTTTTAACTTGAGACACATATTTGTGGTTTTGAGAGTAGGACTCAGTGTATGCATAGAGGTAGGGAAAAAAATAAATATAGTAAGATTGACTTTTACTCAAATCCACATGCCAGAATCTAAGAAGATACCTTTAACTGTTTTTTATCAGCACTCCCAGATTGTTCCTTAATAGGATCAAGAGAGAGAATGTCAGGCTGGGTTTGGTAATCTAGACTCGACATTGACAAATCTCCTGTGCAGATCAGAATAATGGCTTACACATTAGAAATGCTGACAGCTTACTATAATTAGCTGTGTGTTTCTGAGAACCAAAGGTAGATTCTTTTTTTTTTCTCTAATTTGCTTATATTAAATATGTAGCATGTCTTCCCAGGAATTGGGATGGATTGAATTAATGCTGTTCAAGTATTAAACTCCCTATTAGTAATTCCAAAATCATGGCTCAGCTCTGTAACTTCATTAACACCCAGACCAACTTTAATATAAATAAATGTGGCTAGTTAATCACTTACTCTCCTTTCCTGTCAGCTGTTGGATTCTAGGTTGTGTTCTATTTGAATGAGTTTCTTGTTATTAGAGAAGCTGCTAAGAATCGTAGAATAATATCCCATTGAGCCCCAAATTAGAGGAGTAAAAATTGGTTGGATGCCTTTTTTTATGCAACTTGCACTATTTATGATTTCAGGAACAGGGTAGAGGTTTTTTCCCGAACTTATCCCTGGAGAAAATACTTTTCTCCTCAGGGGTCTAGCCATTTATAGTGAGGTTATTGAACTGCACCTTTGTTATTGAGAACACTTACTGTAGTCCACAGAAAATTTATCCAGAGGCAATGGCGATGAAAATTACTTCTAGAGTGAGTTACTGTGAGTGATCAGATGGTTGGCAGACAAATCTGATGGAGGTTTATAATAGTTGAAAGAGCAAGAATATATTGTTTTTTAAGTGTTCGGAGGTTTTGAGGTTGAAGAATAACAGAGCAAGAGTTCAAAAAGCTGTTTTTGGGCCTAGTTCTGTGTCCTGTCTTTGTGGTCTGCTAACTGGGTAAAGTGCCACTTCTGCAACTGACTTTTCAGGGCCGTTGTGAGCCTTATGAAATGGCAATAGTGTACAGGGCCAAACAGTTCCTTGCAGACATGGTCTTCTTCCATTTGTTACTCACTTGCTCGTGTTTGTATGATGTTGGTAAAATGTCTTCTTTTCCATGTCTTTCATAGGCTGATCCCAAAGAACTAATCAAGATGGTCACCAGGCATGTGACTCGACATGAGCACGAAGCCTGGCCTGAAGACCTTATTTCACTGACCAAGCAGTTACACTGCTACAATGAACGTCTCCTGGATTTCACTCAGGCGCAGATCCTTCAGGGCCTTCGGAAGGGTGTGGACGTGCAGCGGTTTACTGCAGATGACCAGTATAAAAGGGAAACTATCCTTGGTCTGGCAGAGTAAGTGATACCCTTTGTTTCATAAGGGGATGGATTTAAACTGCAAAAGAATAAGTTCAGTTACCAGGACTATTAATTTCAGTCCTTTGAAGTTTTACATTCATGGTTGCTATGAATAGGGCTTTCCCCAACTTCATCTAGTCTTATGTGGGATGTGTGCCTTCTCCAAACCGATCAGTAGATGCAGCCAGCATTCCCAGCTAAAAAAAGTTTCCCATGATGTTTAAATCATTAGTTAAAATAATGATTTTTGGATGGGTGTGGTGGCTCATGCCTGTAATCCCAGCACTTTGGGAGGCCAAGGTGGCCCAAGATCTCAAGATCCCTTAAGGCCAGGAGTTTGAGACCAGCCTGGCCAACATGGCAAAACCCCATCTCTACTAAAAATACAAAAATTAGCCAGGTGTAGTAGCATATGCCTGTAATCCCAGCAACTTGGGAGGCTGAGGCACGAGAATCCTTTGAACCCGGAAGGTGGAGGCCACAGTGAGCTGAGATCATGCCACTGCACTCCACCCCAGCTTGGGCAACAGAGCGAGACCCTGTCTCAAAAATATCAAATAATGATTTTTTAAGCTTATTTTTTAAAGTTACTATTTTTTTTTAAAGTTTCCTGTAGTTTTGATAGCCCAGTTCTAAGATTATGACCATGTTAGAGGTAATAACATGTGATCAGGGGCGAAAAATGGGAAGCTCAGGATGGAAATTTAAAAATAAGATTGTCCTTTGTGTCTGGCTAGAAATCTCAGTTTTCAAAGCACATGGCACTTTAATTTCTTCTTCAGTATGGTAAACTAGATACAATTGACTTGTTGTTCAGGGTGACTTTATCTGTCCTGGTCTTCTAGAGAACCAGAAACCAGCTGTTTCTCCTTTAGTCCCTTCCCCCTGTCAAGGGAAGAGCAGGCCTGTTGTGAGATGGTTGCTCAGTTCAAGGCCCAGGCGGAGACCTTGGTTTCTCAATGTGGAATTCCCTTTGGTTTTAGTGCTGGTGTTTGCTTTTTGTTTTAGTTGTTCAGGTCAAATGAGAAGTATTTACATGTCAGAAGTTGGGAAAATGTGTTCACCCACAACAGTTATTAAGTAGAGATGTTTTGTTTCTAAGACCACAATTTATTGAGTGCTTATCATGGGCAAGGCACTGTGCAAAGTGCTCTATAAACTTTGTATAAATGTCTTTTAATCCTCAAGGATAACCCTGTGAGATAAAATGTTGTTATCCCTAGTTTATAGTTAAGAAAAATGGTGCTTAGGGATATTAAGTAACTGCCTAAGTTCCATAGATGGTGAGAATCACAGCTATGATTTTAGCCTGGATCCATCCAAAGCCTCACATCTTCACCACAGCACCACAGGCCTCCCCTACAACCCATTGCATTCTCAAAAAAGCAGTGGATGTGATTCAGTCTCTAGGCTTCCAGCCTTTGAAACTAAGGTAAAATGGTGCGTACATTTAATGGTTATTTTTCTCTCCTGACAAATTACTTTAAAATAGCAAAGATAATCTTCATTATGATAGTGGAGTATGTTATTTTTTATCATTATCATTTAAATCCTTGAGAAGGTGGCAAACTCATCTTGGTTCTTTGTAATAATTTTATATTAGCCTGAACTTCTTTCTTATACCCCAAATTCTTCTTCTACACCCAAAATTATCTTTAGAACGAGGCATGGCATAGAGAGATCAAAAGAAAAATAGCAGGAACAACCTATAGCTGGTCTCAATTAAGAAGAGAAATATGGAATTGTTTTTCTCTTCTCCTCTGTCCTTCTGGAGGTTCATAATTTCATAACGTCATTTAGTGTCCAATTTGAAAGTAACCTAAGCCAACCTTCTGACTTTTAAGAAAAGGAATCAGAACTAGAGAGCTTTAAAGAGTTGCTCAAAGTCACACAGCCAGGAGTTGAGCTTGGGTTTCTTAAGTCCAGTATGCTTTTGCTATGGACGTTTGGTAATCCTTGGTGCCATGTTCACGGTTTCTTAGAAGGTGATTATCATGCAGAATAAAAACTCATAAGGCAGGGCGTGCCTTATATCATCAGTTACATTTTGCTAGAGTTTTTGGCCTTTATTTTCTTTGTTAAGCATACAGCTAGCATATGCTATTTGAAGTATGTTCTAGAGGACAAATATATGCTTTTGATAAATATATAATAGAATCTTCTGTACAATCTGTTACTTAGAAAAATATACAGCAGTGTTTGAATGGCTTCTTTAAGATGCCTCAGAGTTTCCACCAGCTTGCTGCTTTCCTCTTCTACTGTGGAGCTGGGTTGTCAATGTCTTGCACACAAGAATTCTTGAAGGATTTGTGTCCTTCCGTTTGCAGCATCACCTTCACTTGTACATAGAGTGACCATTCTTCCTTGTCTTTCTCACTGCATGTCCCTTTTCTCTTCTCTTCTCTCTCCTCTCTCCCCTCTCCCCTCTCCTCTCTCCCCTCTCCCCTCTACTCTCTCCCCTATCCCCTCTCCTCTGTCCCCTCTCCCCTCTTCTCCTCTCCTCTCTTCTCCTCTCTTCTTTTTTCTTTTCTTTTCTTTTTGATGGAGTCTCGCTCTGGCGCCAGGCTGGAGGGCTGTGGCACGATCTCAGCTCACCACAACCTCCACCTCCCAGGTTGAAGTGATTATCCTGCCTCAACCTCTCGAGTAGCTGGGACTACAGGTGCATGCCACCATACCCAGCTAATTTTTTGTATTTTCAGTAGAGACAGGGTTTCACCGTATTAGCTAGGATGGTCTCAATCTCCTGACCTCGTGATCCGCCTGCCTTGGCCTCTCAAAGTGCTAGGATTACAGGCATGAGCCACCGCGCCCAGCTGCATGTCCATTTTCATGGCATTAGTTTTCTGTAAGTGCATTGTACCTGTCCTTTACTATCTGTATGTCTCAGGGAATACATTCTCAGGGGTCAGGCAGGGTAACTGTGAAGAGGGTATAACATAGTTTGGGTCCTTCCCACCTTTATCAAGAGATAAAGATATCAGTCCTTATTGAAAATGTCTTGTGCCAGGCAATGTGCCATAACCCCATAATAGAAAGGATGAATTAGTAATGGTCCCCTGTTCTCAAGGAATTCTCATTCCATGATGTGGAGGTAGGTACTCAAATAAATACTTCAAGAGACAATTTCTAGGCCAGATATGGTGGCTCACACCTGTAATCCCAGCACTTTGGGAGGCCAAGGTGAGAGGAATGCTTGAGGCCAGGAGTTCACTACCAGCCCTGGCAACATAGCAAGACCTTGTCTCTACCAAAAAAACAAAAACAAAAACAAACAAAAAACTAGGTGTGGCAGTGTTTTCCTGAAGTCCCAGCTACTCTGGAGGCTGAGGTGGGTAGGTGGGTGGGTGGATGGCTTGAGCCTGGGAGGTCAAGGCTACAATGAGCCTTGATTGTAGTACTGCACTCCAGCCTGGAAGGCAGAGAAAGACCCTGTCGCAAAAAATAAAAAATAAATAAAAAATAAGAATTGCTAATTGACAATGACCTAATCCATGGGTTGACAAAGTCAATCCAGCCTTGGTCTCTTTTATAGCCCATGAACAAAGAATGGTTTTAGCATTTGTTTTAAGGTTTTATAGTAACACAAAAACAAAAACAAAAGCCATAAAAAGAAGACTATGCCAGAGAGACTGGCAGTAAAGCCTGAAATATTTACTATATTACCTTTCCCAGAAAACGTTTGCCAGCCCCTGGCTATGCAAGCATATAAATGGCATGGTTTCCTTAGCTTGGGGAAATACAGTCTTAGCAGAGTGACTTAATAGTAAGAGATTTCTTTTCTGTCTCTGTGCTTTCACCCACACCATTCTTCCAACTAAAAATTCCATCCTACGTTTCTCTTCTGGAAAATAGGAGTCCTGCAGTAGTCTTTCTAAAATGGCCTTATAATGTGGGTGTTCGGGACTGCTTTCTTGGAACTCTTTATATGCCTAGAGATTCTCAAATCTGGCGATGTCATTCCCTGTTTTAAACTTTTCATGGACTCTTCATTGCCTGGAGAATGAGACGCAGGTCCCCTAGCAGGCCTGAGGACCCAGTACGTTCCTCACTTTGACCTTCGCTTTCTCTCTTATGTCTGAGAAGCCCTCATTCTCTCAGAAGGCTCTTCTCCCTCCCACCCTCTGCTGGGTGTGTGTTTATCCTCCTACTTGCAGTTCACAATGGTCACTTTCCATTCTCGTGGAGCTTCATGGTCTTCTCTTTTAGCTCTACCACCGCTATATTTAATTGCTGGTTCACATTTCCTGTCTTCCACTAGGCTGTGAATTCCTCAAGAAAAATGCTTGTTTGTTTTTAGTTCCTAAGGAGCTAGCACAATACCTGGCACAGGGTAGAAAACATAGAAGTTTGTTAAGTGACTAATTGTGCTTTCTCAAATCTCTACCCCTAGACCAGGGATGCACTATCTTTTGATTGTAGGCTCTGGAGTCTAGTTCATATCTTTTCAACCGCAGCACTGTTGACGTTCTGACTGGACAGTTCTTGGCTGTGGGGGCTGCCTATGCAGATGCTCGGGATGCCCACGCTGGGTGCTCGGGATGCCCATGCGGGGCTGCCTACGCACGGTGCTCGGGCTACCTCCATGGGGTGCTCAGAATGCCCATGCAGGGATGCCTACACGGGGTGCTCAGGATGTTTATGCGGGGATGCCTACACGGGGTGCTCAGGATGTTTATGCGGGGATGCCTACACGGGGTGCTCAGGATGTTTATGCGGGGATGCCTACACGGGGTGCTCAGGATGTTTATGCGGGGATGCCTACATGGGGTGCTCAGGATGTTTATGCGGGGATGCCTACCTGGGGATTCCTGGGATGCCTATGCGGGATGTCTGCGGGTGTTCGGGATGCCTCCACGGGACTGCCTACACATGGTGCTCGGGGTGCCTACAGGGGGATGCCCACATGGGTGCTCGGGATGCCTACTGGGAGATGCCCACGCAGGGCTGCCCGGGATGCCTGTGTGGGACTGTCTATGCAGGATGCTCAGCAGCATCCCTGGCCTCTACCCATGAGATGCTAGTAGTGTAGTACATCTGCCCCTTGCCCCACTTTTTATGCTCACAATGTTTTCAGACATTGTCAAATGTCCCCTGGGGAACAAAATCATCCACAGTTGAGAACTACTGGTCTAGACAAGTCCTTAGTAAATTGTAATACACCACAGTGAAAAAGAGCATTACAATTCCTTGGAAGTACTTTTCCTGGATCACTGTGAACTGTCTTATTAAGGACCACACTGCTTGCACCTCTCTCACTGGAGAGCAGTCCTAATGAGCATTTTCGTTGCTGATTGAAGTCATGTGTTTCTCCTCTCTCCCTTCCTGGGCTTGATGGACATTTCTGCAGAACTCTAGAGGAAAGCGTCTACAGCATTGCTATTTCTCTGGCACAACGTTACAGTGTCTCCCGCTGGGAAGTTTTTATGACCCATTTGGAGTTCCTCTTCACGGACAGTGGGTAAGCACACAGTTCATATGTACGTTTGTTTCCATGTCTTTCTTTAGAGTCTATTTTTGAAGACTCTTGAAGAAGTTGTAAAGTACAATTTTAGTTTTCCTTTAATCTACAGTGGACTAGTGTCTTGGTAAGTTCTTTCCTTATACATCTTTGATACACCTTTACCATTCATTGATGTATTCATTCAAATGTTTTTACTGAAAATTTTTTGTGTACTAGACTAAGTATTAGCCACTAGGGTTACAATGATGAGCAAAAACAGGCATCCTAGCTGTCTTGGAACTTATAGCTTACAGTAGGAGACAGATGATAATTGAATAATGACATAGGCAAATGTGAAATTAAAACTGATAAGTACTGTGTAATTGAGCTCAATTGGAGGGTTTGGCATAGTTAGCAAAGGCTTTTCCCAGGAAGTAACACTTAAGCAGGACTTAAATATTGGGTTGGAATTAACGACAGAAGTAGAAGGGAAGCATTTTCTAGGTAGACAATACAGTAAGTTCAAAGGCCCTTTGATTAGGAACAAATGGACAGTGTTGGTGAGTTCCAGGGATTTGGGTGGAACATGGCGTGAGATGAGACTGGGGCAAGGCATAGGAGCCAGGCTGTACAGCAAGATTGTGGAGGCCCTAGCAAGGGCTTTTGACTTCTTCCTAAGAATAATAAATAGAAGGCTAGGATAATAGAAGGTTAGTTAAGGATTCTGGTGAACAAGGACATAATATGACCAGCTTTGCATTTTGATAAGATCACTTTGGCTACTGTGTTGAAAGATGTTAGGAAAGTTAGGGTGGACATATGTAGACCAGTTAGGGAGCTTTTATGGTAACAGACGGCATGACAAGTGACCATTGCTTGGAGAAGGGATTTGAAGTACAGAAAGGCAGGCCAGAATGGGTTTTAGAGATATTTAAAAGGTGAAATAGATAGTACTTAATATATTGGTTAATAAGGATAAACTAGATATGAGGGTGAGTAAAAGGGGAGGTGTCGCGAAGCATCCCTAGGTTCTTCCTTGTTCACTTGCCAGATGGTGGCATCACTCCGTGAGACAGGAAGCACCCAATGAAGTAAGGTATTTTGGGGGAAGTGTGAGGAAAAGGCAAGAGAGGCCAGGCGCCATGGCTCACGCCTGTAATCCCAACACTTTGGGAGGCCGCGCTGTGATAGGTAGATCACTTAAGGTCAGGAGTTTGAGACCAGCCTGGCCAACATGGAGAAACCCTGTCTCTACTAAAAATACAAAAATTAGCTGAGTATGGTGGCAGGCACCGCTGTAATCCCAGCTACTCAGGAGGTTGAGGCAAGAGAATAGCTTGAACCCAGGAGGTGGAGGTTGCAGTGAGCAGAGATCGCGCCATTGCACTCCAGCCTAGGCAACAGAGCGAGACTCTGTCTCAAAAAAAGAAAAAATAGGAAGACAAGGGAATCAGGAAGTTATCCATACTGAAACAGCCGAGAGAAAAGGCCAAGTCTGCAGTTGGATCTTACAGATCTGGGGTTCAAATGGAGCTGGAAATACTAACTTGGGAGTCATACGCACATAGATGAGAAATAGTGATGTTGTGGATATGCTTGGGGAAAGAACAGAGAATGAGGAAAGGAGAAAGCTTGAGGCAGTGCTTGAAGTCTTCCACATTTAAAATGGTAGAGGAAGAGCTGCTAACAAAAGGGTCAGAAAGAGCAGCAGGAGAGGTAGGTAAGAGGGGAAACAGGAATCTTATTTTAGGGAAGCCATGGGAAGAAAGAGTTTAAAGAAAGGGAGTGAGTATTGAGTGGGGTCAAATCCTGCTGAATGGTCAAGAAATGCTATTTTTAGCACCTTTAATTTTTATTAATCACTTAGAAATTTTAACATTTCCTTTTTAAGTATTTATTAAATTGCTACATGGAAGATAGTGTGATCTGTGATAAATATTGCATGGACGTCATTTTTGAAGCACAGTAATATGTTCAAATAAATATTTCTTATGATACACACACTGGCATTTAAAAATATCCTGGCATTTTATTAAATATCTTTTTTCTTTCATTGAATGTTACGTAAAAGGATGTTGTATCTGTACAAACAGGATGCTTCCTTGGTCTCTGAATATATTATAAATTATCAGGCAATCGAGTGATGTGCAAGGCTGTTCCTAGCATATCATTATACCTGGTAGCACTGTGATTATGCAGATGCACAGCAATTACAAAAGCAGGAAATCATTACCTCCTGGCACCATCACTTGTGAGTGGCAAAGCATTTAATATTGATTTAGTAAGTGGTGTTAGGTGCTGCCTGTTCTTTACTTAAAAGGCAGCTGTTTGCTTTACTATTTAATCTAACTTGGTAACATAGTATTAGAAATCAGCCTTGTTAATACAATAGAAATTGCCCAACATTTATTTATTGAGTGAGTGCCACTGGGAAGTTGCAAGAGAAATAATGTTGTTTGTTTTAGGGTTTTGTTTTACTATTCCTTTAAAAAGTAATTTTTTCCCCTGTGAAGTTATTATTCTCATAATTGTACATTCCCCTTCATCCTGGTTGATTTTGGAGGTATCACCTGCATCAGCACATTTGCGAATAAGTGTACACAGAGAGGGTTGGGTGAGATACCATTATATAGCAGATGAATCATAAGCCTTAAAATCAAAATAGCTAGATCAAACAAATCCTATTGGTGTCACTTCTAGGTGTGTGTCCATGGGCAAGATAATTCCCTTCTCTGAAGCTCATTTTCCTCCTCTTTAAGCAAGGAGTAATACAAATTAAATTATTTAGTGGTAAGATATCTAACCTGTAGTATCTGACATATGATCACAGCTTCATTAATGGAAGTTTTTCCTGGAATTTCACTCTTGTCAGAGATAATTCTCATGAACACATATGTTTTTGAGTTGCTGGACTCTTTTTTTTTTTTTTTCCATTTCCCGCTTTTTCTTGTTGTTGTTGTTTTAATGTCTTGCTAGTTTTAAATAGCAGTGATGGCTTTGGGTGGCCATGAATGCCTAGAATCACTTCCAACTAGCAGACACTGGCTCTCTCAGCCTCTTGGTTCCACTGGGGCATGTTGAACCCCCCAGACTCAAGGCTGATTTGTCACTCATTACAAACTTAGTAGCCATCTTCATTTCTGGCTATTCTAGACATGTTGGTGGATTTTTATAGACAATAGTAACTACCAGATTACCTGTGGCCTATTGATGACAGCATGGGTTTTGTAGTCAGATGAACTTTCAAGATCCAAATCTGCCCACAGCCACCAACCATGTAGCCTGGAGCATGTTTCTTAATCCTTTCGAGTCGCTGTTTTCTGGGTTACAGGGATCATTATCCTCACCTTAGAGGGTTGTGAAGATTAGAGAAAATCTGTGAAAAATGTATAACTGAGTGGCTCTTTTAAATTTGTATTAGTCCATTCTCACGCTGCTATGAAGAAATACCTGAGCTTGGGTAATTTATAAAGAAAAGAGGTTTAATTGACTCAGTTCCACGTGGCTGGGAAGGCCTCAGGAAACTTACAATCATGGCGAAAGACGAAGGGGAAGAAATGCACCTTCTTCACAGGGAGGCAGGAAGGAGAAGTGCAGAGCAAATGGAGAAAAGCCCCTTATACAACCATCAGATCTCATGAGAACTCACTCACTGTCGTGAGCACAGCATGGGGGTAACCACCCCCATGATTCAGTTACCTCCCACCGGGTTCCTCCCACAACACGTGGGGATTATGGGAACTATAATTCAAGATGAGATTTGGGTGGGCATGCAATCAAACTATATCAAGGCTATTATGATTATTTGTGTCATTCTTGTTAATTCTGCTGATTTGATTAGTACTTTTCAGTTTTGGACACAGGGTCATTTTGAAATGCAGAGGATGCTTCTGGCTGATATAATAGTACCACATTTATTCATCAAATATTATTATTATTACTTAGTATCTTTGTATTCCCAGCATAGTGTTAAGTGCTGAACAAGACAGACACATCCTTGCCCTAATGGAGCTTATATTCTAATAGGGAACCCTCCCCCGTCACCCTGACGCCCACAAAAGCTGCCGAAAAGCAAGTTGTATGTTGTAGTAAGTACCATAAAGGAAATGCACACGAAGTAGATGGGGAAGGCCTCTCTTGGATGTGAGGAGGAAAGAGCTGACTATTGAAGAGGAATGGAAGAAAGGGCATTCCAGGCCATCAGAAAAGAAGGGCAGGACAGTTCTTGGTGTTTTTGAGTAACTAAAGGAAGACCATTGTGGCTGGGACAGAGTAAGCAAAGGAGAACTAAATGGAGGACAGGACATGTCTTTATACTGCCAGACTCGGTAATACCTTCCATCTTTTCCCTTCTTATTTAGACAGCAGATTTCAAGGCCAAACATCCTATGCCTTGGTTTCACTCTAATATCTACTTTTTGGTCACTCAAATGGTTATACAAGTGATTTATCTTGGTTGCTAGAGATCATAATAGCACCTTCTTCAATGTTGGTGAGTTTACTGTTGTTTCCTTTAGACACATGGGGAGGGTCCCAGGTCATAGGGACTCTGAATGTGCTGTGCTGTTTTCCAGAGCTGATTTCATATTCTTTAGTAGGATTATTTTGGTCCCAGATGCAAGAATGGGTAAGAACAAGGTCTATCTGAGGAGAGATGAGTAAACTATATTGCATCTGCCTTACCTTTTCCTGAATTGAAACAGAAAATAGAATTTCTGCCTGAAGGTTACTATTGTTCACATAGGTTTGTGTCCGGGTTGCTACACTGTAAAGAATTCTAAATTCTGGCCCTTATGTCTCTTCTTTCCTTGAAGAACTCTGGCTCAGTTGAAGAGTTAGTGTGAGAGTGGTTAATAGAGAGAGAGGGAGCATCTAACCCCTATTAGTTATTAATCCCCCAGGATTTAAGGTAACTTAGATGATCAAAAGTATGTCATGACATTGAAAACTAAAACAAAAATACAAGACCAGGGGAAATATTTGTTAGAGTAGGAATGTTGAATGTCCATATTCAGGTTATAGGTCTTACACAGTTGTTAAAATTGAGCCCTAAATTTGGTTTTGCTCTTTCTTTTGGTCTAGGGGAACAGATTATTTGATTAGGACTGTGATTTGCATTGTGCCTAAGAAGAAATCTAGAAATCCTAAAAACCAGAAATACTGATTACTGCCATTATGAAAGTGGAAGTGATTCCTTCCATATATCTGTAACTTGTAACCTTCATTTTCATATTGTGATCCTTAACACTGTTTTTCTCCAAATAGTCAGAAACGCCTGATAGTGGCACAAAACATAAACAGGAAAATGCATTTTGGTATGTTTATAGCCTGTGGAAAGTGCGCAAGCTTTAAATTATGCAAACCTGCTGCAGGCTCTGGCTCTGTGACCTTCTTGTAGAATATTATTGATAGACAAGTTGTTTTATCTCTTTAAGCCTAAGTTTTCTCCTCTGCAAAATGACTATTTTCAGCCCATTTTGCAGAACTGCTGTGAGATTGAAGAGATTTATTCAGAATACCTGATATGTATTAGGTGTTAAAAAAAATAGTAGCTATTATTATTAATTCTGGGAACAGGCTAGATTTACCAGACCCATCACATGGCCCTGGCAACCTAACATTGCACATCTGATTTTTCAACAATTATTTTTCAAGTCAGTATGGGTATCAATGATAAGATATACGCTTTGTGAGAATTAAATCAGATGACATAGTGCTTAGCACTAGTAAGTTCTCTGTAAGTGGTGTCTATTACTATTTCTATGCTATAGTGTTTCTTAAAACTGTTTTTGTTGGCAAGGTAGTAATATGAAGTATATAAACAAGTCAGAATTGACATTCTATGAGAAATTAAAAGGCTTTAGGGATACCAGGTTGTCCTTATAGAAGAGACAAAGCCTATTCATATGGCCTTCAACATTCTCACTCTGTTCCTGTCATAAAACATTCCATAAAGGAACTCACTGAATATCAGCATGATGAGAAATAGACTCTAAGACACTCTTTATTGATTCTCTCATCAACTCCCTGGGTGTTCTTGAAAAGTTAGTTAAATTCCATTCTTCAGTTTGCAGACACTTGGCCAGAATGTTGGCAAAACTAAAAAATGCCATGATTATCTTGACCACGTTTTCCTTGAGAAATCACGTATTCAGCTGTCAGGCTGCATTATAGATCAAGTCTGCTACATCAAGGTCATCCTGAGGCATTTATGTGCTAAGATGTTGGATTGACTTCCTCAGGCAGGAGCAGTTGTGATTTGGAGGGTAGATTGTCTTGTTGCTCAGTAGTCAATGGTGAGGCCACTGTTCACCAGCAGTGATGATCATTCACGTTGATTCATAGATCTTCATGCTCTTAGGGTTAGCCTTTGGGGAAAATGCTTACAAGCCACTGCAGCTGAACTGTACCCAACATAAAATTTCAACGTGAAAATATCAGCTTCATTGCTTTATTGAGTAGAAGCAGAAAGCCGAACTTGAAAGACTCAACTCAGAATCAGTCTCCATCTCTTACTAGTTGTGTGATTTTTGTCTGAGCCTCAGCTTCCTTCAGATAATAGGAATAATTAGACCTTTTGCAGAGGGTTATTATGAGTGTTAATGAGCTAATAGCAACAAGAGTGCTGGCAGGTTATGTGTACATTTTCACTTCCAGCCCTTCCCCATCCTCTTTATTCTCTCTTCCCCCTCTCCCGGCAGCCTTCTCCCTTCTCCCATTCACCTTCTTCCTTCTTGCCTCCTCCTTCCTCTTTCCTTCTAAGCACTCCTTTCAGTGAGCTAATGAAATTTTATAATCACTCCATCTCAGCTGAGTAAAGAAAAATGTATTTAAATAAATTTGTTTTTCTTACACAAATAAAAGTCCTTTCAATACATGATGTTCTTGAATCACATTTTTGGGTGACTGACATCTGGAAGCCATTACAGAACACCTTAATCATGAGATTAGTATGAATAATTTATTTCTGTGCATTGAGTGCAACTAATGCTGGCTTCTTCTGTTAGTTAATCTCTGAAAGTTAAATATGCACTATGTATATAAGCTGCTTTATAACTAAAACTTGGTTCAGGAAAAATCACTTAAACAGGTTTGAAGGGTAATCATTAATTTGATTAGTGAAAAGTCCACAGTGGTTTCATGGTATTTCTTTCTACTCTCTTGAATATGGGTTCTTTGGAATTTTTTTCTAAACAAAGATTTCAAAGAAAGATTTCCCTTTTCTGGTTCCAAAGGGAAGATAACAGCTTCTTTCTTCAGAATGGAAACTATTAAAATGAGCTATTGATTACTAGCATCTATAAAAGATCTTAGCACCTTGTAATTTACTGAAAAGGGAGGTTTGGGTATTTATCATGAGTCAGTAAAGGTATTCCAGTATCTGTCTTGACAAGATAATTGGGTAAAATTGCACAGCAGGCAAACTAAATTGTAGGCACAGAAGAATAAGTGAGTGGGCAAGAGGGAAAGTAATGTTGATTGAGAGAGACTATATTCATAATCAAGTCAAACATAGATGAACTAAAGCTGTTATGATATAGTCATTGTCCATTTTGTAGATGAGTCTGTCTTGAATACTTTGTTTATCAAGGTGTTACGAATGAAGTATGACAGGAGAACTCTTTTCGATTATTGCTGCTGGGAGAGAGAACTCATATCTGTGTTGCAGAAAGAATCCTGGTTTTGAAGTGGTTGTTGATATGGGTGCTTGACCTTGATGGTTGCTTTGTGATGTCCTGAGCAGTTGTGTACTTTGAGTCCAGACAGATCTGGACTCTTTATCTTAAACAAGTCATATAACCTCTCTGAATGGCAATTTATCATCTATAAGTTGATAATTACCCAACTTTAACTTAGCAAGAAAGTAATCAGCATGATAAATACAAATTTGTTTTCTTTCCTCCTTTTGGCATGTTGTTCTGCCTGCAAATCTTTGTCAATAAGATTCCTTTTATTGCGACTACACAGTTTCTTATTTACTTCCTTACTACATTGTTTTTAGACTTCATTTTGCAAATTATGAAGGAACATCAGAAATTCTGTGATTCACTGTCCCATACTACTGTGTGTACACTGTCTTTCAGAGATGATGGTATTCGTTGAATAGTGATATTATCAAGTATATTTTCTGACCACCCAGCCATTTATATTCACTGTTCCTTGTACAGGCGTTTTGCTTTCTTGATACTTTTGTTCACATTATTTCTGCTTCACTCCTTCCTGCCAAATTCAAGTGCTTCTTTCACTAAGCCTTCCATTATCATTGATTTCTACATCTTCTGCAGGCATAGCTTTTAGTGATCCTTCTCTTAATTGGACTATAATTTTGTGCCCTTTGTCAGGTGATACTATTGTTTTGCATCATTATTTAACTGTAAGTATTTGTAACTCAACTGGATTTTCAAATTTGGATGGGAGCTCTATGCTGTAAGTCTTTATATCCTCCCCAGTGGTGAGCACAGTGCCTTGTACATAGAGGACACCTAATTTTTTGCTCATCCACTCATCTATTTGGCGTTCATAATACATATATTGAATGTTTCCTTTGTGCCACACTCTGGTTCTTGGTATTGAGAAACTAGAGATTAAGATGATGTAATAAGGTCTGTGCCATCAAGCAGCACAGTCTAGGAAGGAAGATAGACAAGGTAATAAGTACTTAAAATACGTTACGAATAACAGAATAGAAGGATATTCAGCATGTGCCAATAGAGGAGGCAGTGAGAGAAATTTTTATAGACTGGGGACATATTTATAGATAGAGATATTCTTGTAAATGTTTGCACTGTGTCTTAATGGAAAAATAAGGTTTTTCTTGAAGCAAAAGTAAAAAGACCAGTTTTTAAAAATTACTTGATGCTTTGACTTTGTAGATTACCCTTTTTAACCCAAGTGTTGTCACATTCCCCTGAAAGTTTTAAAACATGATTTATACTAACTTTATCTACATAAACCAAAAACATGTCTTTGGGCACTTTCAGTAAACAAGTTGTCATGTTTCAGAGGAGCTGCTTTAGAACTTTTTGAAGCCTAACTTTGTTGCTGCCCAAGGTCTCACTTACTGCCCCCAGATGCTTCTGTTGCTGCTTCCGAGAACCCTAGAACCTGGGTACTTCTGTGAATGCAGGGCTGCCTGAAGGACTCTTACAATTAGGGAGTATGAAACTCATCACGTAAGGGGCATTGAGATTACACTAGACCACAGGCTCTGTCCAGATTCTGTCCAGGGAGAAGCACAAGACCAAAATTAACCCCCTCCTTTCCCCTTCTAAAAGCACAAACCAATCAACCAAGCAAAAATACCTTACTTTTTCTTTTCCCAAGAGTTTAAGTGACTTTTTAAAATTAGATTACAAAGACATCTAAGTTAGGATGAAAATATTAAGATATGTGTTTTATTTAAGTAGCATTACTGCAGATAACCCAAGTGAAAGTTTAATTATCCCTCTTTTTCTATTTTTCTTTTATCTGGACACAGCATAAAATTTGGGTTTATTGAATATTAATTCAAGACTCTTGCATGTAAATCTTAAGCCTGAAAGTTTAGGGTTTTTTCTGTATCATTTCCTAAATTCCTGAAATAATAAGGCTGTTTATGTTTCTGTGAAGAAGTATAGATTTTTAAACCCTTTTTATGAATGAATAAATGATTAAGAGTGGACGCTGACAGATGTTGGTTTATTTTCTAGCTGGGAGACATCAGACAGCTCTCCCAACTGCAGGAACTTGAAGTTAAAGCTACTTCACAGGGTTGCTGTAGACCCCCGTGAGATAACATGACGAGTGTGTAGTCAGTTAAATGTTAGTAGGCATCTAACACATTTGTTTTCCTTTATTCAGGCTGACTGGCTTCTGGTGGTGGTTTACTGTCTTTGAGTAGGCAGGAAGAAGGGAGCTATAAGAAGTAGTGTTTCTTCCTTGGTTAAAAAAAAAATCACTTTAATAAAGGAACAAAATCTTAACACAGTTCCTTTGGCTCTTAATTTCAGTTTGTCCACACTAGAAATTGAAAATAGAGCCCAAGACCTTCATCTCTTTGAGACTTTGAAGACTGATCCAGAAGCCTTTCACCAGCACATGGTCAAGTATATTTACCCTACTATTGGTGGCTTTGATCACGAAAGGCTGCAGTATTATTTCACTCTTCTGGAAAACTGTGGCTGTGCAGATTTGGGGAACTGTGCCATTAAACCAGAAACCCACATTCGACTGCTGAAGAAGTTTAAGGTTGTTGCATCAGGTAGGATGGTTGTTTCCCTGCTTGAATTCATTCTTTTCAATTAAATCTGGGGATTAATTTTCTGTACACAATCCTGTTCATGCATTATGGTTGCAGAGCTCTGAAACCACAGAATTTTGAAGCTAATCGACTTTAGTTATTATCTTTCCAACTCTTTCACTTATAGTTGAGGGAATTAAATACCAGAAAAAGTAAGAAACCTATTGAAAGTCGCACAGTGACTTATGGTAGACTTGGTACTAAAATCCAAAGTTTTGGACTTCTGCTCCAGGATTTTTTCACTACTCCCATTGATTATATTTTATGTATATAAATGGCAAGGCCAAGACACTTTATAATAGGCAGTTGAGCAGAATTTCATTCCACTGGAGCCTATATGTTTAAAATATGCATGGAACACTTAAGAGCCTTTGAATATTTGATAAATTATGGAAATCTTTAGAATGGTCTTTATGCTCATAACTAAGAAATTAAACACTTTAAGACCTCTTAATTTTTATACTTCATAATTTGCAAGGCACATTCAAATCTGTTTGTTTGATATTCATAATAATTGTGAGAGTTCCCATCAGTTTATCAGTTGTTTTCTGAATAATCAAATGAGACACTGGCCTAGACACAGAGGATAAGGGAATAAGATTCAATCCTTGCCTTCAAGTAACTAGTGAAATGCCAGATAAATAACAAAGAAATGTAATGCAGTTTGTTGAAGCACTGATAGAAGAAAACATAGGTGCTGCGGCGGATTCGAAAGGCATGGAGATATTGTCATCTCTAGGGTACAAACAAGGAGATGGAGGCACACAGAAGATGAATGGCCTATCTGGGATCACAAAGCCGAATAAGTTTCAGGCTGTGACTGGAACTCAGATCTCCTGATCTTTCTAATAGAAAATATAAACTAGCTACTTAGAGCTAAGTTGATAGATCTTTGCGTTCAGACATATAGAGGGCTATGTGTGTGTGTTTGAAAGTGACTCTATGTTTACATTGGAATGAACCACTTACCTACTTTCTTTTTTTTTCTGCTAGGTCTTAATTACAAAAAGCTGACAGATGAAAACATGAGTCCTCTTGAAGCATTGGAGCCAGTTCTTTCAAGTCAAAATATCTTGTCTATTTCCAAACTTGTTCCCAAAATCCCTGAAAAGGATGGACAGATGCTTTCCCCAAGCTCTCTGTACACCATCTGGTTACAGAAGTTGTTCTGGACTGGAGACCCTCATCTCATTAAACAAGTCCCAGGCTCTTCACCGGAGTGGCTTCATGCCTATGATGTCTGCATGAAGTACTTTGATCGTCTCCACCCAGGTGACCTCATCACTGTGGTAGATGCAGTTACATTTTCTCCAAAAGCTGTGACCAAGGTAAACAAAAAGATATTTTAAAGTGGTTTGAGCACAGTAGAAGAAATGAAAATTTCTCCTACATTCTGTAGATTTTATTTTTGTTTCCTTTCTTGAAAATAATTACATGTTGGCTTTTTAAAAAGTTTTTGTTCATTTGCTGTGAATGAGGTGTTTTAATTAGGAAATTTTTTTTCTCTATTGTAGATGTACAAATATGCTAAAATAGAGATGACTATTCTCATTTACACGTATACTTAGTACATGTTACAGTTCTCATGTCACTTTATAGTAAATATGCCATTCTGTTCTTTCCAGTTGACAAATGTAAAGGAGCTCCAGTGCCCAGCCCAGATTACCTGCATTCGGAAACCAGGCTAACAACTTAGCTTGGGTTAGCCTGAGTCTTTAAAAAAGTTATTGGCCGGGCATAGCGGCTCAAGCCTGTAATCCCAGCACTTTGGGAGGCCAAGGCAGGCAGATTACCTGAGATCAGGAGTTTGAGACCAGCCTGGCCAATATGGTGAAATCCCATCTCTACTAGAAGAAAAAAAAAAACCAAAAAAAAAAAAATTACCTGGGTGTGGTGGTATGCACCTGTAGTCCCAGCTACTCGGGAGGCTGAGGCAGGAGAATTGCTTGAACCTACGAAACGGAGGTTGGAGTGAGCTGAGATCATGCCACTGCACTCCAGCCTGGGTGACAGAGTGAGACTCTGTCTCAAAATAATAACATAAAAAAATAAAAAAGATGTTATTCATATCATGCAGTATATATCTTGGTGATAGAATTATTGAAGAGAGTGCATATTGCATTTTCTGATGTCTCCTCCATCAGTTTGGCCTCCTTTGACTGCACTCAATCCCTCAGCAATGTGTAGCCTCACTCAGAATAGATAATGTGGGTTCTCCTCCTCCCCTTTCCTGCCCCCTCACCTAGACACCGCTGCTAAACAAATGGACATTTTTCACTACTTGGACTCTGGGCATTCTCTCTCCTGGAAAATCTTAGCATTTGGACTCAACTGCTGAACTCTGTTGCCTTTGGAGCTCCTGTTTAATCTTCTCTCTTGCCATCTTTGCTGTTGCCTTCTCCTTCCGTGCAAGTCACCAGGTCTGCCCAGTACCCTATCGCAAAGATTGTTATTTTAGTTAGTATTATCCTGGAAATAGACTGTAAAGGCCAAGAATTGCAAATCATTCATTTGGAGGTTGGCACAGGCAGAGGTTCCAACTTCTGTGAAGAATGCTAGTTTTAACCAAATCACTAGATTAGTAGTTGTGGATAACCAAGTACTTCTTTATTTTCTTATTATTGCAACCCTAGTAATATATCTTGGTTTTAAATTTTACAACCACTGCTATAAAAAGGAGTAATCATGTTTTTTGTTTTTAAAGAGAAAAATAAGGATGATTTTTTTTTTTTGAGACGGAGTCTCGCTCTGTCCCCCAGGCTGGAGTGCAGTGGCATGATCTTGGCTCACTGCAAGCTCTGCCTCCTGGGTTCATGCCATTCTCCTGCTAGGAGGCTGAGTAGCTGGGACTACAGGAGCCCGCCACCATGCCTGGCTAATTTTTTTTTTTTTGTATTTTTAGTAGAGATGAGGTTTCACCATGTTAGCCAGGATGGTCTCGATCTCCTGACGTCGTGATCCACCCACCTCAGCCTCCCAAAGTGCTGGGATTACAGATGTGAGCCACTGCACCCGGCCAATAAGGGTGATTTTAAAAGACAAGAGCATAATGTATTTGAAAAGAATGTGTTTGGAGACATATAAACCTGGCTTTGAACTCTGAACCTATCACTTATCAGCTGTGTGGTTTAGCTTCAGGTATCTCTCTTAGACTTCTGCTTCCTTGAGACAGAGGTTGTGGCTGAGTAATCTGTGAGGGAGATAATATTATTACCCTAGTTTTATAGATGAGCAAACTGAGGCTTAGCAAAGTTAAGTTGGTAATAGAGAACTCAATTTGAACTCATGGAGATTTATCCCCTGGCCTTTTCTCTTAACCATTGAACTGTGCTATCTCTAAGAAGTCATAGAACAAGCAACTAGAGTCAGGGGACCTGGAACCATTTGAGAAACTGTGGGAGAGCAGTGGAACCAGAGAGCCCTGAGCATTTTTAGCCCAGTAGGAGCAGCATGTCCTGGGATTTGTCCAGAGCAGGGCTGAATCTAAATGAGAAAGTCCAGGCAGGAACCTGGTTGTATATGGGAAGGAACTGATCCAAGTTGGGAGTTTAAAATCCAAGGAACCAGCTCAGATCTGAGACTTGTGAACTAACCTTCGGGGCTAACAGGCCAGCAGGTCAGCCAGGATGGTGAGGGTGACTTTGCTCCCAGGCAGTTTTCCACTCCACCCTCAGGCTGGAGGTTGTTTTAAATATTTTATGTGAGGGAAGAAAGGGAAGCCAGCATGATCATCTGGGGCTGTCTGCTAATCGTGAGCGTGTGTGTAGAGGGGACAGAGAGTTTTAGACTTGGCAACAGCAATCTTTTATTTATGATTAAGTATAAGAGTAGGATGTAAAGTCCATTTGCGTTTTAGCTGTTATTTACCATGCTTTAAGTTAGGTGATTTTAAATTATTCACATTAAATTATTCACATTCTCATCGCTTTAGTTTCTTAACCTTATACTTCTTTCAAGATGTCCGCCAACCCCTGAAAATATGTGGCACAGTTGTTGGTGCACATATGTGTATTTTGTTGGGTTAGAGGTGCACCTGACTCAGTAAAGATTCAGTCTGCTAATTACTGTATTGCTTTCTCTTAGCTCAGATGGTATAATGCAAGCATATATATTTCTTCATTGTAAACTGTTCTCAAGAGGCGATTTTCTACTGATTCAAGTAAATTATAGAGAGGTGAGACAGATACATTTAAAATTTACATCTTTAGTCTAACCACAACATTTTTTCTCATATTAATCAGCAAGCTTTTAATTTTTAGTTCAGAAAGGAGAAGTATAAAGTTGGAAAAAATGCATGTTTGAAAGCACACAATGCTGCCCTATATAGATAGAGAGAGAGAGAGTATAAAAATCAAAATGAAACACAACCTGCAAATGTCAGAGAACATATTTGGAAGAGGAAATGCAGCTGGATTTGCCCAAATTTGCAAAACACCAGATGTTCCCACAGCTTGTACATGATGTTAAAAATGTAAAATAAATGTGTACTATTCATACACAGTGTGCAGTTTTCAAATGTGTACCCACATTTAATTTAGAAAGAAATTTTTGGAAAGAACTGGTAAGCTAATTCTCGAGTGCATAACAAGAACAATAAGCAATTGTTCAGATACTAGAATTCAGAAAGGAATATTCCCAAGGCCTGAACTGAGTGCCCAATCCACTGGTAAAACATACCAGAGAAGGCTCTTCACTTTCATGGTAACAGTCATTCCATTGCCATTTACATTTGCAGAATTCCTAGAATCTCTGGGGAAAATATTTACAAATAGTATTATGTCCTGCAGTCAGAGAGTGAATTTGTGTGCCATTTGAGATGATTAATATGCAGAAGGAAAAAGGAAGCAAATGTTTAAAGTGTATTTGTACCAAATCTAAATGCTTTTTTTTGTTGTTGTTGTTGTTGAATCAGATTAGAGTTGCTCCTCTATTGCTTGTCAATTCAGCTGTTATAAGCATTTTTATAGAAGGGACAGAGAACAAGTGAATGGGTTAGAAATCCAGGAAAATGGTTGTAAAAGAGGCTGAAAGGCAGGTCAGAACACAATTTGCTTGGTATTAGGTGGTTAGTAATGGGGAGCATATGTATAATCTTAGCCTTTGTGTTTTATACTTTCCACTTGCTGTCAATAGCTAGTACTGCTACATCCATAGATAAATGCATGGCAAATACTTCTCTCTCATATGAAATGCTGTCAAGAAGTTTGCCAGGATCCTTCTTTAAAAATTCCCAGGTAATCATACAGTTTAAAAAGTCCTTCTGGTACCTTGCCCAGTGTTACTCAACCTGGAATTAGATAGGTATTTACCCACTCCCCTTTCCCCCACCTTGCACGTGCTGCCTTTCCAACTCCCACCGTTTGTGATTCATTGCCATCGTAAACCACTGCTTCTAATGGGAAACATGTTGTCTCCTTTGGATTGTAGCAGAAAAATTATTGAGAACCTCTTATCTAGCCTACTTTCTAACCTTCAAACTCATTTCTATTGATAATTAAGCCAGTATCCCTGCTTACTTGCTTTATTTATTTAATAAAAGGTATCTTTTGCCTAATTTTGATCTCCACTGTTTGGTTCTGCCTCCTGGAGTTATGAAAACAGCATAAGAGTATCTTTGTTTGCTGTTCAGATTCTCTAAATAAGCCACCGTTTCCTCCTTTATCCTATTATTCAGCCTGTTGGCATAAAAATCTGGTAGAATAAATTAATCTTAAAAAGCATAATTTGACCAAAAAGTGAAATCTATAGTATAAGTTTAAGTCTTGATCAAAAGGTTGCATTGTAGCTGTAACTTCAGGGTCTCTATATTGCCAATACTATCTTTTAACTAAGGATGGCAGTACCTCTTTCACCATGAGTAATCAGTGTCTGAAACTGACATTAAAATGTTTATTTAATGTATATTATGATTTTCTGATGCCATATGTCAGATTCAGAGTGAATCATGAAGTATTTAGGCATTTGCTATGTGCCATATATGGTATTATTTTCCATAGGAGACATTAAGCTATGAAAGACATGTTTATAAGAAACATGAAATGAAGGTTTTTAAAAATTATACAGTAAAAGAATTTTTAAGTTATGTTAATTGAGAAGTACATTGCCAATGAAATTGGAAATTTTTGAGGACAGGGATGGTGCCTTTTATCTCTTATTTCCTATGTCCTAGCACAGTATAAAGTAGGTACTTTATACTTAAGTGGTTGATTAAATAATTATAGATTGGTCATTCTCAAAACTTTTGATCTCAGGATGCTTTAATATTCTTAAGAATTATTGAGGATTCTAAAGAGTTTTTGTTTATGAAGGTTATATCTAATAATATTTATCATATTAGAAGTTAAAGACAGGCTGGGCATGGTGGCTCATGCCTGTAATCCCAGCACTTTGGGAGCCCAAGGTGGGTGGATCTCGAGGTCAGGAGATTGAGACCATCCTGGCTACCACGGTGAAACCCCGTCTCTACTAAAAATACAAAAATTAGCTGGGCATGATGGCGCATGCCTGTAATCCCAGCCACTCGGGAGGCTGAGGCAGGAGAATCACTTGAACCAGGGAGTCGGAGGCTGCACTGACCCGAGATCGTGCCACGACAGAGAGAGACTCTGTCTAAAACAAAAAAAATTAAAGACAAAATTTTAAACTTAATTTATTTTAAAATACCAATAATAGACCCATTATAGGTTGACATGAATAGCATATTTAATGAAAAACAACTATATCTCCAAGACAGAAAATAATTGAAAAACAGCACTGTGTTACATTTTCATGTCCGGCTTAATAGAACACAGCTGGATTCTCATGTTAGTTTCTGCATTCAGTCTGTTGTTGTTTTGGTTGCAGTAGGTGAAGAAAATCCAGCCTTACACAGATAAGAGGTTGGAAAAGGGAGAGATATTTTAATAGCCTATAATTTGGAGTATTCTTCTTTGATACTACACTGAAACTCAACATGTGATAAAGTCTTAAAGACTAGTTGCAGTGTGAAATACAAAGCCATATTATTGAACTTTTTGTACCCTGTCGCATTAAAACTGTTGGTCTAGGTTGCACTTGAATGGATTTATTTCCCAGGTATGATTTTGTAATATAATTGCATGAAGGCATTTAGAAGTTTCAGTTCCCTGAGTTATATAGATGATCCAAATGTTGATAGATTGCATCAGAGAATATTTTAAAAAATCTCATTCATTAATATGAGCACTTAGCAGCTAAGTCTGTAAGTATTGGGAAGCTGTCAGCCTTACAGTGGTGGATCCAAGTTTTCCAAAATTTGAATTTTTGCTTGAAAGTTCCAATTTTATCATGACAACAAATTCTGTGTTGTTTTTCTTGAAGTCACAGTCTCGCTTTGTTCACTTGGAAGAAAATGTAAGCAAAAGTAGCCCGGCATGCAAAAAGCAGCAACTTCAGCTCACAATTCAAATAGGCAACCCTGTCTCAATCAATCAATCAATAAAATAAAAATTTTTAAATAGTCTCCCATCAGGATGTTAACTGAGGCATATGTCTACCATGGAGGAAAGACAATGTATCCGTCCATCCATACTGCCTCCTCTGGCAGAGACTGATATGTTTCACATATCCCTGCCCGTGGTCACTCTGCCTTCCTGATTTCCATTTCCCCACTGAAGCCCCGTGTTCCTCTCAGTTAAGTGTCCAGTGGCTGTCACTGTCTTTTTGCTGGGGAATCTCACTTGACTCAGAAACCTGCTTCCCAGGCAGGTTTCCCACTCATGTGCCACTTTTGTTTCAGCTGAGAACCACCCAGGGCAGAACTCTCCACTGAAATCTTAGAAGCTTTTGAAACTTAAACCCCTAAGGACCTAGAGAAGACCACTTTCTTTGCTGCGTGCTTCTCCCTGAATTTTGTGCTTGTGCTACTTCCAGGGGAGCAGAAATATTTCTATCATGCCTTCGGGTTTTAATCAGGAAAAAGTAATAAATAATTGTCATTGTCCATTCTCAAGTTGCAATCAGTTAAGAGACAGAGGAATCAGGTACCACAGAAAGGAAAATACCAGCTTTATTGTTGGTAGAATTGGCCTGGAGACTGTGGCTTTGTTTTCCATGTCAGTTTTCTGCTATTTTTGTCCTCCTATACTACTCCCTGCACTCAATCTTCAGACAGCCCTGGAAGGACAGTCAGTTCTGCAGAGCATACATGCTTTGTCAGAAGGTCTGCCTCCTATTTGTGGGCTCCAGCGAGGTGGCCCCCAGATTAGTGCTGTCCAGCAGAACTATCATGTGTGCCACATGTGGAGGCTGAAATTTTCTAATAGCCACATTTTAAAAAATCAAACAAATTAGGTAAAATTGTCCTAAGTATTACCATTTTATCATGTGATCAATATAAAAATGACAGTGAGATCTTTTGCCTTTTTAAAAAAACCACGCCTTTGAAATGCAGTGTGTATTTCAGCACACATCAACTCAGGCTAGTCACTCTCAGAGCCTCCGTAACCATTGTTGGACGGATATACTTCTCTGCAGCAAACGTCTGGTCCTGACCCACAGATGTTTACCACTGGGAAAACAACAATACCAGAAGAGTGTATCAATTGTTTCTCCCCACTTCACTTATCAGATGCCACTCCTTCTCTCCTCAGAAATGGGAGAGTGAAGAGTACTTGACATCTTGGGACTCATAGCGGGAGCTTCCTGCTTTATGGGCCAAGGTAGGAACTTGAAAGATGGAGAAAATAGTTCCTTCTACACATATCCAACCAAATGTCTAGCTAACAATAAATTATAAAACCTTAGAGGTTATCTGTCTTTTACAGAAATCACTATACATTTTATGCACTATAATAGTACATCTTTTGGAGCCAAACCTCACATATAATAAGATTTTAGAGACTTTATAGGCTTAATAATACTTTATAAAAGTACTGTCATTAAGGCCAAAGTGGAAAAATGGGAAACAATTATTGAAAAATATTTGTCAAAGTGAAGTGTACTGTCATATGTACATACATATTTTTGTTTGTTTATAAGTAAGTTAATTTTACTTTATTCAAGATATAACACTTTAAAGCTGAATAAAATACATGTATGTGTAATTATTTGCCTTTTCCAGTGTCTAGAGGTTTATATATTTATATTAAATTACATTGACCTTTATAATTTTTGGTATATACATTACATCTTTGAATGAAGATCTTGTGATCTTTTTCGTAAGTTTTTAAATAGGAAAGATATATATCTAATGCATATTTGTCTTAAAGACACTGCATTTGCGAAGCTTCTATTCCTAAGCAGAAAGTGGTATACTCATTTTTTTAACCTTCTCCCCCACTAAATTTTATAGTTATTGTTGTTGCTAATCTATAATCATACTGAACTCAACTATAAAAGTGTTATATAATGTTTTCTCAGGGTTAGAGAACACAAACTGTTTATTCAAACTTTTTTTTTGATCAAAATAAGTATTTTGCCCATTGATCTCTGGCTTTGGTCTAGTTGTTTGACTCCTTTGATTCTGGCCTGAATAAGGTTATTTGTTCCAAATACTTTCAGGAAATGTTTAGTCACTATTCTGCATGCTGTAGACAAATAAAAGATTGCCATGGCCCTTGCCTTTGCGAAGCTCATAGTTTATTGAAGCATATGTGTGCATGCATGCATGCATATTGAATGAACTATAAGATAAGAAATACTATTTAAGTATATTAATAAATGCCATGTGTACAAAGAAGAGATAATATTTACTGAATGTCAAGAAATAGCTTCTGGGTATAGTTTGATTTGGTATATATTAAAATTGATATGGCTTTTTGTAAGATGTCATTGTGGGAAAAGCTGGGTGATAGATAGCTACACAGGATCTCTCTGTACTATTTTGCAACTTGTTTTAGATCTATAATTATTTCAAAATAGTTTTTTAAAAGATTGATATGGCTTTCAAACATCCAAGTTGAGCTGTGGACAGCTATCTATATGAATTTAGAGTGTATTAGAGAGGTAGGGACTAGAAATACATTTGGGAATTCTCAGTGCATAAAGAGGAGTCACAACTAGGAGGCTCGGTAAAATCCTTAAGTAAGTAAGTAGGTAGAGAAGGAAGGAGGAGAGAGAATGAAGCCCTAGGACCCTACAATATTAAGAATTGAGGATGAGGGGAAACCAACAAACACTGACAAGCAATCTTGAAATCAAGAAATTCTACCCTTTCCTTCATATATCATCATTTTTTTCATTATTACATATTTTCCTTTAATAAATATTATATTTTTTAAATCTTCAGTGTTTCTGTCATAATGGGTGAGAGTGGATGAGACCTGGAATCCAGGTGGAACAATTCACCTTGGATAGGATCCTGTCGGTTTCTCCCAATAGCAGGAGAGATTTGAGGAGAGAAGAGAGGGTAAGGTACAAAGTAGTGTTTTAGGAGACTGGGAAAGCAGACAGACAAGAAAAATGTAGTAAGATTACTGGGGCCCCTTAAGGGCATCCTAATGAGTGCCTCTTTTAGTTTTTAATTGTAGCCGTACTTAGGAGCTCTCAAAATGTTAACAATGTCTGCTGTATTCATCAGTTCTCATGCTGCTATGAAGAAATACCTGAGACTGGGTAATTTATAAAGAAAAGAGGTTTAATTGACTCATGGCTGGGGAGGCTTCAGGAAACTTACAATCATGGAGGAAGGCACCTTTTCACAGGGTGGCAGGAAAGAGAATGAGTGCCCAGCCAAGGGGGAAGCCCCTTCTAAAACCATCAGATCTTGTGAGAACTCACTCACTATCACAGCAGCAGCATGGGGGAAACTACTCCCATGATTCAGTTATCTCCACCTGGTCCCGCTCTTGACACATGGGGGTTATTACAATTCAAGGCAAGATTTGGGTGGTAACACAGAACCAAACCGTATTATCGGCTGTCCTTAGAATTTGCATGGTTTGGACAAACCTACCTCCTCTCCAGTGCTTTGGCTTTTCTTGGACTTACCCTGCTGTTTATTCTTCACTTTTTGCTCTCCTCTTGCCTGGTGCCTGCTTTTATCTTTATGCAGATTTCCATGTTGATTAAAACATTTAGAATCTTCCCTTTCCAATTCAGGCAGTTCTGTACTATAAAGTACAAATATTAGGTTTCCTTACCTACATAACTTCGTAGTAGTGGTGATTTGAACCATGCATGGGCCATAGTAAGTATGAAAATACATATTTGCTACTTTTTAAAATTAATATTGTAGTTGCTGCTGCTTTGTTGTTACCGAACCCTATGCTAGTCCTGTAGTGAGAACCCAAAGGAAGTTTGAGATATGGTCCCTCATTCTAGTGGACTTGCAACCTAGGAAAACAGTGTATTCACTCACAAAAACAAAGCAAGGAATACAAGATAGCATGATAGTGAGTTCTGAATTTGAGGATTATAATTTTCCTATACCCTAGCTCATTTGATATTCACACACATCTTGTGAGGGTGATTATTAAGCAAGTATTATCATCTCTGGTCTGAGGGTCAGATTACTAGAGAGTGATTGGCCAAAGTTCAACAAGCAGGAGATATCCAATTCCTTTTTCAAACACAGGTCTCCTGATTCCAAATTTGATGTTGATCGCATGAGATTGCATGACACTTTTCTGCTAAAGGAACTGAAAAGAGAAGGGTCATTGTAGCCTGATATAGCCATGTAGGCACAGCCAAGACATAAGTATTTTGCATGCCTATCAGCCTATACAATGTCTTACCTTTAGTAAGTTGGAAAGTTAATTTGGCCCAAATGGACCATATGCTATGAAGAGTCCCTCAAAAGACAAGTAAAGAAGTTTGCATATGATGTGGAAAGGAAACACGAAGCCGATGAATACTTGTGAATAGTGGCATGAACTGGAGAAAAGATGATTTAAGGATGTCAGTGTCACCACATAATAATAATAAGGGGAACTAATGCCTCCAAAAGTCTGTCCTAGGCACTCAGGCTGCACTCGAATTGTGGAGCAGATAAAACATTTTCATCCGTCTCCCTCGTCACATCCAGCCTTTCCACCAGATGCTATTATATAAGAGGAGGAAGAGATGTTGTAACATGACTGAATTGTCCCACCAGCTCCATGAAGTAAATTTGTCACCATTTTAACAGACACAGAATTTAAGTCCCAAGGAAGTTAGATAACTGCTCCCGTGTTTTATGAGCTAGAATTGACAAAGTCAGGATTCACATACGGGCGCGCTCCTAAACTCTTGCTTTCCACTACCTCCCTTGCCTGAGAAATTTGGCTGCAGAAGCCCATCCGGGGTGATTGTGATTAACTGGCCTGACTGGCAAGCTGAAAACTCCTTCTCTGTGCTTGGAAAATTATTTCACATTGGCGAAGGTAATCATTTAGTAGGAGAGATTGAAAATTGGCCAAAGGACCATGTACGCAGTACAATCATAAATGCTAATGCATTCTGCTCCTGGAGAGGACTCTGGTGGGATGCTGAGCTGTTGGTGCTCATTAATAAGCTGGAAGGAATACACTCTCCTTCCTGCAAAGCATGTGGATTCTAAATTCATAGGGGGTGTAAATCTTGGGGAAGACAGAGGAATAAATAAAAGATCTCAGAATTATGTCCAGCAAATACCAAAACATATTTTAACACGATAAAAGCAGTGAGGGAAAGGAATCTGAAAATAACCTCCCTACTACAGTGCTCTCCTCTTTCTGGCAAACTTCATGGTTCTGCAGCTGTTTATTACTCAACTGTAAATCTTTAGTGACTTGGACTCCCTTTGCTCTTCCATTCTTTCTTCATCGTATAAGCTCCCTCCTCTCATTTAAGTACCTTTCAAACTTACAGACAGATTTATCTCCTAATAGCTATTTCATAAATACACTATCTAGCCTGTGCAGTGAAGAAACTTATAATAAACAGCCATGCCCTTTCCTCACTGCTAGTGCCTACTGCTTCATCAAGTAGTGGCACCCATAGGATGTAAAATTGCAGCTATCGCAGGATGTCGACTTGACAGCCAGGGAGATCTCTTCATAAATGGGGATGGTAAACAAATAACTCAGTTAAAGATGTGGAGGCAGAAAGGTAGAAATGGTTAATAATAGAGTCAGTGGAGCTGGAGATATAGCCAGGAAAGGCCCCGTAGTATAAAAGGTATTTGAGCTGAGTCTTTAACTGATGAGGGTATTTGTCATGAGCATTACAGAAGGAAATATTAGAAAGATGGGAACATTCAAGACATATTTAGCAGTTTTAATAAAAACATGAAATAACCTAGTACCTTTAGTTAATTTTAAATAATATGGTATAAATTGGAGCATAGGATGAGGCCAGAAAGATAGGAAGGGGCCTGGGAATGAAAACTCTTGTATACCTGGCTAAAGGATAGACCTCATCTTGGGAATGGATCAGTTAGACGTAAGTTGTCAACCAGGTAGTGACATTGTCATATTTTTGTTTTAGAAAGATTACTTTTAGCCTGGGTGCAGTGGCTCACATCTGTAATCCCAACACTCTGGGAAGCTGAAGCGGGCGGATTGCTTGAGGCCAGGAGTTCAAGACCAGCCTGGCCAACGTGGTGAAAACCCTGGAGTCCCAGCTATTTAAAAGGCTGAGGTGGGAGGATCTCTTGAGCCCAGGAGGTGGATGTTGCAGTGAGCCAAAATCATGCCACTGCATGCCAGCCTGAGCAACAGAGTGAGACCCTGTCTCAAGAAAAGATACATATATCTCACCACTTTTGTGATGATTGGAGAAAGGAACAGAAGTGGAGGGCCACGGAAATTTCATTGTGAAGCCTCTTGCAGCCTGATGTGGGAGAGATGATGGTGGCCCAAGCTGAGGCATGAGCAGCAAACACCTGGATTTGGGCTCATTACTGCAATGTGGGCATGTGTGCTACCTGCATTTGTTTTCATACTGTATTTTCCTGAATGTGCCTTGAGGAAATTCCACCAGCTATTTAACATTTTATTCACTGAATCACCTCGCAGAGTTCCTTAATCATTATAGAACCATTTTTTGTCCAGTATGCCTCATCTGATGAGGGCCTTTTTATGCCACCCTATGAGTAAAGACTATGAAAGATTGATGCCATTTGATCACCAGGTATTAAAAATTCTCATGAGGAGAACAGAGAAAACAATTTTAAATGAACATAGACACAGGAAAATCTGGGAAACTTTATTGTTTAATGTTGTAGGCTCTCAGTGTGTTGAATTGAATTGAATCTTGATAGATCTTAGACACATCATAAGCTATTTTAATAGTAGCGGGGTAATGTAGAAAGAGACAGGTTTATAGTCAGACCTTCCAGAGTTTCTATCCAGTTTTGACTTTGGGAAAATTACTCTATATTCTGAGTTAAGTTTTTGCCTTTGTATAATGAGGAACTATAATCACTGCTGTATACATATAGATTAGTTTTAGAGTGTTTTTAGACACAAGTAAGAAGACAATTAAAATTGGTTTAACTACCAGAAAATTTACTGGCTCTTGTAAGTGAAAGATCCAGAGGTGGGGCTGACTTCAGGGCTGGCTGTGCAAGCAGCAGGCTTCATCACGGAGCCAGTTTCTTTCCATTTCTTTTCTCTACTTTCTGTCATGTTAGTTTCACCATAAAGTACTTTGTTGTAGTAGTTGCAGGACGATACCTGGTAATAACTGGGGCTATGTTGCTTCCTGATTCACATCCATCCAGATAGAGTGACAGAGCCTCCTATAAGACCAAACAGAAAGTTCTAAGCTTTATGCTGGTTAGAGCACTCCTGAATCAACCCTGTGGCCCCTGGTATGGCAGATGCTAATTAGCACCAGCCTGGATTACCTGTCACTCTGGTGAGAGGGATGAGATTGCCCTGGATGATCTAACTCTTGGTTTTGCATGATCCTGAGTAGTTTGAAGTGTTAGGATAAGACCTAGATTTTCATATCAACATTTGATTTTGCTATAAATACAGTGGACCTACTTTCAATGATATTAATAATAACAATTTGTGGTATATACCACTACAAGCATGTAATAGAAGATTTCTAAATGGAAAATGTGAATGAATGCTTTCAAATTTTGTTAAGGCCTGTATGTGCTCAATAACAATAGATGTATTTATTACTGATTTCAGTAACATTTCATCTCATTTCTAACATTTTTCATGCCCCTCTCCATGAAGATAAAGGTGACCTTCAAGCTATTGAAAAACTTAGGAATGTATTAGCTTGTATCATTGCTGAAAGTGAGCAGTAAAAAAGAGAGGGCCATCTACACTTTGCTGAAGAGTAATACTATTTCTGTGGTTATTGTACAAGGCAAAGGGTTAAGTTTAAGGTAAAGTGGCCTATACCCTGCATTACTCACTTTTATTATATGAGCAATTGATAATTAAGCAAAAAAGCATAATTATGGTGATGTTAAGTGTATAAATGAATGTGACAAGACAGGTATGATTATTTTTGTGTTTGAATATTTTATTAGCTTTAGTAAAGCAAAAATTTTAAAACTTAACTTTCACTTTCATTTGCGTAATATTTAAAATACCGTTTCATCATATTCTATACGATTTATAAACAGCACTTAACGTGCTATACTAAGCACTGAGAAGAAAAGAATGACTAAGTGGGGGTCCACAGCCTGGTGAGGAGAGTGTACACCATAAAAGCACACACAGCATTTGGCATCAGCACACAGAGAGATGACTGTTAGGCTATTAGCAAAACATAAAGTGATTTATTGTTTTAATGAAGTTAGTTAAATATAGCTGAGATAATTTGATGTCTCTTTTGTGGCTCCAATGTTTGCTGGCTCCTGCAAGCCATCCTGTTATCATCAGAGCAGATTTACAGGTGCTTTAAAAACTCTGAGTTATAACTCACTAGTGGGTCCTGTAATTAGTTTGAGCATTGTGGTCAGCATTAAAGACACACAAGCAAAACAGACCACTAGACTGTGGATTAGGATCGGAAACATCAGAATGTATCTCCCCTTAGTAGGGGGTCATATCGTTTCCTGACATTTTTGTTTGCTTTCAGTATATGCAAATATGTCTGTGTATATATATGTATAATAATTGACTTTTGATACATAATATTGTTTCTTACTGTTGGTCTTGGGCAAAAAAGTTTGAAAGCTACTGTGTCAACTTACTGGCAGCTGACGACATACATCAGAGGAGTGCCTGCTCCAGGAGCTGGCATAAGACAGCATAGGAGTGTTTTTCAGTCCTTTAACATAATGTCATTTACAACCGAAATCGCCTGTCTCCTTCAACCCCATCCACTCTGTCCAGACTCTTGCAGTGACCACCTCACTGTACCTTTGTTTCAAGTCCCAGGACCCACCTCCATTCACCTCCTAAACTCACCATTGGCCAGTTGGTTGGGTCACTCAGAAGCTTAAAGGCTCCAGAGCTGCACACTTTCTTTGCTATTAGAATTAACCAGGAAATGCTCATGCAAGATACTGGTTTCTTTCCACGAATGCCGATGTCTTTCCCAAACCCACGGATTGAGTCAGTAAGCCTGATAAGAGCCAGGGAATTTGCTTTTTTGAGGTTGCACTTAGGTAATTTCAATACAGGTGGTCTGAAAATCACACTTTAGGAAAACAGTGCTACAAAGCTGTGAACTTGAACCTTTTTTACTCATGTAGCTAAATTAAAATCACCTGATTACCTCTCACACACTTGATATCTAAAAATTTTATAATTTTAAATGATTACAAAGGAAGGCATAGTTTCCAGCACATTTTAAATATTCACATTTAAAGTAAAACTGTAACATAGCTCTATTTGTATACAACATATGTGATTTGATATCTACTGCTATCACTTAAAAACATACAAGAACACATCTACAGCTGTCAGAAAGGTTGCATCTTTCCTTTTCCTCAAACCATTTCTACTGTGTCTTTTGTCAAAGAGAAAGCCAGATACTTTTTAAAGGCAGTAAAGACAGATTTTCTTAAGTACTAACTACTGCAGAGGGAAGAGAGCCCAGCATAAACCAAGCTCAGCTTCACCAAAACAAAAAAGGCAGAATACTTTTTCAACACTGGGGTGTGTGAAAGGAAAGGCACAAGGGGCGTTAAGGGAGGTTTGGTCCATGTAACTGAACCATCTTGGTTTGCAAATTGGCACTTATCTGGAGAAGAAACAAACTGCTCATGTCTTTATGACAGCAGGTAGTTGTGCAAGTTGGAACAAGGCATCCATGGAAGTGAGGCCCTTACCCTCCCACAGAGAGTTGGCTCCTTGAGTGTTTATATTGCAAAGAGACTGATCCCAGGTCCTTCAGGAAACACACTAGGTGGTAGAAGATTTACATCTCAAAGGGACAGAGAAAGGATTATAATTGCAAGCTTTCTAAAGTAACTGCTGTAAAGAGGGGTTGAGGAGCCTATTGGCTTATCACCAGGTGTTGGCTAGAACAAACAATGCATTCTACTGACAGCTTTGAACTTTCTTGGCATTTTGACGGGGACTGGAGTCATTCTAGGGACATGGCCTTGCTAGAAGCCCTGCTAAAATTTGGTCAAGCGTATTAATGCAGGGGTTTGGATGGAGTCATTTTGTGTGGAGAGTTTGTGTAGTTTTCACTTTCGTATAATTTTATTGTAATGCAATTCAACGTCTTTGTGCTTAAAATCATGTTTCTCTGCATCAGAAATAATCAAATAGAAAGTAACATTTAAAAAATGTCTTGTGACTCTAGGGTTTCAAGGGTTTTTTTAAAAAATCTATATTCAGTTATTTTTTCAATTATTGCAGCATATATTTGATCAGAGCAGCATTGATGTATCGGGGGAACCCACCCCCAATATTTCAACATAGGTTCTTTCTATTTTCCCTAAGTGTTAGCTGATCTGAGAAATAAAGAGAAAGAGTACAAAGAGAGGAATTTTACAGCTGGGCCGCTAGGGGTGACATCACATATCGGTAGGTCCTTGATGCCCATCTGAGCCGCAAAACCAGCAGGTTTTTATTAAGGACTTCAAAAGGGGACGGGTTGTATGAACAGGGAGTAGGTCACAAAGATCACATGCTTCAAAGGGCAAAAAGGAGAACAAAGATCACATGCTTCTGAGGCCAATAAAGATCACAAGGCAAAGGGCAAAATCAAAAACTCCTGATAAGGGTCTATGTTCAGCTGTGCACGTATTGTCTTGATAAACATCTTAAACAACAGAAAACAGGGTTCGAGAGCAGACAACTGGTCTGACCTCAAATTTACCAGGGCGAGGTTCCCCAATCCTAGTAAGCCTAAGGGTACTGCAGGAGACCAGGGCGTATTTCAGTCCTTATCTCAACCGCGTAGGACAGACACTCCCAGAGTGGCCGTTTATAGACCTCCCCCCAGGAATGCATTCCTTTCCCAGGGTATTAATATTAATATTCCTTGCTAGGAGAAGAATTTAGGGATATCTTCCCTGCTTGCATGTCCATTTATAGGCTCTCTGCAAGAAGAAAAATATGGCTCTTTTTGCCCAACCCCACAGGCAGTCAGACCTCATGGTTCCCTTCCCTTACCTTGTTCCCTAAAATCGCTATTATTCTGTTCATTTTCAAGGTGCACTGATTTCATATTGTTCAAACACACATTTTACAATCAATTTGTACAGTTAACGCAATCATCACAGTGGATCTGAGGTGAGGTACATCCTCAGCTTACGAAGATAACAGAATTAAGAGATTAAATGTAAGACAGGCATAAGAAATTATGAGTATTAGGGAAGTGATAAATGTCCATGAAATCTTCACAATTTATGTTCCTCTGCCACGGCTCCAGCCAGTCCCTCCGTTCGGCGTCCCTGAGTTCCCGCAACATTGATTTATTTTTTTGATAAATAACTATTAAATATAAAAATAAAATTATATTCAAAATGCACATCTTAATGAGGTAGAGATTTAAATATTGTTTTTAACTAGTTTATGTGCTCTTGGATGACTATTGTTAGATTGTGATTGAGTTCAATGTCAGTTTTCTATTTTATATTTGCATAGATATGAGTACTTAAAAACATTGTTCACATAAATAAGTGGGTGGAGAAGTTTTGCCATAGCAGATTCACTTAATTCTTTGAATTTCTTATAAGTTATAGACCAAAAATCATATAGCAAACTTTTGTTAAAAATTAATTTTTAATGATTTATCAGCAGACGCCTCATTTAGATCCTTCATAAATTGTGTTGAAAGCACAGCATTGGGCCTGTAATCCCAGCACTTTGGCAGGCTGAGGTGGGCAGATCACCTGAGGTCAGGAGTTTGAGACCAGTCAGGCCAACATGGTGAAACTCCGTCTCAACTAAAAATACAAAAATTAGCTGGGTGTGGTGGCAGGCTTTTGCAATCTCAGCCACTTGGGAGGCTGAGGCAGGAGAATCTCTCGAATGCGGGAGGCAGAGGTTGCAGTGAACCAAGATTGTGCCACTGCACTCCAGGGTGAGTGACAGAGAGAGACTCAAAAAAAAAAAAAAAAGAAATTAAATGGGAGATGTTACAACTGATACCACAGAAACACAAAAGATCATTCAGAGCTACTATGAACACCTTTACACACACAAACTAGAAAACCCAGAGGAGGTGGATAAATTCCTGGAAATATCCTAGATTAAATCCGGAAGAAATAGAAACTCTGAACAGACAAATAACAAGTAGCAAGACTGATACAGTAATTTTTAAAATTGCCAACCAAAAAAGTCCAAGACCAAATGGATTCACAGCTGAATTTTATCAGGCATTCAAATAATTAGTACAAATCTTACTGAAACTATTCCAAAAGATAGAGAAAGAGGGAATCTTTCCTAAATCATTCTGGGAAGCCAGTATCACCCTAATACCAAAACCAGGAAAGATGTAACAAAAAGGGAAAGCTATGGACCAATATCCCTGATGATCATAGATGCAAAAATCCTCAACAAAATAACCAAATCCAACAGCATATCAAAAAGATAATACTGCATAATCAAATGGGTTTTATACCAGGGATGCAGGGATGAATTAACATATGTAAGTAAATAAATGTGATATATCACATAAACAGAATTAAAAACAAAAATCATATGGTCACCTCAATACGTGCAGGAAAACGTATTTGACAAAATCCAGCATCCCTTTATGATTAAAACCCTCAGCAAAATTGGCATATAAGGGACATACCTCAAGGTAATAAAAGGCATCGCTGACAGACCCACAGCCAACATTATACTGAACAGGGAAAAGTTGAAAGCATTTTCTCTGAGAACTGGAATAAGACAAGGATGCCCACTTTCACTATAATGTTGATGCTATTCAGCATCATGCTGGAAGTCCTAGCCAGAGCAGTCAGACAAGAGAAAAAAATAAAGGGTGTCCATATTGGTAAAGAAGAAGTCAAACAGCCACTATTTGCCAATTGATATGATTGTATACCTTGAAAACCCTAACGACTCATCCAAAAAGCTTCTAGGTCTTGTAAATGAATTCAGTAAAGTCTCAGTGTACACAAATCAGTGGCACTGCTATGCAACAACAATGACCAAGCCGAGAATCAAGTCGAGAACTCAACCTTTTTTACAACAGCTGCAAATAATAATAATAATAATAAAATACTTAGGAATATAAGCAAGGAGGTGAATGATCTCTACTTGGAAAACTACAACACACGGCTGAAAGAAATCATAAATGACAGAAACAAATGGAAACACATCCCATGCTCAAGGATAGGTAGAATCAATATTGTGAAAATGACCATATTGCCAAAAGCAGTCTATAAATTTAATACAATTCCCACCAAAATACGATCATCATTCTTGACAGAACTAGAAAAAAAATCCTAAAATTCATACAGAACCCAAAAAGAGTCTTCATAGCCAAAGCAAGACTAAACAAAAAACAAATCTGGAGGCATCATATTACCTAACTTCAAACTATACTATAAAGCTATATTAATAGTTACCAAAACAGCACTGTACTCGTATGAAAATATGCATATAGACCAATGGAACAGAATGGATAACCCAGAAACAAAGCCAAATACTTACAGCCAACTGATCTTTGACAAAGCAAACAAAAACAAAGTGGGGAAAGGTCACTCTATTCAACAAATGGTGCTGGGATACTTCATTGGCAAGCCACCTGTAGAAGAATGAACCTGACTCCTCATCTCTAACCAAATACAAAAATTAACTCAAGATGGTTCAAGGACTTAAATCTAACACCTGAAGCATAAAAATTCTAGAGGATAACGTTGGAAAAACTCTTCTAGACATTGGATTAGGCTAAGACCAAGAACCCAAAGCAAATGAAACAAAACCAAAGATAAATAGATGGTACCTAATTAAACTAAAAAGCATCTACACTGCAAAAGAAATGATCAGCTACTCAACAACCTACAGAGTGGGAGAAAATATTCACAAACTAAGCATCTGATAAAGGACTAATCCAGAATCTACAAGGAACTCAAACAGATCAGCAAGAAGCAAGCAAACAATCCCATCAAAAAGTAAGCAAAGACATGAATAGATACTTCTCAAAAGGAGATACACCAGTGGCCAAAAAACAAGAAAAAATGTTCAACATCACTAATTATCAGGGAAATGCAAATCAAAACTACAATGAGATGCCACCTTATTCCTGCAAAAATGGCCATAATTTAAAAATCAAAAAATAATAGATGTTGTTATAGATATGATGAAAAGGGAACATCTTTACACTGCTGGTGGGAATGTAAACTAGTACAACCACTATGGAAAACAGTACTGGAGATTCCTTAAAGAACTAAAATAGAACTAACATTTGATCCAGCAACCCACTAGTGGGTATTTAACCCGGAAGAAAAGAAGTCATTATATGAAAAAAACACTTGCACATGCATATTTATAGCAGCACAATTCGCAATTGCAAAAGTATGGAACCAGCCTAAAATGCCCATCAGCCAACAAGTGGATAAAGAACATGTGAGGTACACGTGTGCACACACACACACACACACACACCCCATGGAACACTACTCAGCCATAAAAAGAAATGAAATAATGACATTCTCAGCAACCTGGATGGAGTTGGAGACCATTATTCTAAGTAACTCAGGAGTGGAAAACCAAACATCTTATGTTCTCACTTATAAGTGGGAGCTAAGCTATGGGGACTCGGAGACATAAGAATGACATAATACACTTTGGGGACTTGGTGGGGAAGGGTGGAGGGGAATGAGAGAGAAAATACTACACGTTGGATATAGTATACACTGCTCCAGTGATGGGTACACCAAAATATCAGAAATCATCACTGAAGGACTTTTCCATGCAAACGCCACCTGTTCCCCTAAAACTGTTGAATTTTTTTAAAAATAACTTAGAAGAAAAAAAAGAAAGCAAAGCACTGGGAACCTTGTGACATGCAAGAAGAAGTTTGTTATCCAGTCACTGTGTAATCACCTTTCTACCACTTTGTAATCACTTTCTACCACTGCACAAACGGAGACCCCAGCTTTGCAGTAAAGAAAGAGTTTAATTGACTCTAGGCCAGCCGTGCCATGCTGGAAATGGAGTTATCACTTAATCAATTGAAGCCTTCTAGGTTAAGGTTTTTTAAAATGCAGTTTGGGGGAAGGGGTGTGGGTGGCTAGGAAATGGGTGCTTGCTGCTGATTAATTGGGTGCAATCATAGGAGTGTAGGAAGTGAGCCTCCTGGGTGCCCAATTGCTTCTGGGTGGGTCTGGGTGGAGCCATGGATCTCAGACATGCAAAACACATGAATAGATATCTCAGAAGGCCAGTCTACAATAGTGACGTTATCTGCAGGAGTAATTGGAGAAGTTGCATATCTTGTGACCCCAGAATGTAATAATGGCTGGCAATTGCTTATGTCTACATCTTAGGAGAATTCACGTTCCTCTCTCCTCTTAGCCTGATAGTCTCTCACTCACTTTACAAAGGCGGTTGAGTTTTGGGGCAAGGGCTGTTATCATTTAAACTATAAACTAAATGTCTGACAGCTTGAAGGCTAAAGGCAAGATGGGGGTTGGCTAAATTAGATCTCCCCCACTGCCATAATTTTCTCACTGTTAAAATTTTTGCAAAGGTGGTCTCCATTGGAGTCTGTTATACACCAGCATTCTGAATTGTCCCTTTGGTGTTCTGGAGCTCTTTAGACATCAGAACAATGTATCAGAGTCAGACTCAGGAAGAGTGTCAGACATGCCTTTCTTGTGTTAGTTGAAGGCTGTTGTCAAAGGGGAGTTGGGAAAGAGCACAGGCTTCACACCTTGATCAGTTTTAGGAAAGAATACTTAGAGAAGGTGGAAATTAATTTAGAAACAGATTCCCTTTAAACTGCCTGTGCCTGCGTCCCTGTTGGAAGGCTTTGTGTGCTAGTGGCACACATACCTCAGTTTGGAGACCACTGGCCCAAGGTTAATGTGTAAGTTTCCCAGCATGGCACCCCCAGTGGCCCCAGCACCCTTTGCATCTCTTCTCTTGCTGGACAATCCCTTGCCTAAGCACACGCATACACACATTTGCACCACCAAGAGCTTTTGCAGGTATAGCTTGGGAGTAAGACTGGAGAAGGAATGATGTTTGGCTTTGGTGATTGAACTCCTGGGATGGTTTAATCTTTTTCAGAATTGATTCCCCCTCCTTTCCCAAATATACTACAGCTGCTGCTCTGCACCCACTCCCCTACCCCATGAGACATCTTGCGGTCATGAGCTACTGTTTTTGGTGAGAATATATTATATCCTGTAGGTTTTTTGGAGCACAGTAAAACGTTGAGAGTTACAGCCTTAGAACATTCTTCTTCTATAAAAGCCTTTATTTAATTAATTCCTCATTCTGTCCTCTTTGCCTGCAATCCACCCTCCCCTCCTTCTTCCACATGAACTCCTGCTGATGCTTCAAGTTCTGCTTCAGGTGTCACCTTCTTTTTAAAGACTTGCCTTTCTAAAACAATTTTTTTTCTTGGTGTACCCACATACTTAATTTATATTTCTGTCACATTTTATATATTTTTATTTCCATGTAGACTTTTCCATTAGGATGTATGTTCTTCCAGGATAGTGATTCTGTCTTAATTTACCTTTGTATCCTCTGTGCCAAGGCCAGGCCTAGCTCATAGCGAGTATGAAAGTGTTTGAACATGAAAAGGAGGAGGGAGAGATGGATGAAAAATAGGGTGAGTTTGTAAATGGAAACCTATAAAGAGAGGACATCTGTGTATTTTTTTAATTAGTTAAATAATAAACTGTTTGTAAACCCTGATTTTTTCCACCTCACTCTGTAGGTAGCACCTGGATTTTTCTTAAGTCACCTGCCATTTCCTAAATAACAGCCTTATGTTCAAAGTCATGCTATGTTCTTTTTTTTTTAATTTTTATTTTATTTTTTATTTATTTATTTTTGAGATGGAGTTTCGCTCTTGTTGCCCAGGCTGGTGTGCAATGGCGCGATCTCAGCTCACTGCAACCTCCACCTCCCGGGTTCAAGTGATTCTCCTGCCTCAGCTTCCTGAGTAGTTGGGATTACAGGCACGCGCCACCACGCCCGGCTAATTTTGTATTTTTAGTAGAGATGGGGTTTCTCCATGTTGGTTGTGCTGGTCTCGAGCTCCCAACCTCAGGTGATCCAACCGCCTCGGCCTCCCAAAGTGCTGGGATTACAGGCATGAGCCCCTGTGCCCGGCGCTATGTTCATTTTTAAAAGAAAAAAAGTCTGCTTAGCAAGATTTCACAGCGGTGAAGTAGGTGCAGATGATGTAGGTCATCTTGGTGAATTATGAATCAAGCCATTAGCTAAAACCTCTGGTGCTGATTGTGTTGCTCTCCTGCTGGAGATCCTTTTATGCCTCCCAAGGCATGAAGATGATGATACTGTCATCAGCTCAGTATGCAGGGCGCTTCCTCATGTTGTCATTTCTGCTTCATTCTTCCTCATTCTCTGACAGACTGTTACTTGTGTCAGCGGCATTTGAACCAGAGCAACTCCATCTTGAATAGGAGCTGGGTGAAATAAGGCTGAAACTTACTGGGCTGCATTCCCAGGAGGTTAAGGCAATCTAAGTCATAGGATGAGACAGGAAGTCGGCACAAGATACACATCATAAAGACCTTGCTGATAAAACAGCTTGCAGTAAAGAAGCCAGCTAAAAGCCACCAAAACCAAGATGGTGACGAGAGTGAGCTCTGGTCATCCTGACTGCTACATTCCCACCAGCGTCGTGACAGTTTACAAATGCCATGGTGATGTCAGAAGGTTATCCTATATGATCTAAAAAGGGGAGACATGAATAATACACCCCTAATTTAGCATATCATCAAGAAATAACCATTAAAATGGGCAATTAGCAGCCCCAAGGGCCTATGGAGTAGACATTCTTTATTCTTTTACTTTCTTAATAAATTTGCTTCCACTCTATGGACTTTGTTTGTTTGTTTGTTTTTTATTATTATACTTCAAGTTCTAGGATATACGTGCAGAACGTGCAGGTTTGTTTCATAGGTATACATGTGCCATGGTGGTTTGCTGCACCCATCAACCCATCATCTACATTAGCTATTTCCCCTAATGCTATCCCTCCCCTAGCTCCCCACCCGCCGACAGGCCCTGGTGTGTGATGTTCCCTTCCCTGTGTCCATGTGTTCTCATTGTTCAGCTCCCACTTATAAGTGAGAACATGCAGTGTTTGGTTTTCTGTTCTTGTGTTAGTTTGCTGAGAATGATGTTTTTCAGCTTCATTCATGGCCCTGCAAAGGACATGACTCATTCTTTTTTATGGCTGCATAGTATTCCATGGTATATATGTGCCACATTTTCTTTATCTGGTTTATCATTGATGGGCATTTGGATTGGTTCCAAATCTTTGCTGTTGTGAACAGTGCCTCAGTAAACATACGTATGCATGTGTCTTTATAGTAGCATGATTTATAATCCTTTGGGTATATATTCAATAATAGGATTGCTGGGTCAAATGGTATTTCTAGTTCTAGATCCTTGAGGAATTGCCACACTGTTTTCCACATGGTCGAACTAATTTACACTCCCACCAACAGTGTAAAAGCGTTCCTATTTCTCCACATCCTCTCCAGTATCTGTTGTTTCCTGACTTTTTAATGATTGCCATTCTAACCGGCATGAGACGGTATCTCATTGTGGTTTTGATTTGCATTTCTCTAATGAACAGTGATGATGAGCTTTTTTCATATGCTTGTTGGCCGCATAAATGTCTACTTTTGAGATGTGTCTGTTCATATCCTTTGCCCACTTTTTGATGAGGTTGTTTATTTCTTGTAAATTTGCTTAAGTTTTTTGTAGATTCTGGATATTAGCCCTGTGTCAGATGGATAGATAGCAAAAATTTTCTCCCATTCTGTAGACTGCCTGTTCACTCTGATGATAGTTTCTTTTGCTGTGCAGAAGCTCTTTAGTTTAGTTAGATTCCATTTGTCTACTTCGGCTTTTGTTGCCATTGCTTTTGGTGTTTTAGTCATTAAGTCTTTGCCCATGCCTATGTCCTGAATGGTATTGCCTAGATTTTCTTCTAGGGTTTTTATGGTTTTAGGTCTTATGTTTAAGTCTTTAATCCATCTTGAGTTAATTTTTGTTTAAAGTGTAAGGAAGGGATCCAGTTTCAGCTTTCTGCATATGCCTAGCCAGTTTTCCCAACATCATTTATTAAATAGGGAATCCTTTCCCCATTGCTTGTTTCTGTCAGGTTTGTCAAAGATCAGATGATTGTAGATGTGTGGCGTTATTTCTGAGGCCTCTGTTTTGTTCCATTGGTCTATATCTCTGTTTTGGTACCAGTACCATGCTGTTCTGGTTACTGTAGCCTTGTAGTATAGTTTGAAGTCAGGTAGCATGATGCCTCCAGCTTTGTTCTTTTTGCTTAGGATTGTCTTGGCAATGTGGGCTCTTTTTTGGTTCCATATGAAATTTAAAGTAGTTTTTTTCCACTTCTGTGAAGAAAGTCAACAGTAGCTTGATGGTGACAGCATTGAAACTGTAAATTACTTTGGGCATCAGTATGGCCATTTTCACGATATTGATTCTTCCTATCCATGAGCATGGAATGTTCTTCCATCTGTTTGTGTCCTCCCTTATTTCCTGAGCAGTGGTTTGTAGTTCTCCTTGAAGAGGCCCTTCACATCCCTTGTAAGTTGTATTCCTAGGTATTTTATTCTCTTTGTAGCAATTGTGAATGGGAATTCACTCATGATTTGGCTCTGTGTTCATTATTGGTGTATAGAAATGCTTGTGATTTTTGCACATTGATTTGTATCCTGAGACTTTGCTGAAGTTGTTTATCAGCTTAAGGAGATTTTGGGCTGAGACGATGGGGTTTTCTAAATATACAATTGTGTCATCTGCAAACAGAGACAATTCACTTCCTCTTTTCCTAATTGAATACACTTTATTTCTTTCTCTTGCGTGATTGCCCTGGCCAGAACTTCCAATACTATGTTGAATAGGAGTGGTGAGAGAGGGCATCCTTGTCTTATGCTGGTTTTCAAAGGGAATGCTTCCAGTATTTGCCCATTCAGTATGATATTGGCTGTGGGTTTGTCATAAATAGCTCTTTTTATTTTGAGATACGTTTCATCAATACCTAGATTATTGAGAGTTTTTAGCATGAACGGGTGTTGAATTTTGTCAAAGACCTTTGGTGCGTCTATTGAGATAATCATGTGGTTTTTTTCATTGGTTCTGTTTATGTGATAGATTACGTTTATTGATTTGAGTATGTTGAACCAGCCTCGCATCCCCGGGATGAAGCTGACTTGATCATGGTGGATAAGCTTTTTGATGTGCTGCTTTATTCAGTTTGCCAGTATTTTATTGAGGATTTTTGCATCGATGTTCATCAGGGATATTGGCCTGAAATTTTCTTTTTGTTGTTGTTGTTGTGTCTCTGGCAGGTTTTGGTATTAGGATGATGCTGACCTCATAAAATGAGTTAGGGAGGATTCACTCTTCTATTGTTTGGATAGTTTCAGAAGGAATGGTACCAGCTCCTCTTTGTATCTCTGGTAGATTTCGGCTCTGAGTCCCTCTGGTCCTGGACTTTTTTTGGTTGGGAGGCTATTAATTGCTGCCTCAATTTCAGAACTTGTTATTGGTCTATTCAGGGATTCAACTTCTGGTTTAGTCTTGGGAGGGTGTATGTGTCCAGGAATTTATCCATTTCTTCTAGATTTTCTAGTTTATTTGTGTAGAGGTGTTTATAGTATTCTCTGATGGTAGTTTGTATTTCTGTGGGGTCAGTGGTGATATCCCCTTTATCACTTTTTATTGCATCTATTTGATATTTGATTCTTCTTTTATTCTTTATTAGTCTGGCTAGTGGTCTATCAATTTTGTTGATCTTTTCAAAATACCAGCTCCTGGATTCATTGATTTTTTGAAGGGTTTTTTGTTTCTTTATCTCCTTCAGTACTGCTCTGATCTTAGTTATAGTTATTTCTTGCCTTCTGCTAGCTTTTCAATGTGTTTGCTCTTGCTTCTCAATAATTCTTTTAATTGTGATGTCAGGGTGTCAACTTTAGGTGTTTCTTGCTTTCTTCTGTGGTCATTTAGTGTTATAAATTTCCCTCTACACACTGCTTTAAATGTGTCCCAGAGATTCTGGTACATTGTGTCTTTGTTCTCATTGGTTTCAAAGAACATCTTTATTTCTGCCTTCATTTTGTTATTCACCGAGTAGTCATTCAGGAGCAGGTTGTTCTGTTTCCATGTAGTTGCGCGGTTTTGAGTGAGTTTCTTAATCCTGAGTTCTAATTTGATTGCACTGTGGCCTGAGAGACTGTTTGTTATGATTTCCATTCTTTTGCATTTGCTGAGGACTGTTTTACTTCCAATTATGTGGTCAATTTTAGAATAAGTGCAATGTGGTGCTGAGAAGAATGCGTATTCTGTTGATTTGGGGTGGAGAGTTTTGTAGATGTCTATTAGGTCCGCTTGGTCCAGAGCTGAGTTCAAATCCTGGATATCCTTGTTAACCTTCTTTCTCGTTGATCTAATATTGACAGTGGGGTGTTAAAGTCTCCCACTATTATTGTGTGGGAGTCTAAGTCTCTTTGTAGGTCTCTAGGAACTTGCTTTATGAGCCCGTATTGTCATTGGTTCTCTTTATGTGATGGATTTTATATCTATATAAATATATATAGATCTATAGATAGAGGTATATATAGATATATATAGAGAGATATATAGATATATATATAGAGAGAGAGAGAGAGAGTAGCTCTTCTTGGTGCATTGATCCCTTTACCATTATGTAATGCCCTTCTTTGTCTCTTTTGATCTTTGTTGGTTTAAATTCTGTTGTATCAGAGACTAGGATTGCAACCCCTGCTTTTTTTCGTTTCCATTTGCTTGCTAAATATTCCTCCATTCCTTTATTTTGAGCCTGAATGGTCTCCTGAATAGAGCACACCGATGGCTCTTGACTTTCATCCAATTTGCCAGTCTGTGTCATTTAATTGGGGCATTTAGCCTGTTTACATTTAAGGTTAATATTGTTATGTATAAGTTTGATCCAGCCATTATCATGCTAGCTGGTTATTTTGGCCGTTAATTGATGTGATTTCCTCATAGCATAGATGGTCTTTACAATTTGGTGTGTTTCTGCAGTGGCTGGTACTGGTTGTTTCTTTCCTTGTTTAGTGCTTCCTTCAGGAGCTCTGACTTCTTTCTTGAGCGAGATCCAGAAACCCTCTCTTGGCGTCTGGATCTGGACACCTTTCCCGTAACGCTTTCATTCTGCATTCCAGCCAAGCCCATGTACTTCTAGGTGCCCCACTTGCTCCTTTGACTAGTGACCTCTTCACATTCCTCCTTTCTTGTCTTAGTTTCTATTCACTCTTGAGGACTCTCCTTGGAGATGTCACCTTTCAGCAACCCTTTCCTGACCTTGCATGCCCATCACTTCCAGTCTGCAGAGTGGCCCTTCTGAGGGCTTCCATGGCACCTTGTGTTTACCCTGTTGTAGTTGTAGGATGATCATGCCTCTTTGTAATGTCTTTTATCTCTCCGTATTTACAACTAGACTTTGACATACCCAGGGGCAGGGCCTTGATCTAATTTTGTCACCAGCACTCAGCCCAAGGCAGATGCACGGTGTGCACTCAGTGGATGTATGTTGAATGAATAAACAGCCATCAGTAGCTTGATGCCGTTGTGCCCCTTCCTGCATGACTTCCGATCCAGGGTGGCATTGTCCCAATGGCAAACATTTGGTCTCAGTTTTTTGTTTCTTTGTTTCAACTCACTTAAAGTGTCCTTTTTAAATGTCTCCTAGGGCCTTCTTACAGGAATTACTTACTGCAGAGTAACTGGGTAATTTTGGAGCATTCTGAACCACAACTTTCCAGGGACATGTTGAGAACATGTAATTTTATTGCACTTGTAAAGAATCTTTGTTTTCTCCGTATGTTGATCAGAGTTGTTCAGTAATTTAATAGCTATTTACTTTTAGTCTACAGTGTGTTAGACATTATGTTAGGTCTAGGGATACAGAGATTTTAAAAGCACAGTTTCTATCCTAAAGGATCTCATTGTTTAGTCAGGGAGATGTACAAGTAACTAGGTAATTTCAATGCAATATTCTTTGATATAGGTCAGGAAGGCTCCTCAGAGGAGTGAACCCCTGCACTGATTCCAGAAACACAGGCAAAGGCCTAAGAAAGGGTGATTATGTTTTTCTCAGATAACTATAGTTTTTAGTTTTTCTTTGAAATAAGATTTTCTTACAGTGTTTTAAAAATGGGAATCTAAGGAGACATTTCCATGTAATTATCTTCAATATACAAGTGGCTCTCAGTGGCTTCCAAGTCAGATTCCTTATCTAGCCTGGCATTCCAGGCCACATATAACTTACTCTCAGTTTATCTTTTCAACTAGAACTGTTTAATATTATAAATCAGAGATCAGAAAATGATGGCCCACAGGTCAAATTTAGCCCACTGCCTGTTTCTGTACAACCCTTAGCTAAGATTGGCTTTTACATCTTTTTAAAGGATTGCAAAAACCAGCCAACCAACCAAACAAACCAGAGTGTCTAATAGAGACTCTGTGTGGCCTGCAAAGCCTAACATATTTACTGTCCAGCCCTTTATGCCACACCATGTCTAAACTAAAGTGCTCTAGTAGTTAGAGATGTGTCATGAGCCCTCCTACTTACGTGCTTCCTCAAATGCACTTTTACTGTTCTCTTTTTAAACAGTGTCATCCATCCATCCATCCGTCCGTCCGTCCGTCCATCCATCCATCCATCCATCCATCCATCCATCCATCCTTCCATTCAACAGAGAGGCATTTGTTATGTATGAGCCACAATTCTGGGCTTTGGGAATGTAGCAGTGACAAACAATAAGCAATAGAAGCCCAGTATGTCAATTAGGAGGAAAAAGTACTGCAGGGCCAGGAGAAAGAGGTGGAGAGAGTGCCATGTTTCATGGAGTGGTCAGGGAAGGCCTCTCGGATAAGATGACATTTTTGTGAAGTCCCAAGAGAAGTAGAGGGTCAAGTCATGAGGGTGCCTGGGAGAACATTCCAAGTAGAGAGACCGATGACTGTGAAGACTCTGAGGGGGCCTGCAAGGGTGCCGGGGTGGTTGAAGTGGCCTGAGAGTGTGAAGGCAGGGAGGGGATAGGATCAGAGAGGCAGGGTGAGGGGAAGAGCAGATCGCATGGGGCCTGATAGGGCATGAAAGACTGGCTTTTATTCTTAGTGAGTTGGGAAGCCATTACACGGATTTGAGCAGAGGCGTGGCTGGAGCAGATGTGTGTTTTTAAGATACCATCGTGCTGCTGGGTAGTGCTGGAGTAACAAAGCAACCCCAGAGTCACAGTGGCCTAGCACAACAGACGCCTCCCTCAGGGCCCGTACCCACTTGGGGTCTCCTCAAGTACCTTGTCAGGAGAAGGAGTGGGACTGGAAAATCGGGTGTGATTGCCTTAGCCAGAGTGATACATGACACTTCTCTCACGTTTCATGGGCCCACCTAGCCATGAAACCCTGTCTAACTACAAGGGGGTTGAGAAGCATAGAGAAGCGGATAAGATGTGTGGTAGAAACCACTGTCTGCTACAGCCCACCCTTTTATTCACCAAGCCTTCTTTCCACCACAGAACACACTCTGCTTCTCCACTAGAGGAAACCACCCAGGGTCCTAGTCCCTCCAGGGAGCCCAAAGTTGGCATAATACTCAGTAGGCTGCGCATCAGGTCCAGCTGTGATCCAGACTGTGAACCAAATGGACAAATCCTCTGCCCTGTTTCCCCCACACCCACCCCGACACCCAACTTACATGGTGAAACAGGGACAAGATAATTGCATTAAGCGCTCACCTTGGAAAGGGAGACAATAAGAGATATTTGGCAGACACGACTGTGAGGCAGCTTAAAAAATCTGCTGTACAGACATTATGAAGGCTTCCCTACTGTGGGGTAGGTAAGGGGCCTTAATTAGGCCTTAATTCTGCTTTCTAGGAGCAACCTTGTTATCCTTTGTTCTCCATGACCCCAGTTTCTTCCCTCCAGGGAAGACCTCCCCACTTCCTTCCTGGGCCACATGAGGAGTGCTTGTTGGAGGCCTGTACCCTCAAGGTTGAAGGCCCAAGTGTTAAGTTTTAAACAGTCACAGGCATTTTCAGTCCAGGTTTGTGGTTTCTTGGGCAGCATCACTATCTCAGAAATTCAGTCAGGTTCTTATTTATTTAATATCTGTTAGTGTCATGTGCCCGTAGCCACATCTACAGGGTCTTTTCATTTGTTTTGAAATATTGTTCTGTATATCTTTGATGTATCACCCCTGTACGTTCTCTCTCTCCACTTAAAGGGGGCTAGCTTAAAGCTATCAGGTTTCTGTTTAAGGATGACATCATTAATTGGATCTCTGCCCTGAGTCATTTTGTCCAATTGAAAGAATTTACGGAGTGTCACGCCCTTGTTTTATCTCTTCCCTGAATCATTTTAATCTTCTAAAGGTTTTACTTGGCATTTGTTATATAAGGATTTCTCCGTCTTATCTCTTACTCATGGGGTCTAGAATTAGTAAGTTGGTTTTTGTTTTTGTTTGTTTTTTAACCCAGTATGGCCCTGAATTTCTGGGCTGTTTATTTTGTTTCACTCCTGCTTCCGATCTGGACAGTACTTCATGTAATACCCACAGCATCATATAACACCCAACACATTTCTGGTGTTCCATTTCCCAAGTTCATTAGGGGTATGATCTGCCCCCCAAGTTACCACAGATAATAGTTTTATTAAGTATTTTTTATAGCATATCATAGATTACGGTATTTTTCTAATCTTTTTTTTTTTTTCATTGCCTGATATCTGAAAACCAAAGCCACATATTGCCTCCCTCTTGGTACCTGTTGTGTGTCAGAATAAGCTAAGGTTTGTAGAGGCTTTCGGTAGATAGTCTCTCATGCACCTAATCCGATAAAAGACTGCAAAGGGGCCTGTACCACAAAGTCACTTAAGGATCCAGGCTGATGGAAGCCCCATCATTTTGTATTGGCACCATCTGGGCCCCATGTTCTCCTTAATTGTTGTGGTTAAAAAAGGGAAACTGGATAGTGAGCCATGTGGGTTTTTTTATTGCCCGGCTCTGAAATGGTATATGTCACTTCTGCTCAGATTTCACTGGCTGGAACACAGCTCATCCTAACTACAAGGGAATTGACAAATGCAGTGGAAGAGTTGGAATGCTTGTGTTTGGTGAGCACCACTATCTCTGTCACACTGGGAGACAAGTTAGAACCGTTGCAGTGCTCTTTATGAGAGATGATGGTGGCTGGGAACTGAGTGGTGGCAGTGAAGGTGGTAGGAAGTGGTTAGAACCTAGATATATTTTGAAGCTTGACCCAATAAGATTTGCTGATGTCATCCATGATTCCTCAGTCCCTCCACCCCCTTCTCACTATATTATCTCCCATGATATATGTGGTTTCTTTGTAAGCCTGGTTCATGTTTTTATCTCATTTTTTACAGGTCTTGGAAAGTAGATGTTTAGTACCTATTTATTAACTGATGAAACGGTTTAGCCACTTATCTTTATTTCAAAAAATCCATTATTATTTTTCATAGCAACTACTAATTGCTGCAGGGAACAGTTAAAAATATCATCTTGGTTTGATATTATAGTAATGATATACATGAATGACATGTTAATGCTGTGGGCTTAAGAAAAGAATGTTAAGAATAATGGTACCGTGGGGCCACTAGATACAGTAAAGAAATTGCCATTTTTTTTACTCTGGTACATTTTTTTTTAATCATTTCTTTCTTTTACTTCTGTTCCTTCCATTATGGAACAGTTTAAAGAAAATAAATCTACTAGATGTAAATTCAGTGTTAAACATATATTTTTTAACCATACCCTGGAGTCTTTCAGCAATGAACCTGTTTTTACAAAGTATAGTAATAAAAAGCTTGAATTAAGTAAAACGCCTAGTCAAATAAAACACCTTACATATTTTTAATCATAATATCATTCTGCTTCTTAGAGGTTCTAGCTGGCTCAGGAAAATTAACTTAGGATTGCATTTATTTACACTCTGCCTTGTTCAGTGTCAGGTTACATAGTTATTTTGAAATATTTAGTTCTCTTGAAGGATTATTTTAAATAGAAAATTTTCTAATGACACTGTAGTGATGAAGTCAAACAATTTAAACTCTTGAAAAAGTTACACCTGTCTCTCATAACCTACAGCTAGTTTTCTGAAAGCATAGACTTCAGTGTGAGGGCTAGACTCAGTAATGCTGACGAGACAGTTTATACATACAAAGTAGGTGGGTTATGCACTTGGATGTTGGAGCAGAGGACTTGCCAGTGGAATGCTTGTAGAGGCTAGATTGACTCCAAGTGTCTCGATAATGAAACATGACTGGGAATTTGCCTTGCAAAAAAGAGGGAAAGGAGCATTTCCTTGAGACAAGACGGCAAGTAAAAGCACCAGGTAATGACAAAGAGTCAGTGTGGCTGTAGCTTAGGGTTCGAGTTACAATTATACCACGAAGCCAGAGACTTAGCTAGGGACCAGTTTGTGAAGGTTCTTGAGTTCCGTGCTGAGAAATTTGGGGAGCTTATTTAAAAAAAAGGTTTTTCTAAAAGGGAAACATGTGACAAATTTATTAGGAAGATGACAAACCAACGGGAGAGGATGGCACATGTATTTTATCCATTGGTCAAATTAAATGTCAGCATCTGTTTACTGAGCACTTACTATGGGCAAGGCACTGTGCTGACTGTTTTACATATTGTCTTAAGTTCTTAAAGTTGTGCAGCAGGGGTCATTTTTTTTCATTTTGTAGATGAAGAAACTAAAGCTTGAAGCACTTTGTCAAGTTTCCTAAAGTCACACCAGTAGTAAATATTAAACACAACTTTTCTGAATGTATTGTTCTTCCTGCTTACCATATATTCATTCCATGGTTGGTTGACAAAGGCGAGTCAAGACTTGGACAACAATGATCTCATCTGGACCTCTTTAAGAGAATAGGGACCCATTGTTTCATCCAGGACCCTACTTCCTGCCCATGTGAATTAGCTGCCTATCCCTATTCTGTAGCCAGTCTGTTTTTGAAACTCTTCCATATCACACAATAGGCTAGGAAGAGTGTATACATTTGGCTAGCTGATATAGCCAAGTAATTTCTGAAATTTATATTTCTTGGGGAAACAAATATGAATATAATAAAAGATTCACTCTGCTATAAACTCTTATTCAGTCTTGATTTTGTCATTCAGCATTCAACCAGCATGCACTCTCTAATAAACTTGGAGCCTGTGAAGATGCAGAAATCGTTGAGTGGAAGCTGTGTAATGTAAGGTGGCAGGGAGCACTGCACTTGGTAACCAAGTGTTCTGGATTCCAGTTTTTACTCTTCTCTTGTACACGATGACCCCTAACATGCCACTGAGCCTCCTGGAGCTCAGTCTCTTCATCTACATGTATGAAGGGAGGGGTGGTCTGTTGAACAAAACACAGATCTAGTATTTTGTACTTCTGAATCACAGGGAGGAGTTAACAGTTTATTTGTGGGCAAACACAGTAACATAATTAATACTTGTCAGTCAATGGTGGGCTCTGATTTTTTTAATGGCTTAGAGCCAGAAATCTGGTAAGAAGTGGGGACTACGGAACTTGTTTGAAAGCTGCATTTGCAGTGCATTTCCAATTTCATTGGAAATAGTACTTTCCTAAAGATCTCTTTTATCAATATTTATATAGGATTAGGAAAATGTCCCCTGTCAGCATTTTTTTTGTTTGTTTTTTGAGACGGAGTCTCACTTTGTCTCCCAGTCTGGAGTGCAGCGGTGCGATCTCGGCTCACTGCAGCCTCCGCCTGCCGGGTTCACGCCATTCTCCTGCCGCAGCCTCCTGAGTAGCTGGGACTACAGGCGCCCGCCACCACGCCCGGCTAATTTTTTTTTTTTTTTTTTTTTGTATTTTTAGTAGAGACGGGGTTTCACCATGTTAGCCCGGATTGTCTCGATCACCTGACCTCGTGATCCATCCATCTTGGCCTCCCAAAGTCCTGGGATGACAGGCGTCCTGTCAGCATTTTAAAGTCATAACTCTGTTGAGTGACTTGGAGGGAGCTAGTAGGAAAGGAAGGGTCTGGGGGCAGCTTACCTCCTGGTGTGGTCACTCATGCCATGTATTTCAGCCTAGTCCTGCTTTTCAGAATGACCAGACATGTACAATGACTGCTTTTAGGAAGTAGAAAAAAAATGAGAGTCTGTCGTAGGAGTCTTTATCTCTTTTTATTAAAACAAAAAAATCAACACGTCCTTTTGAGGATATAGTAAAAATGTACTTGAGTAGCTGACAGAAGACTACAGCCCAGGATCCAAAGCAGCACAAATCAGTGAGGCCTGAGAAGGCGCTAGGATCTCTCAGAGGCGTCTGCTTCCTCCATCAACAAAGCACAAAGTTTAGACTTAGTTTTGTATTCTTGAGGCTAAGAGCTTAATATTTTAATATTAGAAAAATATAACTCCTGCACATTCTTGAGGATAGTATTTTATTAATTAGAAAAATATAACTCCCATATATCTAACACAGTATACAGGAATCTGATGCGTGTCACTGAATAAATGGGTGAAAACGATGTTTCGAATCTTTGGAAAGAAGGAAAGAAAAAAAAATAGCTCATAATCCTAACACCTTAATAATATATATATATGTATATGCATATGTCTGAATACATATTTCTTATATTTTTATACATACATATACTTTATATGCATGTACAGGTTGAATTTCCTGAATCTAGGAATCTGAAATGCTCCAATATCTGAAACTTTTTTAGTGCCAACATGATGCTCAAAGGAAATGCTTATTGGAGCATTTTGGATTTCAGCCTTTTGAATTAGGGATGCTAAATTAGCAAGTATTCCAAAATCCAAAAAAAATCTGAAATCTAAAATACTTCTGGTTCCAAACATTTCAGATAAGCAATACTCAACATATATATATATATATATACACACACACACACGCACACATACACACACACATAAAATAGAAAATATATAAATGCACACATACACACACACATAAAATAGAAAATACATAAAATACATATATTGTATATGCAGATATAGTTTGAAGTTTAATGTAAACATTATCTAGAGAGTTTTATATTCTGATTTCTAAGTTTTAACATTCTATGACAAACATATTCCAAAATGTTTGGATACTGTTTTTATAATTCTAATTTTAATGACTACATAATATTCCAGCCTGTAATTTAAAATAAGCTAGTTATCATTTCTTCTATCAATTAGATTACTTTTGAGGTTATATTAATAGTCTTATTCCAGTTAAAATCTTTATGCCTGTATTTATTTTCTTCTTTGGAATTTTTTTCTTATAATAAGTGATCAGAACTGGGAATATGGCTGTAGAAATGACTCCTCATTTTTGCACTGTAACTGGCAGTCAGTGTGAATACTAGTTTCATCACTTTACCTGCTTTGGATATTAACATTTTTAAAAATCTTAATTACTAGTTTAATGATGCAAATGGCACCTCACTTTTTGTTTTCTTCACAGAAGAAAAACTAGTATAACAAGTGCTATTTATTGGTTAAAATCATATATACAAAAATTTCACTTTTGTTCTAACTCATTAACACTTGCTGAATATGCAATAGGTAATAATGCAGGGTTCTTTGGTCTCACTATTCTTTTTTTTAAGCTGTCTGTGGAAGCCCGTAAAGAGATGACTAGAAAGGCTATTAAGACAGTCAAACATTTTATTGAGAAGCCAAGGAAAAGAAACTCAGAAGACGAAGCTCAAGAAGCTAAGGATTCTAAAGTTACCTATGCAGATACTTTGAATCATCTGGAGAAATCACTTGCCCACCTGGAAACCCTGAGCCACAGCTTCATCCTTTCTCTGAAGAATAGTGAGCAGGTAAAGAAATGGGAACTTCTATATGCTCACTCTGTATCAGTATATTCTTTCTTTTTTCCTTGAAAGTTACATTAGTCGTTTTGACAGGGTTTTCAGGCTTGCAGATATCCTTGAAAATTGTCCGCAAGCCTTTATTGGTTAACCTCTTCATGATCACTTGATTGACAATTCAGTTTCCACTTCTTTCAAAATGATGTTAAGCCACTTGGCACCGTTGATATGGGGAAATAGAGGAAGTGGGTGAGAAGGGTGGAAATGGAGATGGTAGCAGGAGTTGAACAATGGATAGCTGCCTGGGGTGAGGGGAGAGGTCTCTAAAATGAAGAAATGAGAAGACAGTGGTGCTCAGACTTTACTTCTAGCTGGTAGAATTAACAAATAAAAATAAAAATAGGCTGGGCGCGGTGGCTCACTCCTGTAATCCCAGCACTTAGGGAGGCCAAGGCAGGCAGATCACAAGGTCAGGAGTTCGAGACCAGTCTGACCAACATGGTGAAACCCCGTCTCTACTAAAAATACAAAAAAATTAGCCAGGCCCAATGGCGGGCGCCTGTAGTCCCAGCTACTCAGGAGGCTGAGGCAGGGGAATGGCTTGAACCCGGGAGGCGGAGTTTGCAGTGAGCTGAGATCACGCCCCTGCACTCCAGCCTGGGCGACAGAGCGAGACTCCGTCTCAAAAAAAAAAAAAAAAAAAAATACAAACATTAGCCGGGTGTGGTGGCACAACACCTGTAATCCCAGCTACTCAGGAGGCTGAGGTAGGTGAATCGCTTGATCCTGGGAGGCGGAGGTTGCGGTGAGCTGAGATTGCTCCACTGCACCCCAGCCTGGGCGACAGAGCGAGACTCTGTCTCAGATAAATAAATAAATAAATAAATAAATAAATAAATAAATAAATAAATAAATATTTTGATTTTCTTTTCCCTCCTAATTTTCAGAAAAAAAATCAGAAATAGCCTTTTATGTCTACACTGTATTTTTGTTAAACGTATACCCTTATCCTGTTTTTATGTTGCATGTTTCCAACATAAAATATAATTTCATTATTGAGAGGAATTTTTTGACTACTAAAATTGTTTCTAGGTGGTTTCTAGTTCCTTGGTGTCTCAAAAACAACATCATGAAGTTTGGGGTTCCCTACCTGTGATGAGGTTTGAAAACGCAGGTGTTAGGACTATACAATGAAACCAGAAGCTCTCTAAGGCCCTTAGAGATTTTGTTCTATATTTTAACAATTGTGGGAGTTGAGATAATTTTTTCTATAACTGGAAAGTTGACAAATCAATAAATAAATGATTTCCATGTAAGTGAAAACAGTGCTTATATATATGAATAATATTCCATTTGCCCTATAATACTATGGTAAATGAACCTTGTAAGTGGCCGTTAACCTCCTCTTTTATTTTTCTTAAACCTTACACATTTATTGAATTGTATTCTTGCCTTGTAGAATGGCTAGAAAGATCAGTCAGTGGAGACTTCAGGTAATGAGCAAATGGGAGACTTCAAAATTTGTACAAGACATAAATGCAAAGCCCCCATTGAAAAGATAATGGGAAGAACTTAAAATTTTGAAAGAAATTTTATTCATTTTGTGTTTTGGAATGCCTATTTTTCTGTCTAATGAATAATGTTAAATAATGGTATGAACAATATAGAAGGCTTTGCAGGAAACAAATTGGCTTTACCAATCTTGATTTTATCCTACTAACATTTACAGTACTACAGTTCATAATTAGGAGAAGTAGAGTAAAATTACAATCTTCAAGGAAAAGTGATCTATACTTATAAATTTTTAAGTACTTATTTTTAAATAAACACATCTAAAATTATTTTAAACTTATATTATTTTTTAATATACTATATTAAAACCCAGAGAATTGTCATTACTCTCTGTGGAACAAGAATTGTCTTTTTTTTTTTTTTTTTTTTTTTTTTTTGAGACAGGGTCTCACTCTGTTGCCCAGGCTCACTCACTGCAGCCTCTACCTCCTGGGCTCAAGCAATCCTCCCACCTCAGCCTCTTGAGTAGCTGGGACTACAGGTGTGTGCCACCACACCCAACTAATTTTTTGTATTTTTTGTAGGGACAGAGTTTCGCCATGTTGCCCAGGCTGGTCTCAAAGTCCTGGGCTCAAGCTACTCGCCCACCTTGGCCTTCCAGGTCTGAGCCACTTCACCCAGCCACAAGTATTGTCTTCCAATACCTAGAATAGTTTATGGGGGGATTCAAGGGGATTATTGATAAAAAACATGTTTGTTTCATCTAAGATATGATGCAAAGGTACCATATAGCTACTTGTGAGTACCGTTCAGTCAGACTATGGATGGCCCATAATAGGAAACTCTTGAGGTTCCTAAATTAGACATTATTTAATTTTATTAAGGCACCTTATATAGCAAAAGCTGGAAATAACCTTCAACCCCATGCATTTATCCCTTTTATAGTTCAGACCTTCATTTTAACATCCTTAATTATATACCCAGTACAAAAAAACTTATATCCTCATGAAGCTTCATTTAATCAAAGTTGAAGGCTTTCATCCTACAGAGCCTCAGTTCCCTCTTCTCTTAGGTGAGGATACTAGAAATTGCCCTGCTTAACTCATAGGGATTTTTCTGAAATAGAGAATTTCACAATGGGCAGAACAGTGAAATGAAACTTCATGTGCCCAACTCCCAGCTTCAACAACTGTCAGAACGTGCCCAATCTTCATGCATACCGCTGCCTTCCCTCACCTTGCTCTTGTGGATTGTGAAGCAAATCTCAGTCATCTTTTCATTTTATTCATAAATACCTCCCTATCTATCTCTAAAAGATACTTTAAAATAACCACTATAACATGATCACTAGAAAAAAATTAATAAACATTCTTTAATATCATCAAATATTCAGTTATATTCAGAGTTTTCTCATGGTTGGTTTCAAAGGCAAAACAGTATATTCAGGATTACAAGGGAAACTATAAAGAATCTGGAAACTGTTATTATCATTAAGTGACTGTATTTGGTATGCCAAAAAACAATAGCTTCCCTCTTATTTCTTAAATTATTTGGTATAACATTTGTTTTTACAGATCTTATCAAAGAGAGGCAGGCAGTGTGGCCTAGGGCAGGGGAATAGACTTTTGGGTTCTAATCTTAGCTCTGCTAATTGGTAGCCATGTGACTTTGGTCATGTTACTCAATCTCCTTGGTCTTTAATTTCCTTTTTTATAACATGCAGCTAATTTAAAAATACTTGCCGGGTTATTACAAGTATTAATTTAGATACCATATGTATAATACCTGGGATTACATAGTTATAGCTCAATAGATTATTATGTGGTCGTAGTGCGTTAGTAATAATAGAAAAGCTCATACTTATCGAGCATTACTTTATTCCCGAAGTGCTAAAGAACTGACCATTATATTATCTCAGTTAATGTTCACAACACCCTCTATTCACACGACCCTATTTTCCTCAACCTCATTTTGCAGATATTGAAATTTGAGATCACAAAGGCCCACTAACTAATAAATGGTAAAGCCAGAATTTGCACTCAAATGTGGGTGATCCTTGAGCCTAAGCTCTTAATAACTAACTAATACATGCCCTTTGGTATGGTGTTGCTGCTTTTCATGTATTTGGTTCGAGGATCTAAATATGTTTCACTTTGTGCATGTAGATACATTTAATTTCTATTTGATACTTAAGTGCTGATTACCATGTCTTTACAGGAAACACTGCAAAAATACAGTCACCTCTATGATCTGTCCCGATCAGAAAAAGAGAAACTTCATGATGAAGCTGTGGCTATTTGTTTAGATGGTCAGCCTCTAGCAATGATTCAGCAGCTGCTAGAGGTGGCAGTTGGCCCTCTTGACATCTCACCCAAGGATATAGTGCAGAGTGCAATCATGAAAATAATTTCTGCATTGAGGTAAGCTAGAAAGTGGTCATTGTGGAAAAACTGGGGTGACACTTTGTCAGTGATGGTGCTAAACTGTCATCCTGTATGTAAAAGCATTTTATAAGTTTTGAAGGACTTTACAAAAGTGAGAGATTATTTTTAGAGTTCTCATAGTCTTATGTCTTCAGAAGGGAGACCATGAAAATGTTTCATTGTTGGTATTGTGTATAACATCTTAAGCTATGTAATTTCTGGTTGGACCCCCTTTTACAATCTTTTCTTGAAATAAGGGAAAGGCCAAAATGGCATTTGACACAGGTAAGTAAGTTTCAGACTCTCCTGTGACTTCAATATGGTTTTTCAGATCTTACCATTTCTAATTCCCATTCTTTGTAGTAGTGGGAAAATGGTTCCCAGAAGGTTGTTTTGAAAAACCCAAGGCAAGGCTGATCATACACTGATGAAGTTAGACATCTGTAAAGTGTCTTTAGACATTATTTACCTGCAATTAATGGCATAAAACCGACAATTGAGAAATTCTTGCTTTGCGTCGATATGTGGGTGCCTTTGTAGGAATGCATCCAAGAGGATTAGAAAAGAGGCAGAAGTGACGCTCAGGAAATAATGAGGCATCAAGGACTTTCTGTGAATAATACAATTAGGCTAAAAGATTTAGTTATGTTTAATTTATTCTCCTTTTAAGCATTCTTTTTAATTCTGTATTGCTCTTGAGGAACTTTTTGATTAAATGCATGTCAGTTTTCTGCAGCTGAACTGAAATCAAATGAGCCTTTATCAGTTTAATTACCCCAGCCTCATACAGTTTTTACCTTAATGCTCTGAGGTATCCATTAATTTTATATATAGGGAGATATATAGAATTTCATAACTTTTTCTAAAAAAGAACAAATTTCAAATTAATAAAGCTTTGTTTTATTGTTTGCTTATTAGGATTTTTTGATGTTGATTATATGAACCAGTGTCCTCTTTCAAATGATGACAGATATTTGTTGGCCATATTTCATACCTTTTGGTTTATGGTTATCTTTTTATTATTTCTTAAACCAAGTTTTAGATGAAGCTCACAAAAATATGCATTTTGAAAAATTAGTGTTTTGATTAATTTAGTTTATTTCTTAAAAATTGCCCATTTTCATGAATAATTAAAATACGATGGAATAGTTTTTACACTTATAAATTTTTGACATAAATTATACTTATCTTTTTCTGCATCCAATTCTACCACTAAAGATTTGGTTCTGATCCAATAAATGGTATACTTGGCACACAGAAGACATTCAATAAATGTGAATTAAATCTTCCAGCAATGGAAGGAAAAGGGAACTTAAGGAATTCAGCTACTTCTGTTTCTAAGGAAAATAAATTTTTATTGACAGTGTTCATAACATTTACCTTTTAGGAAGTTAATAAAATGTAGTAGGCACGAAATAACAAAGACATGAAAGGAACCGAATCTGGCAGTTGATTTATATCATTAAATTATTCGAAAAACTCATCGAAAATATTTTTTTTCTCTGTTGCATTTTCAGAATTCACTAGAGTTCTACACATAACATCTGTAAAATGGGCATAATAATAGTACTTGTCTCATAGGATGTTGCATTTAATAGTAGCAGAATATATGTGAACTGTTTAGCATTGCCTGGTACTTATTAGTAGCAAGTAAATATTAGTGCTTTTAAAAAAAAAAAAAAACTTCAACTGGAGGATTTAAATCATTATTACATTTAATGCTTAAAGTAGCTCAATACAGTTAATGTTCAACGAATGTTTTTCGAATGACACAGCGCAAGTAGAATGTGTTATTCTCTTGATAGGAAAACATGTGTATATTAGACTGAGCTCCTTAAGGGCAGAAAATGTTTCATTAGCACCTAGTGTAGGGCTTCGTACATTTGTAGACATCACATAGCACAAATGACTATGGGCAGGCAGTATACTGTGCCAAAATCCAGCCAGGTTCATTTAAGGGTGTGAATACCAAGTTTATTTCTGAGACTTGAGTGATCCTTTTCTGAATCAGTTTATCTCTCTTTTCACAGTGGTGGCAGTGCTGACCTTGGTGGGCCAAGGGACCCACTGAAGGTCCTGGAAGGTGTTGTTGCAGCAGTCCACGCCAGTGTGGACAAGGGGTAAGACTAGAACAGTATGTGCATCTTCATTAACTGGCTTTCCTCAGAGTATTAGAATTGCTCTTAGTATCCGTATGTATGAGGCTTCCAAGACTAAGCCACATTTTTAGGTGGGAAAGGAGCGGCTCTGCACTTGGAGACATGGTATTCTTAGCTCTGTGCTGACCCCACCAGCTCCAGGTCCTGCTTGCCATGGAGAGCATTGTTTTCTCTTGCCTCCTTGAAAGCCATTAGAAATAATAATCATCATGATCATTCTGTCAGGGCAGAAACTGCTCTGAGCTTCCTACAAGATAGGGGATTCTCATTTCCAACACATTAACTGTATTGATTAAGTGTGGAAATTCCCAGGGTGAGTATATATGCTCTTTAAAATAAAAACAAAAAAACTTTGTATAAATTAAAGTCAGCTTTGTTTTAGGACTCAAAGTGTACAGGCTTTATAAGCCTAGAAAGATGTGTATCTCCGATGCTATTTTTAGAAAGAATTTTTCATTCAGGTACAATGATACTGATAAGAAAAAGAGCAACCACAAATGAACAGTTATGCATGTCCTCGAAATTCATAAAAGTCTTTACAATGCCTAATATCCATGTCAGCCATGTAAGTCCTCTCCCCAATTTTCTTTCTTTAATTGAAAATATGATAGAATATAATGAAGATGGGTTTGAGAAAACTCCCCATAATTCCATTTGGTAATATAATTATTTTTATTTGCATGTTACCTACCAGTTATTGTTCAGGTGCAGATATCTTTTTATATAGTTTCAATTTAAATGTATAAACTTTTGTATTCTCTTATCTACTTGCTATTGTAAGACTTTCCATTGATCTTTGTAGATTTAATGATTATTGTGATTATTATTTCTAACGGCTGTATATGTTGTTGCCATTTTCAGAGGAGGACCTAAAAGCTCAGAGAGAGGAGTTGACTTGCCCAGAGTCATACAGCTGGGAAATAGAACCAGGATTCCACCCTGGCTCTAAATGATAATGTAGTACTCAGATGCCGATGCCTTCATAGTCTATTTCCCTGCATGGCTTTGTGCACAAGGTTTGAGTGACAGAATATAGAATGAGCTATGTAGGTGAAGGTGGAAAAACATTGCAAGCAGGGGTTTCTACTTCCCGTGCTTTTTACCTTGCACAGTGTTTCTAAACCCCTTTGCTTATGGTTCTTCAGATAGGAAAGTCGCTGTAGCAGTGGCTAATTTAGGCCCCCGATTTTAAAAAGAAATTAATGATTCATGGGGTTTACTCTGTGCCATGCTCTGTGTGAAGTCACAAAGGAGTCATATGGATAAGAAACAACCTCTAACCCCAAGGAGCTCACAGTCTTGCGCGGGAGACGATCTGGCCTGTAGCCATAGTCACTGTGCTATAGAATGGGAAGCGCTGTACAGAAGGCAGAGTGGAGGGAGTAGTTAGGGCAGGATACACAAGGGGTGACACAGAGCTGGTCAGTGAAAGAACAGTCTGTTTGGAGGAGATAGATGATGGTAATTCCAGGCTGAGGAAGCTGCCTGAGCAACTCCACATGCAGCAGGTAGCAGAGCAGGCAGAGATGCTACGTGGGAAACACTTACCCTCCTTCCAGGGCCCATCTCACTACTGCCATCTCACTCCCAGCTTGTCAGTGAGTTCTCAGCCATCAGCTCCCAGGGAGCTGCCATCCGCAGCGCAGCTTCTTTCAGGCTAGGCTGACTCTGGATCCTGGTCTCCCAAGATGAAAGGGTCTCAACAGGTACTGTTTTAGTCCCCTTTCAATGGGGCTTCTTAGTCTTGTCCCACTGGGGCATCTCAAGAATATTAAAAGGCAGTATTTCATCTTAGTGAATTTCTAGCCACGTTTACAGAAGAATCCAATTTGAGACTTACTCTAATACAGACTGTTTTTTAAGGTTTGAAGAAGACATTAGGGAGTGGAGAAACAGAACAAGATCTTACTTTTTATTCTAGAGACACAGAATAACAAAGCCTTCTTAACAAAAGAAACTTCAGAGAACTTTTTTTTTTTTTTTTTTTTTGCCTAAAAAATAAAAAGAAGAAAAACAAAGCCATAACTTTTATTTTGGCAAGTATTTTTTGAATCTGCACAGTTAAACCTGACACCCTTTGTTTGGGTTTCCCTTCCCAATAATGCACCTGGCAGAATCATCTAGGGGAGACAGTTTGTGTTTTCCAGGTAGTTCTAAGGAGGGTCTTTGCAGTGATATGGTTATTGTGGATTTTGAAAGTAATGCTGTCAAGTTATTCATTCCTTGGCATGACATGACAGCCTAACCTCTAGGAGCCCGTGCCAGGCCTTATGTGCCCCTCACCCTTTCTCTTGTTGACATACCAAGCCTCCCTCAGTCCCAAACTCATAACCTGGACACCCACTACCCTCCATAGTGTCTGTTTTGACAATAACCTCACTCATATACATCTTCAGATGTCACACACAAAAGCACATTACATGCTTTTGGGTTATGTATATACTATCCCACAATATTCCTGGCAGGGAGACTGCATAAAAAAGTAAGAATTTGAGTGCATGTGTTGACAGCCACCACCAAATATGTGGTTTTGTGGTTAATTTTTAAGCAATTTATGCCATTTTTCACGTCCTCTTTTTTTTTCTTTTCTTTTTTTTTTTTACGTGGAGTTTGCTCTTGTTGGCCAGGCTGGAAGTACAATGGCGCAGTCTCGGCTCACTGCAACCTCCACCTCCCTGGTTCAAACAATTCTCCTGCCTCAGCCTCCCGAGTAGCTGGAATTACAATTGCCTGCCACCATGTCCAGCTAATTTTTGTATTCTTAGTAGAGATGGGGTTTTGCCATGTTGGTCAGTCTGGTCTCAAACTCCTGACCTCAGGTGATCCACCCACGTCGGCCTCCCAAAGTGTTGGGATTACAGGCATGAGCCACTGCGCCAGGCCCACATGTCCTCTTTTATCTTTTTATGTTGATGCAAATATTATTTGCTTCTTTTAAATTTAATTTTTTATATTGTATAATTGACACACAATAATTGTACACGTTTAGGTGGTACAATGTAATGTTCTTTTTTTTTTTTTTTTTTTTTTTTTTTGTTTTTTGAGACAGAGTCTTGCAGTGTCACCCAGGCCAGAATGCAGTGATGGGATCTCGGCTCACTGCAACCTCTGCCCCCGGGTTCAAGTGATTCTCCTGCCTCAGCCTCCCGAGTAGCCGGGATTACAGGTGCCCACTACCATGCCCGGATAATTTTTGTATTTTTAGTAGAGATGGGGTTTCATCATGTTGGCCAGGCTGATCTTGAACTCCTGACTTCAGGTGATCCACCCTCCTTGGCCTCACAAAGTGCTGGGATTACAGGCATGAGCCACAACGCCCAACCTGTAATGTTTCAATGAATGAATGATAAAATTGGTATAATTACCATATCCATCATTTTAAACATGTATCATTTCTTTGTGGTGACAACATTCAAATTCTTCTAGCGATCTTGAAATATACAATACATGGGTATTTGCTCTAATTCATCCTACTATATAAATAAGACACCAAAACTTATTCTTCCTGCCCAACTGTAACTTTGTGCCTATTGACCGTCCTCTCCTAGTACACCACACTCTGCTCCCCAACTCCCAGCAACCACCAATCTACTCTCACTTCCATGAAATCTTTTAGATTCCACATATGAGTGAGATCGTGTGGTATTTGTCTCTGTGCCTGGCTCATCTCACTTAACATAATGTCCTCCAGGTTCATCCATGTTACTGCAAATGACAGGATTTCACTGTTTTGTGGCTGAATGGTATTTATATGTACCACATTTTCTTCACCCATTAATCTTTAGATGGGCATTTAGGTTGATTCTGTATCTTGGCTATTATGAATAGTACTGCAATAAACATGGGTGTGCAGAAGTTTCTTCAACATACTGATGTTATTCCCTTTGGATGTATACTCAGTAACGGGATTGCTGCATCAAATGGTAGTCCTATTTTCAATTTTTAGGGGAACCTCCATTCTGTTTTCCCTAACAGCGACTAATTTATGTTCCCACCAACAGTGTATAAGGGTCCACTTTTCTCTGCACCCTGGCCAGCATTAGTTATTTTTTTTCTTAACTCGGGGAAAATGAAAACTCACTGTCATTTTGATTGCATTTCCCTGATGATTAGTGATGTCGAGCATTTTTTTTCATATATTTATTGGGTATTTGCATGTCTTCTTTTGAGAAATGTCACTTCAGGTCTATTTCACTTCAGGTCACTATTGCTCCTTTTAAGTCAGATTATTTATATTTTTGCTATTGAGTTGTTTGAGTTCCTTGTATATCCTGAATATTAACGCCTTATCTGATGTATAGTTTACAAATAGTTTCTCCAATTCTGTAGGCTGTCTCTTCACTTTATTGATTGTTTCCTTTGACATAACAGAGCTTTTTAGTTTGATGTAATTCCATCTGTCTGTTTCTGCTTTTGTTGCCTGAGCTTTTGGGGTCTTATTCAAAATATCTTTTCTCAGTCCAATTTTATAATACTTTTGTCTTGTGTTTTCTTCTACTAGTTTCATATTTTTGGGTTTTACATTTAAGTCTTTAATTCATTTATAGTTGATATTTGTAATATATGGTGAGAGATAGAAGTCCAGTTTCATTCTTTTTCGTGTGGTTATCTAATTTTCTCAGCACCATTTATTGAAGAGACTGTACTTTTCCCAGTGTGTGTTCTTGGAGCCTTTGTCAAAAATCAGTTGCTGTAAATGCATGGATTAATTTTGGGGTTCTCTATTATGTTCCATTTGTATATGTATCTGTTTTTATGCCACTACCATGCTGTTTGGGTTACCATAGCTTTGTTGTATATTTTGAGGTCAAGCAGTGTGATGCCTCCAGCTGTGTTTGTTTTAGGTATCCAGGGTCTTTTGCCTTTCCATATGAATTTTAAGATTTTTTTTTTCTGTTTCTGTGTAGAGTGCCATTGATATTTTGATAGGGATTGCATTGAATCTGTAAATCACTTTGGGTATTATGGATGTTTTAACAGTATTCTTCTAATCCATGAACATGGAATATCGTTCCATTTATTTGTGTCCTCTTCCATTTTTTCATCAGTGTTTTATAGTTTTCATTGTAGAGGTCTTTTACCTCCTTGGTTAAGTATATTATTAGGTATTTTTTTCACAGCTGACTTGTAAATGAAATTGCTTTCTTTCTTCTTCAGATTGTTTGCTATTGGCATATAGAAATGCTACTGATTTTTGTATGTTGATTTTATATCTGCAGCTTGACCAAATTCATTAATAGATGCTGAAAAAGCATTCCATAAAATTCAATATTCCTTCATGATAAAACTCAACAAGCTAAATATGGAAGGAACATAATACAGTAAAGGCCATCTGTGTCAAACCCATAGCATCATACTTAATGAGAAAAAATTGAGTTTTTCCTCCAAGGTTTGGAACAAGACAAGGATGCCCATTTTCACCACTTTTATTCAACACATCACACTAGAAGTTCTATTCAGAGCAATAAGACAAGAGAAGGAAGTAAAAGGCATCTAAATGGGAAAGGAGGAAGTCAGATTGTCCACGTTTGCACATAGCATGATCATCTATGTAGAAAATCCTGACGACTCCACAAAAAAAGTGTTAGAATCATTTGCTCTTTCACTGCAGCTCCTGCCTCTCCCAAAAAGCTCTCTTTTCCTCTTCCTTTATCTGTGCTAATTTTGTGTTAAAATTATAACACCTAGACAGGCCACCTGTACAGATGGCTTTCTTTTCAGTTTAACCACGTTCTTGCCTCTAGACATGAGAGTTGAGTGTTTTAAGGATTTTAAATCATGCCAAAGACCTTTCATACATCTACAATTAAAGGTAGGACAAAGGAATTAATTATTTGTGCATATGAAATTTCTTTCATAAAAGAAATCTATAAATGTGTATGCTGTCTCTTATTATTTATGTGTATTTATAACATCATATTTCAAGAAGAAAATATCAATTTCTAGTTCGTGTTAAGAATTTGTTTGCTTAAGAAAAGTAAGTTTTCTTTAAAAAAAATTCAACACTAAGAATGTTCTAAAAGCATATATCTGTCAAACCTGGAATTAAGAAAATACTGCTGTCAAATATTTTAAAAACAAGGAAACAAACAAAAAATCCTAATGAACATCTAATTCCTCTATGCCAAGACTTTGGAAAGGTGCTATTCAGTAACTCCCTTAGTCCTCAGAACAACCTTATCATACAGAAATTGTCATCTGAATTTTACAGATTAGGAAATGAAGCTCAGAGAGGTATGCATTTCTCTCACCATATCACCTCTTTTTGACACTAAGAGCCAGCACAGGAAAGTAAAGCAGTGCTTCTCACACTTAATTCTGCATAGGAATTGCCTGGAGATCTTATTAAAATACAGATTTTGATAGAGTAGGTCTGGGTGGGGTCTGAAATTCTGCATTTCTAACCAGCTCCCAAGTGATACCCAGTCCATGGAAGAACTTTGAGTAGCAAGGTCTTACCTTGTCTCTTTGACATGCTTCTCTCTGCCTTTGCCTTATTTCCCTTTCTACTTCTTGCCTTCATCTAGCTTTAAAAAACTTCCTAACAGGAATGTCCCACAAGCGTGAGCCAGTATATTTGTCATTCTCAAAAGGATTTATAGCATTAAATTCACTCAGATAACAGGTAATTAATGCAGAATTCCTCTGTGCAATATTCAAAAAAAGAAGAAAGATTTACTTCAAAACTATTGAGTTTTTTGGGGGGGTTTGATTGTTTAAATTGCTACTTCACCACAGTCTCAGCTTCAGCTGCCTTAAAGTTTCATATAAATATTGAACAATGTCACATAATTCAGACTTTATTAAACTCTTTGCTGTTATCTAGGGATTGCACATTGTTTTTAAAGTGAAAAGGAGAGGAAAAATAAAAGAGAAGAAAGAACGGCCCACCTAGAGCAAATTGAATCTGATTTTTTTTCCTTCTTCCTGCTCTGTGAGGCAAAGTAGATCATCCAGTGTTCTCTGAGCACCTGCAGTGCATGAGGCCTTATGTTTCGTGAGGTTGAGCCCTCCTGAAAGCTGTCGTCACAATCCAGGATGGTGGATCCACTCTGTTACCGCAATATTTCTGTATCACTTCAGGCCATATTTATGAGTATCCACTCTGCCATGTTACAGCAAGGTGTGTCCACCCTTTCACTGATAAGTGAAGCCCAGGAAGATACTCTGTTTTGTTTTTTAATTATGCCTACAGTTCTCCAAGAACCCAGGAAGATATTCTAGGTTGGCATATATTTGAGAGCAGCCACAAGGAGATTATTTGTATTTATCAGGAGTCAAGCTTTGAGATTGGAATTGTGTGCATACCAACATCCTTACCATTCCAGGCATTTTTCTTTTAATATACCTTGATTATGATTTTCCTAAATTCACCCTTTTTATATTACTACGGTACCATTTACACATTTGTTTATTTGCAGTTCTTATTCCTTGCCAGTTCCCCGATTGTTTCATGGGAGCTGATAAATAGAAGACATTCTCCTGGGAAGTGTCTGCCCCACCCGCTGCATATGTAGTGAGGAAAGTGTGC